>NC_000005.10:174246172-174549202 GCF_000001405.40 Homo sapiens
GTCACATATGAATTCTTTGATCTGGTGAACTTTTGTTTGCTTTCAGTCAGTTTCCTCACCCTAAGCTGGGGACAGAAGAACTCTTGTGTCAGGGTGAAGACAGGAGGTAATGCAGGTACCAACTTGAATATTCTGTACTTAGGGTGTTCTCCAGGGTTATAACCATCATCATGCTTAAAAAAAAAAAAAAACAGATGAACTTTCCACAGAGGTGTCAAGGTTGAAATCTTAGTTGGTATATGACAATGTGTGGCCCTCTTCTCTAATGCCTACTTTGTAGGGTGGCTAAGTGGATTAGGGTGGATCACCTAAGGTCAGGAGTTCCAGACAAGCCTGGCCAGCATGGCAAAACCCCGTCTCTACTAAAAATACAAAAATTAGCCAGGCGTGGTGGCAGGTGCCTGTAATCCCAGCTACTCAGAGGTTGAGGCAGGAGAATCACTTGAACCTGGGAGGCAGAGGTTGCAGTGAGCTGAGATAGCACCACTGCACTCCAGCCTGGGCAACAGAGCGAGACTCAATCTCAAAAAAAAAAAAAGAAAAAGAAAAAGAAATGATATAATTAAAACACCCAGTCCAGTTTGACAAAGCTTTCAGCAGTATTTCTTTTATTATTTATGGTAGGCTGGGTAATGTTCCCCCAACCCCCACAATTATCAGTGCCTTAATCCCTGTAATCTGTGAATATGATACCTTATATGGTCTGAAGGAAAAGCAAACCTAGAGACAGTGTCAGATCCCACAGATTAAAGGCTCACTCCCACAAGACTGCCTCCGATTCAGACACCAGATGCAAGTGGTAGGTTGTAAAACAAACAAAAAGTAAGTAGTATGTTGTCACCTACACTGACTACAAACTGGGCTTCCCATGACCCTCACCCCCCACACACAACTTGAGTTTGGTTAATTTGCTAGGATGTCTTATAGAATTCAGGGAAACACCTTACTTATGTTTACCCATTTATTACAAAGGACATTACAAAGGCTACAGATGAGCAGCCAGATGGAAGAGATGCAGAGAGCGAGGTATGGGAGGAAGGACGTGAAGCCTGCATACCCTTTCTCGGTGCTCCACCTTCCCAGCGCACGTGTTCAGCAACCTAGAAGCTCATCAAGCCTTTTTGTTCAAGAGTTTTTACATAAGAGAGCTTGATAGAGCTTAATCTCCAGCCACCAGCCTCCCTAGCCAGAGATCCCAGGCCTCACGCTGGGATTGGTCTCATTTGCTAGCTTGGTCCGTTCCTTAAACCCAGCTTGCACCTGGGATTGCTAATCCCCGCTGAACGCATTCTCCTGCTAGAGTTCTACTTAGGAATATCTGAGTGTCTCTTCTGTTATTCATCAGAGTGGAAAACGCTCCCTGTAACCTTTAAGCCTACGAGCTTAGAGAGCTTGAATGTTTCAAAATCATGCCGCTGCTCTGGGATCTGCCTATACAATTCCACTCACGCTTTGCTTGGGACTAGAATGTCCCCATGCAATGCTGCCTGTACACCAAGCTCACAGCCCAGGATGCCAAAACGTTGGCTGATTTCTGCTCCCTTCATTGCTTTCTAACTTCCTTCCTTTCTCCCACCCTTCCTCTCATTAATACTGACTGATCACATATTACCTGCTAGGGACTTCACGCCTCTTCTCTTTCAACACTCACAATAGCTTCATGAGATACATTTTCTTCTTAGATGAAGAAATCATTTCATGATAACGAGTGGGGGAGACATGATCCCAGTCAGGACTGTTTCCAAACGCACCATGCTGTGCTGGTCCAGTCCTTCATTCAGTTCCTGAGAGGGCACAGCTGTGAGGGATGGGCACAGCTGAGCCTGTTCAGGAACTCAGAATCCCGTGGCAGAGGCGGATTTGGAAAACTACTAATTACCACACGATGTGGTTGGTGCTCCTGTATTACAGTGGCTTTCAAAGCCTGGAGCCCAGAGCGGCAGCATCAGGATCAGCCTGGAGCTTGTTAGAAATGCACATACTTAGACCCCAGTCAGGCCTACCGAATCAGAAACCCTGGGCGTGGGGTGACCAGCCTTCGCCGTCATTCTGATGCTCACTGAAGTTTGAGAACCACTTTTACGGTATGTGGGATGATGGGACAATGAGCAATGAACCCTTCCTAGTGGATGGGGTAGGCTTTACGGACCTTCCAGCGGGAGCCTGAGAGGCAGCAGAGGGGCAGATGCCTATTCCAGCCAAGGTAAGGAGCAATGTGGGCAGTGTCCCTGCCATGTAAAGGATGTGTGGTATTCTGAGATCCATGAGGAATGATAGTACTTGATAGTAGTTCAAGTATAGGTATGAGGTGGGAAATTAAAATGGCACCAGAACTTGGAGGACACTGAAGCCAAGAAAATTGAGACTTTCCTGTAAAACAATAGGGAGTTGCTGATGACTTTTAAGCTGGGAAATGGCATGCTTATGTTTGAGTTTAAGAAGTATCATTTAGGGAGTGGGTTAAAGGAAGAGACAAGAGACATGTAAGCCTATGAATCAAACAGTAAATCGTTAAAAAAAAAAAAAAAGGAAGAAGGGAAAGAGAAAGTGTAAAAAAAACAACCATGAGTCTAACGAGATAATTGATAGTATCTTACCCTTGAATTGAGACTTAGTTTCTGTTCAGGCTGCTAAAATGAAATACCATAAACTGGGTAGATTAAAAACAACAGAAATTGGCTGGCTGCGGTGGCTCATGCCTGTAATCCCAGCAGTTTGTGGGGCCGAGGGGGGCGCGGATCATCTGAGGTCAGGAGTTCAAGGCCAGCCTGGCTAACATGGTGAAACCCCGTATCCACTAAAAATACAAAATTAGCCGGGCATGGTGGTGGGCGCCTGTAATCCCAGCTACTCAGGAGGCTGAGGCAGGAGAATTGCTTGAACCTGGGAGGAGGAGGTTGCGGTGAGCCGAGATCAAGCTATTGCATTCCAGCCTGGGTGACAAGACAGAGACTCCATCTCAAAAACAAAAACAAAACAAAAAGAAAACAACCCAGAAATGTATTCCTCAAGTTCTGGAGGCTGAGAAGTTTAAGATCAGGGCATCAGTGGAGTCAGTGTCTGGTATGGGCCTGTTTCCTGACACATAGATGTTGCCTCTTCCTGGGTCTTCACTTGGTGGAAAAGGTGAACAGACTCCCTCCCTTGGGTCTCTTTTATGAGAGCACTAATCCCATGACCTAATCACCTCCCAAAGGCCCCACTTCTTAAGACCTTGGGGGTTAGGATTTCTTTTTTTTTTTAATTTTATTATTATTATACTTCAAGTTTTAGGGTACATGTGCACAACGTGCAGGTTTGTTACTTGTGTATACTTATGCCATGTTGGTGTGCTGCACCCATTAACTCGTCATTTACATTAGGTATACCTCCTAATGCTATCCCTCCCCCTCCCCCCACCCCACAACAGTCCCCGGTGTGTGATGTTCTCCTTCCTGTGTCCATGTGTTCTCATTGTTCAATTCCCACCTATGAATGAGAATATGTGGTGTTTGGTTTTTTGTCCTTGCGATAGTTTGCTGAGAATGATGGTTTCCAGCTTCATCCATGTCCCTACAAAGGACATGAACTCATCATTTTTTATGACTGCATAGTATTCCATGGTGTATATGTGCCACATTTTCTTAATCCAGTCTATCATTGTTGGACATTTGGGTTGGTTCCAAGTCTTTGCTATTGTGAATAGTGCCACAATGAACATACGTGTGCATATGTCTTTAGAGTAGCATGATTTATAATCCTTTGGGTATATACCCAGTAGTGGGATGGCTGGGTCAAATGGTATTTCTAGTTCTAGATCCCTGAGGAATCGCCACACCAACTTCCACAATGGTTGAACTAGTTTACAGTCCCACCAACAGTGTAAAAGTGTTCCTATTTCTCCACATCCTCTCCAGCACCTGTTGTTTCCTGACTTTTTAATGATCGCCATTCTAACTGGTGTGAGATGGTATCTCATTGTAGTTTTGATTTTCATTTCTCTGATGGCCAGTGATGATGCGCATTTTTTCATGTGTCTTTTGGCTGCATAAATGTCTTCTTTTGAGAAGTGTCTGTTCATATCCTTCGCCCACTTTTTGATGGGGTTGTTTGTTTTCTTGTAAATTTGTTTGAGTTCATTGTAGATTCTGGATATTAGCCCTTTGTCAGATGAGTAGGTTGCAAAAATTTTCTCCCATTCTGTAGGTTGCCTGTTCACTCTGATGGTGGCTTCTTTTGCTGTGCAGAAGCTCTTTCGTTTAATGAGATCACATTTGTCAATTTCAGCTTTTGTTGCCATTGCTTTTGGTGTTTTAGACATGAAGTCCTTGCCCATGCCTATGTCCTGAATGGTATTGCCTAGGTTTTCTTCTAGGTTTTTATGGTTTTAGGTCTAACATGTAAGTCTTTAATCTGTCTTGAATTAATTTTTGTATAAGGTGTAAGGAAGGGATCCAGTTTCAGGATTTCAGCATAGGAGATTTGAGGGAGACAAACATTCTGACCATGGTAGTTTCCAAGGGACAGACTGGTATTTTTGAGGAGATGTATAAATGAGTACATGCCTAGACCCACAGGGCTGTGTCTATACAGAATTAAAGACCTGGTTGTAAATGAAAAACAATGTTATTTTAATGGCCTTCCTGGAGTCTTGTAGAAATCTTAAAATTCAATATACAAAAAAAATCACCTGAGGCTCTTGTTAAAATGCAATAGGTATGAGGTGGTACCCAAGAATTTTCATTTCTAAGCTCCAAGGTAAAGCCATGTTACTGGTCTGAGGGCCATGCTTTGATTAGCAAGACTGAGAACAAATCTTATTATAGTCCAGAGATTGTATAGCATATGTATTTTTTTCCTTCTAGAACAAACTCATTAGTGTATAATGATGCATCTGTTGGGTACCTTTATCTCTTCACTGTTTCTTCTTACATCTGCAGAAACTGAAGTAGCATATGGCATATAAATACATGTCTTTAAGAGAAGACAGTCCAACAGACCAAGGTTTAAATCTCAGTTCTGGCAGTTAGTGGCTGGGTGGTGGTGGGTAAATCATGCATATTTCCTGAGTCCCCTGCCTTTATTGGTAAAATGGGGATAATAACACTTATTCTAGTAATTAAAGATGAAGTGGGATAAGTGTAAGTCATGTATGCACATGGCATATAGCCGATATTCAGGTAATGTGAACTGTATGGTTACATATGCATTTGTGCAGCCCTAACTGCCTTCTCCATGGCACAGACCAGACTTCTGGCCACTTCTCTGCCTTGGGCAGTATAGATTAGAGAGAAAAAAGGTCAGAAAGACTTGTTTACTCTGTGTCACACAGGCCCCCAGGGAAGGGCACTCAGCATGAGAGAATACATTTTTCCAAAGCCCTAATGCTACAAGATAAGCATTCTGCTTGGTTGGCCAAAATGTACTGAGGAGATAAGGGAAACAGACAACAGGCCCCCAAAGCAAGATTCTTTTAGTCAACTAACCGTTATGTAATTCAGGGCAGCTTGAAGACTGGATGTACTTTCTGCAGCAGAGAAGCCAGTGACTGCCTATCCATCAATTCCCATCCAGCTCTCCCATTGCAGAGCATGTGGACAAAATGGGAAGGGAAAAAAATAAAACCTTGTAATCTTTTCCAAGGAGGCAGCACGGTGCAGTGCTGTCAGACAAATGTGGCTTTGGATTTCAGCTCTAATACTGGCTGGACAAACGTGGGTGAGCTACTTCATTTCTCTAAGCCTTGTTTCATTATCTGGGAAGTGGAGATAACACCAGCTCGCTCCCAGAGTGGCTGGGAAATGAGATTGCACACATAAAGCAGTGTCAGGTGCACACACACACACACACACACACACGCAACACACCCAGTGAAGACTTTTTGAGTTGAACAGGTCATGTTACAAGGCTGACTGTAAACTCTTTGAGGGCAGCAATAGTCCTTTTCATTATTTACAGTCCATTGCCTTAAACACAGTAGGTTTCCAGTAAATGCCTTTGATCTAATTGATGCATCTATATACCTGTAATTTAAAATAATCTAGGGTTTGGAAAGGTTGTGATATTTTACCCTCTCTAGATCAGAGTGAATTTTCTTAACCACAAAGATGAGCCTAGCAGCTTTGGCACACAGGCCCAAATAGCTCCCCAGGGCCTACAACAGGGATGCTTAATAGTTTCCACATTTAACGTTTCATCCCTGGTTGATTGGCAGAGGCTGCCTGGAGTCCTGAAGTGGGGAAGGCTTCCAGACTTCCCTAGAAAGCCTAGAAGATGGCTAGGGCAATGGTGGGAAAGATGCTGGATTCAATTTGTGATGATAGGGATAGGTGTGACAGGGGAAATTTAAGAGTTAGAATTTGACTCCCTGGACTCTATGATAAAATCTACAAATTTTTATAATTTAAAAACAAACCTCTGAATCACTTATGAATTAAAGATGAATTAATAAAGAAAAATTTTTAAATGCTTATAACTGAATGATAATAAAATTGCTATTTAACACAATGTGGGATGGCATTAAATTGCTTCTTAGGAGGAATTTTATAGCCTTCAATGATGATATTGGAAAAGAAGTAAATGAGATGAGAAAAAATGAACTAAGTGTTCAACTTAAGAAGCTGGAAAAAGCACAAGCAAATAAACTCAAAGTGATTAGAGTGGAATTATAAAAGTAAATGCAAATATAAAATAAAATGAGATAGAAAACAAAGAGAAAGAAGTATAAAAATCTTGAAGTTGAGTTTTTTTCTTTTTTTGGTTTAGCTTTTGAAACGGAGTCTCACCCTGTCACTTAATCTGAGTACGGCGGTGCAATCACTGCTCACTGCAGCCTGGACCTCCCAGGCTCAAGCAATCCTCCTACCTCAGCCTCCTGAGCAGCTGGGACTACAGGCATGCGCCATCACACCTGACTACATTTTTTGGTATTTTCTCTAGGGACGGGGTTTCGCCATGTTGCCCAGGCTGGCCTCGAACTCCTGGGCTAAAGCCATCCAAACCTGCCTTGGCCGCCCAAAGTGCTGGATTACAGGGGTGAACCACCATATCTGGCCTGAAGTTGTTTTTTTTTAAACTCTAAAAAATTAAGAAACTTCTAGCAATATTGAAAAACCCCAAATATGACAAAATACTCAAATTTTAAAAAATATCAAAAGTAGGAAAATAGACATAAATGCAAATTCAGCAGAGATTTTAGAAACAGTAAAAGACCATGTGAATACTTTTATATCAATATATTTAGAAGCAGGCATAATAGACAAATAATAGAAAAATATAGATCATTAAAACTGACTCAAGAAAAAGTGAAAACCTTGAGTGGCACAAGAGTTATCATGGTACGTAATTGTAGAATTCATTTTTTCTCATACATAAAACATCGTGCTTACTTAATAGTGATGGTACAGATAATTTCACTCTTCACACAAATTCGGAGAAAAGCAGAGGAAACACTCCTCTTAAATTGTTACAAACTTGATATTTAAACCAGAGAAGGACTATGTTAAAAAGCAAAATATAAGCCAATCTTATTCAAGGTTGTAGATGAAAAATTCCTAAACCAAATACAAGAAAACAAACTGAATCCAACAATAGATAGGAGTATACTATAACTAGGTTATTTCAAAAAAGCAAGATTGACTTAACAGTAGAAAAACCTATTTATCTAAATTACAAGATTACCAGATTAAAAGGGGAAAAATTTGTCTGATAATCATATTAGTACACAGGAGAAGGATTTGACAAAGCTAAGCCAAAGTTTATACTTATGCCTAGTGTTCCATTATTGGAACGCTAAGCACGTGGGAGTTATTTATATCCTACTGCTCAAGGTCATCACTAAGGTCTGATTGCAAAAATTCAAAAAAATTGCAACCTCAGGCATAAATGGGTTAAAAACGAAACAACAATTTTATAGTGGAAATAAAGGGTAACTTCCTTTGCCTGATGAAGTTTAGAAAAACAACAACAAAATGTCCTACTCGAAGGTAAAATGTTAAAAGCATGCCTTTTTAATTTGAAATAAAACAAGGAAGACTACCATCTCTACCAGTGAGCAGTCTTTATGCTGCAGGTCTAAACCAGTACACAAGGCAAGGAAAAGAAATGAGAGTTGTAAGGAATAGAAAGGAAGAAGCTTTAATTATGCATAGATTATATAAACACTCACTTATAAAACTTAAAAAATTATACACAAATTATTAATGTATGTATTGTGAAACAATTCACTAATTAGTGTTGGGACAATTTCTTATTCATATAAGGAAAATGAAATCAAATGCCTTCCTTATCTAAAAATTTATTTTGGATAGATAAAATATTTAAATGTGAAAAGTATAAACCAGTGAGAATGAATTTAGAAATTTATAGTAGGGAAATATTTCATAAATAAATAAAAATGCAGGCAATAAAGAATATCAATCCGTCTAACCATATTAAATTGAGAAACCATAATGAGTGGAGAAAATTCACAAGCAGGGAAATTTATTTTAAACCTAAACTGTTTTGGTGTGCAGAATACATGATGAACTCCTAGGCGTCAATAAGAAAGCACTCCCACCTCTACCACCCCTCCAGCATGTAACTTAATAGAACAAGAGACCAAAAAACCTGAACAGGCAATTCAGAGATGAGAAAATACAAACGGGCTAAAAGCATAGAAAAAGATCAACTTATAAGTAACTAGGGAAATCCAAACTAAAACCACAATGAGATACAACTCAATACCAAGCACAGTTGCAAAATTTTTAAAAACCAGTTACTATTAAGTATTGAAGGGCAGGTTGAACAACAATACAAAAACTGATACTCCTAGTAAGAGTATAAATTGATATGAGGCCAGGCACGGTGGCTCATGCCTGTAATCCCAGCACTCTGGGAGGCCTAGGCAGGCAGATCGCTTGAGGTCAGGAGTTCGAGACCACCCTGGCCAACATTGTAAAACCCTGTCTCTACTAAAAATACAAATATTAGCCAGGTATGGTGGTGCGTGCCTGTAGTCCCAGCTACTTGGGAGGCTGAGGCAGAAGAATGGCTTGAACCCGGGAGGCAGAGGTTGCAGTGAGCAGAGATTGTGCCATTGCACTCCAGTCTGGGCTACAGAGTAAGATTCCATCTCAAAAAAAAAAAAAAAAAAAAAAGATACAAATACTTTGGGGAAATTTTTGACATTATCTGGTAAGCCTTAATATAGGCATATTGCCTGAGCCAGCAATTCCATTTTGCTGTTTATACCCCAAATTAAATGTGCATTCCCACATGGCTCACAACAGCAAAATACTGCAAACAACCCAAAAGTCCATCAACAAGAGAATGGATAAATAAGTTATAAAACACTTTGTAGCTATGGAAATGAACCATGGATATATAGAGCTACATTTATGAATCTCACAATCAAAATATTGATCTAAAGGAAACTGACACAGCCATTCATTCAGACATTAGGATTCCAACTATATCAAGGTCAAAACTGGCAAGTACAAATCCATATACAAAATATGAAGAGATGTAAATGAATGATTAACACAAAATTTTGGATTTGAGTACCCCCTGGGTATTAGGAAGGGAGGAGGGTGGGGTTGGAGAGGGGCAAGTTTAGATTGTTGATATACTGGCAATGTTCAGTGTTTAAACTGGGAGGTAGGGCACAAATACTTACTATTATTGAAACAACACATATTATATCCTGAAACATATGTATGTGATATGCCTCATAATTGTAAAGATTAAAATGAGTGAGTGGAGAGATACTATATGCAGTCACTTTCCTTGCTTTCTTCCGCAATATCCCATTGGACACACCAGCCACCTATTTTGATTCCAGTTCAACATAATTGGTTATTGTTTATGTCTCAAAAAAAAAAGAGCCAATTTTCTTGTTCCCTCCTTACATTTCTTTCTTTTATACCTAGGCCAGACCTAGAAATGTATTTTCCATACAAATATCATTGCTATGTAAATAGAAATGTAACCTCACGTTCTCCCAGCAGGATTATTTACAGGAGCTCCCTTCTTCCCTACTCAGTAATTTGATTGGGAATAAACCAAAAGAGTTAACTTCCAGGGTGATTTGAAGTAGAAATATACAATTTTGGAAAGTAACAAGAAAAAACTCACATTTTTTTGTGGAGGCTGACATGTTTGAGCCAGAGAAATCTGGAGTTCAATCCACCAGAGCTCCAGGTGTGTCTGATTCCCAAGCCCAAGCTCCTGATCACTATCCCATAATTACTGAGTACTTACCTTTTTGAGTTTCAGTTTCTTCATCTGTAAAACGGTGCTTCATCTTCCTGAGTCTGTTTCCTCATCATTATCCCTGTATCACAGCGTTGTTGTGAGAATAAATGAGAAAATATGTAGATGTCAAATAGTATGGCAATTCCCCAGAAAAGTAAAAATATAATTACCATATGATCCAGCAACCCCACTTCTTGGTATGTATCCAAAAGAATTGGGTGCAGGGACTTGAAGAGATGTTTCTACAGCCATGTTCATAGCAGCATTATGCACAATAGCCAAAAGGTGGAAGCAATTGAGGTGTCCACCAATGGATGAATGACCATCTTGTATGGCCTATCCATACAAGAGAATAGTATTCAGCCTTGAAAAGGAAGAATATTCTGGCACATGCTACAACTTGAATGAACTTTGAGGACACTACGCTAAGTGAAATAAGCCAGTCACAAAAAGACAACTACTGAAGATTCCATGTATGACGTACCTAAAGTCATCCAAATTCATAGAGACAGAAAGTGGAATGCTGATTGTCAGAAGCTGGAAAGAGGGAAAATGAGGAGTTAGTGTTTAATGGATGCAGAGTTTCAGTTTTGTGAGATGAAAAGAGTTCTGGAGATTGGTTTGCACAATGATGTGAATTCACTCAACAGTACAGAACCGTACACTTAAAAATGATTAAGATAGTAAATTTTATGTTGTGGGTATTTGACCATGATTAAAAAATATATATGTATATGTCTCAATGCTCAATACATAGTAAGAATTCATTACAATCTATAATTCTGTTGTGGTTGTCATTGTCAGCCTACTCCTTTATTGGGTTATGAGCTGGAATTCACTCTATCTTGAAGGGCATATGGCCATTTTTACTTTAGACGTGCCATGAGCAGATGACCTAACTCCTCCACTGTGGTCATGATGCAAACAGGGGAAATTATGTAACACAAGGCTAAAATGTTTCTTCCGAAGGCCCACGGCTGCTGCTCACTGCAGGCTGAGCCTTGGATCATTGTCCATATTTCTTCCAAAATCAGTTTTAGGGCTTGCCACACTCCAGCTGTTATGCTGGTGCTGGCATCTCCATTCATAACTGACAAGGCAGAAAGTGAATTAAAAATTAATTCAAAATGCTTTGAAGGGAAATGGAGCTGATGTTCTGGGCTGACTGTTACCATGGCCTTGCATGTTCAATGCCCCTGTCTAGTTCTGGCTCAATTGTCTGGCTCACAGACCTCTTAGAGATCATGCCTGCTTGACTATCTTTTTTTTTTTTTTCATGCTTGGAGGAGGATGGAGACAGAATTCCCACAAAACAACCTATCTGATTACACTTAGGGGTTGCTTATCTTCAGAATGACTTAAGAAATGGCTTAGAAGCCAAGCATGTCTCCCTAATATACACCGAAATGTCCAAACAGTCATATTTTTCCCCCAAATAGGTTATTCCCTCAATGTGATGGTGTGTGCAAAATGATGTCATATGCTTCTGAAAGTAGAAGATCCCCTGATCCTTTCTTTTATCCCTCCTTCTTCCTTGCTCTTGTCCAAGGGAGGAGGGTTAATAGGATTGCCTAGAGCTACAGCAGCTTCACTAGAGTGTAAAAACATCAGGCAAAGTCTCTCTTTCACTCAGCTGGAGGGCAAGTTGCCTAGTCCTGCCATCTTAGTTACCCAAGAGAAACGAGAGTCACACACACACACACACACACACACACACACACACACACACACTCTCTCTCTCTCTCTCTCTCTCTCTCTCTCAGCATTCATGACTAAGCATCATGGCCATTGCCATGTTCCTATACCAAGTGTTTTATGAGATAATATCAAGACTATAAAATCTAGTTAGCTTAGGGAGAAATACAATTCCCTGCTTAGACCTTGAAGCTAGGCTTATATAACCCAATCAGCTTTTCCAGGAGCCCAAACAATGATAAATTGATGCTTTGATTTTCCTTTGCTAATGGTCTTATGAGAATCACTACACCTGCAACCCCATGGGAGGTGAAGAGATGGACCAGGAAGTATCCAGATGCACTTGAATTCATTATCATCACCCTCAATCTGAACTCCTAATAGTGGATATAGACTATTCCAAATTATATCGAGAAAAAACGCTCTATGTTCTGTTGGTAATTTAGTTCAAAGATGAAGGTGGTGCGCTACAGTAAAAAGGGCAGTGTTCAACCCACACAGCCCTGAGTTCAAGTTTGGGCTCTTCTTCTACCTGTGAGACCACACAGAAATCAATTCACCTCCGTGGACTCAGTAAGTATGTTGTAAGTGGGAAAATGAGAGACCTTAGCTCAAAACATTGCTAGGAATATTAAGTGAAATACAGCATGGAAACAGTGGAGCCCTCCGTAACTGGCTGCTGTTAATGTCACCATGAGGACTGAGACCCAAAGTGAGAGACTGAATTGGTGCTCTGGCCAAGGGTATGCCTCAGCTTGCAGGATGAACAGTGAGGATGAATGTCTGTGTTTCCAAGATGGCTGTAAACAGGGGCCTGCCTACTGACTAACTTCCTGGGTGCTTGTTTTACCCTTCCAAGAAGAGCTGGTTTATAAACTCTATGCTTGCATTGATCATGGATTCCTCCAAACCATCTAACCTTTGGTTGTCCGAAAACTAATAACTTTGGAGAAAGGAAGGCAGCTGAACTCATTCTTCTCAAACTTTTACATTATTCCCGGCACCATCTGTCTTCTTCTAGCAAAATGCTGCTTTTAGATGTGTCTGTGTGACTGGAGGGAGAAATGGGGATTTTGAGAGTATTTGCTTTATTAAAATGAAGCATCTGGTTAAAGCAAAAATAAACATAGGCTCCAATTCTGGAAGAGGATATTTTTCCTTGAAAATTTTTTCTTTAATTTTATTATTATAAATGTCCATTATAGGAAAATAAGATTAAAAATTATAAAATAAAGCAAATACATTAAAAAATTAAGAAGAAGGAAGAAAAAATTAAAACACATATATTTCTACCACTCAATCATTATTCATATTTTGGCATACTCTTTCCAGATATTTTTGCTATCTTTCTCTCTATGCACCCATCCTTTGAGAAAAATATAGGGATGCTTCTATGTAAGCCATTTTGTATTTTTCAATTTTTTTACTTAAAATGAACATTTTCCTACAAAAATAAATATAAATCCATGTCATAATCCTTCACAATGGCTGCAAAATAGCCCATTTTGTGGATGTACCATAATTTATTTAACTGGTCTGTTATTGTTACATATTGTAATGGACCCTTGTTGGTTGTTTACTCGGAATTCACATAAGTATTTTTCTAACAGTTGTCTAATTTTTATTCAGAAGACCATGGCTTCTCCATGTAGCACAGGGACTGTGGGAAGATCTTGCTGCACTCCTAGTTGCAGGGGCAGCACCAAACATCATATTTCACCCCCCGTGCACATTCATTCCACTCCCATTGTGGTTGTGCCGTCGCCTCAGTTGGTCCAATCAATTAGACTTATCTCACTGTGACTCTTGCTTGGAATGACAGAACAGATGTTTCCCTTCTCCCTCTCATGGATGAAAGAACAAGTAGCCCTAGGAGATGTTGGCAGCTGTCTTGCAATAACAAAGGGAAGCAGGCTTAAAATGTCCTGTACTGTTGGATTCCCATGGCTGAAAACCATTGTTTCATCTGTTTTGTCCAGTTTTTTTTTTTCAGTTGTTTCAACTAGGAGGTTAAATCTGCTCTCCATTGTTCCATTTTGGTTGGAGGTGGAAATACGAGGCATCTAAATATGAAGGAGGGGACAAAATTCTAATTGCTACTCCATGAATCGCAGGTCCTCTCATGTGACTGAGATGGGGGAGGGACAAGGCACTGCAACCATCTCTTCAAGGCCACCTAGAATGCGTGGTGGGTTAGTTCATCAAAGGAAGGGACTGCATGCAGCAAGCAGCTGTGCCTATTTTGCCATCTTCCTGGACTGTCATGATGATTAATTGAGAATCTCTATGAATGACGACTGGCTTGGCATGGCTAGGTAATAAACGAATGTTTGTGATTATTATTGAAAAAGATAGGCAGATTGGAAAAAAATATTGTGGTTGAACCTTGCAGAAATGTGTTAGAAAGTGGCTTTGAGACCATCCAGCCAGGTGATGGGATAATAAATCTGATTATATTGCTTGTTTGGGAGGTGTCACTCATTGGCTTGGGGAAATCATGTGCCTTGGAAACTGGAAGATTCTGTTTTTGAGGGAAATATCTACCAAGGAAGATGCTCAGTGCATTCCTTCTCAGAGATCTGAAAGCAACATATAAGGGGAAGTTGAAAATACAGTAGATTTTCAGCCTAGAGAAGAGAAGACTAAATGGGGGAGACAAGGCAGCAATTTGGCGTGTCCGTGGGGCCTTGGTGAAGAAAAAGGATTCTAGTCAGTTGCCTTACCCAAGATTATACAGTTACTAAGTGGCAGATCTGGGACTAGAACCTCAGTGTATCTGATTCCTAGCTTGGTGCTGAGTGACCTTGGGAGTAAGTAGAATTATTCAACAATGAAATAGGGGACTTCAAGAGATGGTGGGTTCTTTGTTCCTGGAAGTATTCAAGCAGCAGCTAAAGGACCATTGTATTAGTCTGTTCTCACATTGCTATAAATACCTGAGACTGGGTAATTTATTAAGAAAAGAGGTTTAATTGGCTCATGTTTCTGCAAGCTATTCCAGAAGCATAATGCTGGCATCTGCTCGGCTTCTGGGGAGGCCTCAGGAAACTTACAGTCATGGCAGAGGGTGAAGTAGGGGCAGGCAAGTCACAAGGCCAGAGCAGGAGCAAGAAAGAGAGGGGAAAGGTGCTACACACTTTTAAACAACCAGGTCTTGCAAGAATTCCCTATCACAAGAACAGCACCAAGGGGGATGGTGCTACATTCATGAGACATCTGCTCCCACGATCTAATCACCTGCCACCAGGCCCCACCTAAAACTTGAGGATTACAATTAAACATGAGATTTGGGTGGGGACACAGATCCAAACCATATCAACCATACACTGTGAATGTTGTAGAGAGGATTCCTGCAGTGGGCAGGAAGCTGGATGACCTGTCCTGAGGTCATTTCTAACTCCAAGGGTCTAAAGCTTTCTCCAAGGTTGAGTTTTCTACAGGACTCCTGGTTCTGCCTATAGCATAATATGTGACGTGCTCTTAATTTTGAAGCTACTGGAAGAAATTTATCCAGCAGGAGCATACCAATTGTGCAATAAAATGAATTCATACATATTTTTATTGAATTTAGCTTCTCTGACTTCCAAAATACATTTCCTCCAGAATTTAATGGGGAGTTAAAGTTACTAATTTCAGAAAAAGTCTAGGCAGATGCCAAGAGTGATTCCATCACATCTTAAATAAAGACAACGGAAGAAAGAGTTACTTTATTCTCTAGATATGGGAATAATTTTGAGGGTTTTTTGTTGTGAATGTTTTCTAGCCTTATTTGAGATTCTGTAAACAATCCCTGGATTCATACAGGAAGCATGCAATTTATGGAGTCATTCCTTTCCATGGGAAGTGTGGTAGGAAGACAATACATTTGTAAAGATGTTAGTTTTGAGATTATATAGACCTAGTCAAGTCTCAGTGCTGCCATTTCCTGGCTGGGTAACCTTAAACAAAGCAGTGTCCTCTTTGAGCTTTATTTTTTCTCTTTTACTTGTTGGAGAGAATCCCTTTGTCACAGGATATTATTATATTAAATGAGCTGACATATTAAAGTTCCTGCAACACAGTGGATTCCCTTTCTGAATGGCCCACCTGCTCCATCACTGCCTTATGTATAAACACTGAAAGCCCTTTAAGTGCAGGTGCAATGACTGGTTCATCTTTGTAACTGCAGTACTTGGTACCATGCCTGACCCAGAGTGAGAACAGAGTGCCCTGTAGAGTGAGAATCCAGAAGACAGAAGCCAAGCTTTAAAAAGCAGACCCAGGGTAACACTGGGAAGAGACCTAGTAGAGCCCTTTTATCTGTACATAAATAAAAATAACAGAAGATACAGGCTACATAAAATAGAGCATATCAAAGACATGCCACAAATGTGAATTTGTTTACAATAAGCACTACTTACAGTGAGCACTAGAATTCATTTCTAATTACCATTCTTTGCTCTCAAACATGTTTTTAGTGACCATGATCCTGAGGTTTCAATGAAAGACTTATAAATAAATTTTTGCTTGTCAATAATTATTCCACATTATGACTACAATGGAATGAAACTAGAAATCAGTAGCAGAAGGAAAACTAGAAAATCCCCAAACATGTGGAAGTTAAACAATACACTCTTAAACAACCAATGAGTCAAAGAAGAAATAACAAAAAAATTATTATATATCTTGAGACAAATGAAAATGAGGACACAACATGGCCAAAACTTATGGGATAGAGCAAAGGCAATAAGAGGAAAGCTTTTTATGATAAACACCTTCATTAAAAAGAAGGATCTCAAAGCAACAGCCTAACTTTATGCCTCAAAGAACTAAAAAAAGGACAACTAAACCCAAAGTTAGCAGAAGGGAGGAAATAATGAAGATCAGAGCAGAAATAAATGAAATAGAGGATAGAAAAACAATATAATAAATCAGTGAGACTAAGAGTTGGTTTGAAACAATTTTTTAAAGATGGAGTCTCACTCTGTTGCCCAGTGTGGAATGTAGTGGCACTATCATAGCTCATAGCAGCCTCGAACTCCTGGGCTCAAGTGATCCTCCCACCTCAGCCTTCCAAGTAGCTGGAACTGCAGGCCCACACCACCACGCCTAGCTAATTTTAAAAAGTTTTTGTAGAGATGGAGTCTCATTTTGCTGTCCAGGCTGTTCTCAAACTTCTGGCTTCAAGCGATCCTCCCACTTTGGCCTCCCAAAGTACTGGGATAATGGGCATGAGCCACTGTGCCTGGCCCATTTTTTTGTTTGTTCGTTTGTTTGTTTGTTGTTGTGTTTTTTTTTAAGAGCAACAAAATTGACAAACTCTTAGCTAGAATAAGAAAAAAAGAGAAGACTCAATTAAAGAGAATCCGTGTTCTGTGAAAGGGCCGTATATGCAAAGTGATCCCCAAATGCTACAGGAACCAAGAAACCAAAGAATGAGACAGACAAATCCAGTTTGTCAGTAATGGGTGTTTTATTGGAGAAACTTACAGACAGAAGTGTAGTCCTGGGTGGCTGCAAGGCAGGTAGATCTCTGCACTGTTATTCCCCAGACCTAGGGCTTAAATGCCATGGGGAAAGGGGGTACATGCTCCAGGGAGATAATTAAGGGCAACCCTTCAGAACAGGCATGTGTGCTACATGCATTATGACCTATAATTTGTGCTATAACATCAAGGTTCACATGTTTGTATTCTAGGGACAGTAACTAAAGTAGGACTCAGGAGACATTCACAGGACTGGGGCTAGTCAGAAATCAACATGTTGGATTAGCATTCAAGATAGAATCACTGTTGTCCCCACAATCAGAAATGAAAAAGAAGACATTACAATTGATGAAATACAAAGGATGATCAGAGACTACTATGAACCATTATATGCCAATAAATTGGATAACCTAGAAAAAAATTGATAAATTCCTGAAACTTACAGCCTATCAAGACTGTATCATGAAGAACTATAAAATCTGAACAGAGAAATCAATAATCAAAAGCTTCCCAACAAGATTAGCCTAGGACCAGACTTTACTGGAGAATTTAAAAAATAATTAATATTAATTCTTCTCAAACTTTTCCAAAAACTTGAAGGAAAGGGAACACTTCCAAACTCATTTTATGAAGCCAGCATTACTCTGCTACCAATGCCAGACAAAGATCTATAAGAAAGAAAACTACAAGAACTACAACAAAACAACAACAACAACAAAAATCTACAGCCCAGTATCCCTGACGAATATTGATGTAAAAATCCTCAACAAAATTCTAGAAAACTAAGTTCATCAGCACATTAAAAGGATAATATGCCATGGCCAAGTGGGATTTATCCTGGAATGTGAGGATGGTTCAGCATGTGAAAATCATGTATAATACACCACATTAACAGAACAAAGGATAAAAATCACATGATCACATCAGTTGATGCAGAAAAAGCATTTGACAATATTTAAAGCACTTTTATGATAAAAACTCTCAACAAACTAGCGATAGAAGGAAATTACCTCAACGTAATAAAGGCTATATGTGAGAAGCCCACAGTGAACATCACATTTAGTAGCGAAAAACTGAAAGCTTTTCTTTAAGATTAAGAACAAGGTGAGGATGTCCACTCTTGCCACTTTTATTCAAGAGAGTACTGGCTTCTAGCAAGAGCAATTAGGCAAGAAAAAGATGTAAAGTCATCAAAATTAGAGAGAAAAAATTAAAAACATTTTTGTTCACAGATGACATAATCTTATATGTGGAAAACCCTAAAGATTACACACAAAAAAATACTGTTAGAAAAAACAAAATCAGTGAAGTTGCAGGAGAAAAAAAAGACACAAAAATTTGTTGCATTTTCATATACTAGTAATGAACAATCTGAAAAGAAAATTAAGAAAACAATCCCATTTAAAATAGCATTTAAAAAATAAAATACTTAAGAGTAAACTTAATCAAAGAGATGAAAGACTTTTACACTGAAAGCTACAACACATTACTGAAATAAATTAAGGAAGACACAAATAGATAAAAAGACACCCTATGTTCATGAATTGTAACAGTTAATATTGTTAAAATGCCCATTTTAACAATACTCAAAACGATCTACAGATTCAATGCAAAACTACTCAAAACGATCTACAGATTCAATGCAACCCCTATCAAAATTCCAATGGCATTTTTTTGAAGAAATAGAAGAACCAATCCTAAATTGTGTATGGAATCTCAAAAGATTATGAATAGCTAAAACAATCCTGAGAAAGAACAAAGCTAGAGGCTTCACACTTCCTGATTTCAAAACATGTTACAAAGTGACAGTAATAAAAACAGTATTGTACTGGTGTAAAGACAGACATATAACCCAATAGACTTAAATAGAACTCAGAAATAAACGCTTATGTTTATGATCAAATGATCTTCAAAAAGGGTGCCAACGTAGACCAACAAAATAGAGAGCCCAGAAATAAAGCTGCACACCTACAACTGATTTTTGACAAAGTCAACAAAAACAAGCTATAGGGAACGTACTCCCTATTCAACTAATAGTGCTGGGATAACTGGCTAGCCATATGCAGAGGAATAAAACTGGACCCCTTTCTTACAGCATATACAAAAATCAACTCAAGATCGATTAAAGATTTAAATGTAAAACCTAAAACTATAAAAACCCTGGAAGATAATCTAGAAAATACCATTCTGGATACAAGCCCTGGCAAAGATTTCATGATGAAGATGCCAAAAGCAATTGCAACAAAAATGAAGGCTGACAATGGGACCTAATTAAACTAAAGAGGTTTTGCATAGCAAAAGAAACTATCAACAGAGTAAAAAGACAACGTACAGAATGGGAGAAAATGTCTGCAAACTATGCATCTGACAAAGGTCTAATATCCAGACTCTATAACAGACAGTGAGATTGAAACAGAAATAAAAAAAATTGCCAACAAAAAAAATCCACGACCAGATGGATTCACAGCTGAATTTTATCAGGTATTCAAAGAAAAATTAGTACTATTCTTACTGAAACTATTCCAAAAGATAGAGTAAAAGGGAATCCTCCCTAAATCATTCTATGACACCAGTATCACCCTAATACCAAAACCAGGAAAGGACATAACAAGAAAGAAAACTACAGACCAATATCTCCATTGAACATAGAAGCAAAAATCCTCAACAAACCACTAGCTAACCAAATCCAACCATATCAACAAGATAATACACCATGATCAAGTGGGTTTCATACCAGGGATGCAGGGATGGTTTAACATGCACAAATCAATAAATGTGATACATCACACAAACAGAATTAAAAACAAAAATTACATGATTATTTTAATAGGTCCAAAAATGCATTTGACAAAATCCAGCATCCTTTTATGATGAGAACCCTTAGCAAAATTGGTATAGAAGGGACATACCTCAAGGTAATAAAAACCACTTATGACAAACTCACAGCCAACATTATACTGAACAGGGAAAGGTTGAAAGCATTCCTCTTGAGAACTGGAACAAGACAAGTATGTCCACTTTCACCACTTCTATTTAACATAGTACTGAAAGTCCTATCCAGAGCAATCAGACAAGAGAAAGAAATAAAGGGCAATAAATTAGCAAAGAGAAAGTCAAACTGTCACTGTTCACCAATTATATGATTGTTTAAATAGAAAACCTAAAGACTTATCCAAAAAGCTCCTAGATCTGATAAATGAATTCAGTAAAGTTTCATGATACAAAATCAATGTACACAAATCAGTAGCATTGCTATACAGCACCAACAACCAAGCTGAGAATCAAATCAAGAACTCAATGCCTTTTTACAACAGCTGCAAAAATAATAAAATAAAATAAAATAAAATAAAATAAAATAAAATACTTAGCAATATACCTAATCAAGGAGGTGAAAGATCTCTATAAGGAAAACTACAAAACACTACTAAAAGAAATCATAGATGACACAAATAGAAACACATCCCATACTCATGGATGGGTAGAATCAATATTGTGAAAATGACCATACTGCCAAAAGCAACCTACAAATTCAAGGCAATACACATCAAAATACTATCATATTCTTCATAGAACTAGAAAAAACAATTCTAAAATTCATATAGAACCAAAAAAGAGCCCACATAGCCAAAGCAAGACTAAGCAAAAAGAACAAGTCTGGAGCATCACATTACCTGACTTCAAACTATACTATAAGGCTATAGTTACCAAAACAGCGTGATACTGGTGTAAAAATGGGTGCATAGACCAACTGAATGGAATACAGAATCCAGAAATAAAGCCAAATACTTACAGCCAACTGATCTGGTATAAAAATAGGCACATAACCCAGAAATAAAGCCAAATACTTAACAGTCAACTGATCTTTGACAAAGCAAACAAAAATGTAAAATGGGGAAAGGACATCTTATTCAACAAATGTTGCTGGGATAATTGGCAAGCCACATGTACAAGAATGAATCCTCACCTCTCGTCTTATACAAAAATCAACTTAAGATGAATCAAAGACTTTAAGCCACAAAACTATAAAAATTATAGACAATAACTTCGGAAAAACTCTTCCAGACATTGGCTTAGGCAAGGAGTTCATGACTAATAACGCAAAAGCAAACGCAACAAAAACAAAGATAAATAAATGGGACCTAATTAAACTAAAAAAGCTTCTGCACAGCAAAGGTAGTAACCAGCAGAGTAAACAGACAACCCACAGAGTGGGAGAAAATATTCGCAAACTATGTATTCAACAAAGGACTAATATCCAGAATACAAGGAACTCAAACAAATCAGCAAGAATAAAATAAAGAATCCCATCGAAAAAATAAGCTAAGGACATGAATAGACAATTCTTAAAAGAAGATAAGACAAATGGCCAACAAACATATGAAAAAATGTGCAACATCACTAATTATTAGGGAAATGCAAATCAAAACCACAATGAGATACCACCTTACTCCTGCAAGAAGGCCATAATTTAAAAATAAAAAAATGACAGATGTTGGCATGGATGTGGTGAAAAGGGAACAGTTTTACAATGCTTGTGAGAATGTAGTAAGAATGTAAACTAGTACAACCACTATGAAAAGCAGTATGAAGATTCATTAAAGACCTAAAAGTAGAACTACCATTTGATCCAGCAATCCCACTACTGGGTTATCTACCAAGAGGAACAGAAGTCATTATACAAAAAAGATACTTGTACACCCATGTTTATAGCAGCACAATTCACAATTGCAAAAATCATGGAACAGACCCAAATGCACATCAATCAATGAGTAGATAAAGAAACAGTGATATATATATATATATATATATATATATATATATATATATATATATATATATACACACACACGTACATGTATATATGATGGAATACTACTCAGCCATACAAAGGAATGAATTAACAGCATTTGCAATGACCTGGATGAGATTGGAGACTATTATTCTAAGTGGAGTAACTCAGGAATGGAAAACCAAACATCATATGTTCTCACTGATATGTGGAAGCTAAGCATTAAGAATGCAAAGGCATAAGAATGATACAATGGACTTTGGGGCACCAAAATCTCACTAATCACCACTAAAGAACTTAGGTAACCAAATACCACTTGTACCCCAACAACTCATGGAAAAATAGTAATAATAAAATTAAACATTAAACATTAAATTAAAAAATACTAGCAAGCAAAATACAAACAACCCCATTAAAAAGTGGGCAAATGACATGAACAACATGAACAGACACTTTTCAAAAGAAGAAATACACATGCCCAGCAAGCATATAAAGAACTCTCAATAACATTAATTATTAGAGAAATGCAAATCAAAACCACAGTGAGATATCATCTCACATCGGTCAGAATTGCTCTTACTAAAAAGTCAAAACATAACAAATGCTGGAGAGGTTGTGGAGAAAAGGAATCACTTGTACCCTGCTGGTGGGAATATAAATTAGTTCAGCCATGGTGGAAAGCAGTCTGACAATTTCTCAAAGAACTTAAAACAGAACTATCATTCCACCCAGCAATCCCACAATTGAATATATACCCAAAGGAATATAAATAATTCTCCCATAAAGACACACACATGAGTATGCTCATCAAAACACTATTCACAATAGCAAAGACAGAGAGTCAATCTAAATGCCCATCAATGGAAGACTGGTAAAGAAAATGTGGTGCATATACACTATGGAATACTATGCAGCCATAAAAAATAACAAGATCATTTCCTTTGCAGCAACATGGACGGAGCTGGAGGCCATTAGGCAAACTAATACGGGAACAGAAAACTACCGTATGGTCTCACTTATAAATGGGAACTAAATATTGAGTACACATGAACACAAAGAAGGAAACAACAGACACCAGGACCTACTTGAGGGTAGAAGGCGAGGAGGAGGGTCAGGATTTAAAAACTACCTATTGGGTACTGTGTTTAATACCTGGGTGACAAAATAATCTGTGCGCCAAACCCCCCATGACGCATAATTTACCTGCATAACAAACCTGCACATGTACCCCTGAACCTAAAAAAGTTGAAAAAAAAGAAGGGTGCCAAGACTACACAATAGGGGAAGGGATCATTTCTTCAACAAATGGTATTGGGTGTTGGGAAAACTGGACATCCACATTCAAGGAAAAAAATCTGGACACTTATTCCACACCATATACAAAAATTAACTCAAAATGGGTTAAAGACCTAAACATAAGACAAACATAAAACCTGAAGCTATAACATTCTTAGAAAAAACACAGGGGAAATGCTTCATGACATTGGGTTTGAAAAAAGGTTTTTGGATGTTATATCAAAAGCACAGGCAATGAAAGCAAAAATAAACATATGGGATGACATCAAACTTAAAAGCTTCTTTGCAGGAAAAAAAACAATCAAGACTGAAAAGGCAAACTACATATGGGAGAAAATATTTGCAAACCAGTTATCTGATAAGGGGTTAATATTCAGAATATGTAAAGAACTCCTACAACTCAACAACAACAAAAAAAACAGCCTGATTTAGAAATGGGTGAAAAATTTGAATAGATGTTTCTCCATAGAAGATAAACAAATGGCCAACAAGCACATGAAGAGTTGATTAGTATCACTAATCATTAGAGAAATGCAAATCAAAACCACAATGAGATATGACTTCACATGTATTAGAATGGTCTCTATCAAAAAAAACAACAACAGAAAATAGCAAGTGTTGGTGAGACTGTGGAAAAAATTGGAAACTTTGGGCATTGTAGGTGGGATTGTAAAATGGTGCAGCCTCTATGGAAAACAGTATGAAAATTTGTCAAAAAATTTAAAATAGAACTACCATATGATCCAGCAATCCCACTTCTGGGTATGTGTCTTTCTTATTTCATTTTCTACTGCTAAAACCGAATACCTGAAACTAGGTAGTTTATAAAGAAAATAATTGTCCTTCTTACAATTCTGAATGATGAAAGTCCAAGAGCATGGTGTTGGTGTCTGACAAGGGTCTTCTTGCTACATTGTCCCATGGCAAAAGGTGAAAGGGTAAGCAAGTACGGAAAGAGGATGAGGGGTGAGCTGCATCTTTTTATCAGGAACCCACTCCCACAATAACAGCATTAATCCATTTTAAGGGTGGAACTCTCATGACCTAATCACCTCTTAAAGGTTCCACTTTTTAATACTGTTACAATGGCAATTAAATTTCAACGTGTTAGGACATGCAGACCATAGTGGTATCCAAAAGGATTAAAAACTGGATTTTGAAGAGATTTTTGCACACCAATGTTTATAGCAGCATCATTCACGATAGCCAAGAAGTGGAAGCAACCTAAAATGTGCCTCAATGGATAAATAGATAAAGAGAATGTGGCATATACAATGGAATACTACCCAGTGTTAAAAAAAAAAGAAGGAAATCTTGTCAGATGTTATGATAAACCTTGAGGGCATTATGTCCAGTGAAATGAGCCAGTCACGAAAGGACAAGTACAGCACTCTTTCATTTATGTGAGGAGTCTAAAGTAGTCAGACTCATAGGAATGGAAAATAGAAGGGTGGTTGCCAGGGGCTTGGGGAGGGAGAGTTGCTTAATGGGTCTAAGGTAGAATTGTGGACTCTGGGGCTCTGTTGCAAACAATGTGCATGTGGTTGACAGTATTCTACTGTTCACTTGGAAATTGTTAGAAGGGTAAATTTTGTGTTATGTGTTTTTATGGCACAATGAAAAATGAAAAATAAATTTCATCTTCTGAGTGTTTGCTCTATTATCCATCCTGCAGAACTCAACCAAGAGTATCTGTAGTTTTTATTTTCCATTTTTTATATCCCTTTTATTCACACTTTTATTCCTCACTTAGTTTTCAAACCCTTTTTCATGATGAGAAGAATACCAGGTCCTGGGGGAATGGAAAGCTGTATGAGATACTGATCCAGATGTCAGGAGCTCACCGTTCTATGACAGGGACAGTCAGGTAAACAACAAGGCACCTCCCAGCCCAGCTGGGGTGGGTGGGGCTGGGAGTCTTGCCAAAGAGCCAGGAGTTGCCACACAGTAGAACTCTCCATAAGCAATTGTTGATAAATAGAGAATGGAAGGTTGGGTGAAGTATCACCATCTTTTTTTTTTTTTTCCTTTTCACAAACAGAAACAAAACAAAATCCCACTGGCTATGATTATGACTGTAATTATTGTAATAATTATTTTGCTTTCTACCATGGCATAGTTCAACCACAATAGTAAATGGGCTTCTATGAAGAAAAAGAGATGAAGAGGGAATTTTTCACTCTCTCATTATTAAGTTTCCTTCTCGAAGGGAGATGCCAGTGGAAAATGATGACAGAAAATACGGTGATGAATAATTCACTCTGCCTAATTTCATATAATTTTGTTTTCTTTATGAGTTAGTAATTAGAATATGCAGGTTATTTAAGGGACAGAAAATGGCTCTTTAAACTCAGGTAAAAAGAAGTTGTATACTATTATTGGTTTAAAAAATTACAAACAAAAACCAAAAAATGCCTTCAGGAGCTATCTTGTCTTCCTTGGGTCTCTGTAAGCATCTCAGGGCTGCAGCTTTCACAGGGAAAGAGGCTTTTGGGTCGAAACCCTGTGGATGCCAGCACGGTGGTCTCTGTGCAAGCCAAAATGTCCATGCTTCTGTGAAGTTCAGGCACTTGGCAAGATTTTAAATAAATGCTAGCTTGAATGCTCAAGATATTTGACTGACCTAAGGGGTGGTGGACACCATGACTTGGATATAGCTGCATAAAGCATAATTACCAAGCCTGGCTGTCTGTATGCCAAGGATGCCAGGTAAAACCCTGGCCACCCACAATTAGGCTCTGCCTTTTTGTTGGGAGGACCACTGTGAGTAGTGTCTGGACAGAAAAGGGGGCCAAGGAGACCTCACAAATCAGTACCTGTTGCAGGTTCCTCATCTATAAAATAGGAACACAAAGAGCACCTATCTCATCGGGTTGCAGAGAGGACTGGGTGAGATGATGAAAGTCAAGTGCATGGTTTTCTGTGTGGCACATAGAAAGTGCCAACTATGATATTCTTATGATTAGTGGTGGAGGTCCTATGAATATTGCATTATTGGGAGACACAGTAAGATGAAAATATCACATGCCATTGTGCTAGTCATTCTCTGCATGTCCCCACCTCAAATCTTCCCCCCAGCCTGCTCTGAGCCCACATCATCTATGGGCCACATCATCTGGCTCCCTTGTCTTGCAACATCCTGGGGGTTCAGACAATGGGAGACTCTGGTAGGGACAGAGGGAGGTCTGGTCCCAGGGCAGGAGGAAAGAGAGGTGGGGCATCTATCTCCCTCCTCACTTGCTTCCTGTCTTACCTCTGTTTGGCTGTTTCTACTGTTGTAGGTCCTGTCACACAACCCCTTTGTGTCCAAAGCTGTCTCCAGGCCCTGGGAACAGCTTCCGTTCTCTTGCCCCTTTGGGCCTAGAAGGATACAGGTCAGAGGAGCGGGATCTGCCCATGGGTCCTATTGACCCTGCACACACCTCTGTAAATAGCCTCTTCATTAGCCTCCCTTCAGGTAAACCCTTTGAGTTTTCACTTGTAGCCTGCCGGGATACTGAGTAATCAGTTAAACATTTTTGTAAGTTTCTAATATGAGCAAAGAAGCATGCAAAGTATATATAATTTCATTTTAAAACAAGCTTATGAGAAAGGGCTTATTAATGTCATTTTGGAGACAAGGAAAGAGTGATTCTGAGAGGTTTAAAGTAATCAGCCCAAGACCTCATGGAGAGTAAGAAACAGAGCCAGGGCTGAAAGCCAGGCCTGCCTGCCTCCAACTCCAGTCTCTGAGTGGAGTCTGTTGTAGCCTCTGATATAGAGGGGAAATTGACAGGGTAGAGGAGTGGGAGCCCCACGCAAAGTCTCAAAGCCTCTGATGTGTAGGTGTGGGAAGAAGCTGTATATTGCAGAGCAATAATGCTGCCGTGGAATTTGTGAGTAGTGGTTACAGATAGTCACTGAAGTGAGAAAAGAAACAGAAAGAAAAAAAAGTGGGGGACAAGAGAGAGAGAGAACAGGTGTGTGTGTGTAAGCGACCACATTTATTTTTAACTTGTGGGCTCGTGACACTTGGCCTGCAGCACAATCTCTGTTGCATGTCCTGAGACTCCAGCTAGGCTCTTTGGACAATGCCACAAACATCTGGCTGCTGAAAACCTGGCCCTTTTGGAGATCTTGAGACCCCTGCCAGATTATTTGAAAGAAACCATAGCTCTGATAAAAATTCCTGTGGCAGATACTCTTTTGACATTTTCCCAATCTTACTCAAAACCTGCTCAGACTCCACAGAAAGGCTCATGATCTCCAGGTGGCTCTTGGTAATTAAAAAGGTATGACAGATTACCCAGGGCCTGTCTGCAAATAACGCTGTACCTGGGGGCCAAGTCCAATTGCGCTTCAAGGAGCTTTTGCTTATCAGATTAGAGGCAAATGTACTTCTGAGAAGGGGAAGTTAAATAGTTCGGAACATTGAAAATGATAATGCTCTTGACCCAAAATCATCCTCTCACTTCCGTAGCTTTAAGAAGACTGCCATAAACCCATAATCAGGCTTTCCATGTAAAAGAAAGAACCGCCTCCGACTGTCACTTAACTGTCATCTAAAACTTGTATTCCCAAGGCCACCTTCACTGTCTATTTTTAACGTGTGGCCATTATCTATATAGAAGAAGCAGATGATGGTTCAGATGGATCAGCTACAGCCTGTTCATCCATCCATCCATCCATCCATCCATCCATCCATCCATCCATCCATCCATCTGTCCATCCATCCACCAATCCTCTGTAACCACTCCTCATTCAAAAAGTTTATCCATCTATTTGTCCATTCATCCACCTATTCATCTATAAATCAACTCATAAACTTATTAATGCATAATACACTCATTGACAGAAAAAGCCATTCATCATCTATCAATTTGCCTACTCATCTATCAACTCATTCACTTATAAATGCATACATACACTCGCTGATTGAAAAATTCATCCATCCATCCATCCATCCATCCTTGCACTCATCTATGAATCAACTTGTTTACTTCCAAGAACATACTTATAATCATTGATTTAAAAATCAACCATTGAATCCATTAATCCATCCATCTATCCACTCATTTATCTATCCATTCATCCACCTACTTATCCATCAATCAGCTAATTTACTTATAAATATACATACACACTCAATGATTGAAAAATATATCCATCCGTCCATCTTTCCACCCACCACTCACCTACTTATTCACCAAGTATACATCCATCCATTTGAATAAACACTCATTTGCTCTTATATTCAACTAACATTGACTAAGAACCAATAGTAATGATAACACTTTGTTTAGCTTTTACAGTATGCCAGGTAGTGCACTAAGTGCTTTAACAGGGATTACCTCATTTAGTTATCAAAACAAGACCATTAAGATAGAGACAGTTATTATCGTCTCTGCTTCAGAGATAAGAAATCTGAGTTTCAGAGATCTAATACTTCTCCCAAGGTGGCACAGCTAGTAAGTGACGAAGTTCATGTCCTTCCTCATTCTGTTGGGGGCAGGTCCAGGGCTGCACATGGAAAACATGAAAGAACACCAATGAGGACACGGGCTTGAGGTGCTCCCAGCCCCTGGGGCTGACAGACACATTAAAAAGAAAATTCAAATTCAAAATCTTAGTGCCTGTTTTTGACCATCGGGGACCTGACTTCAGAAAAGTTGACTTTTCCAAACTCACACAGGTAAGGAGGGCAAAGCTGAAATTCAAATTTGGGACTGCTTTCTTCCAATGCCACTTTTCCAATAAACCACTATTGCCTAATATTCAATTATTTGAATAAGACCTTTACAATTTTCACCACTTCTTGTAGCTGCAATTACTATTATTCTTTTAATATTTTTATTAATCTCAAAAACTTAACCCTGATCAACATAATCTGTGAGGTTGCATTTTAAGATGCCAATTACCTATTTTTTCCTGGTACACATTGTATTTGTTTATTAGGGCTGCCATAATAAAACACTACAGATTGGGTGGCTTAAAAAACAAAAATTTATTTTCTCACAGTTCGGAAGGCTGGAAGTCCAAGATCAAAGTGCTGGCAGGGTTGGCTTCTGGCAAGGCCTCTCTCCCTGGCTTATGTTGGCCTGTTGGCCACCTTCTCGCGTGAGTTCGCTTGGCTTTTTTTTTTTTTCTTTCTGTGCGTGCACTCCCAGTGTATCTTCCTCCTCTTATGAAGACACCAGTCCTGGTGAATCCAAGCCCTACCCTTATGACCTCATTTAACCTTAATTGCATTCTTAAAGGTTCTATTCCCTAAACACCATCACACTGAGGGTCAGGGCTTCAACATATGAATTTGGGGGGCACAGAATTCAGTCCATAACACACATTAAAGTAAGTTCAAGCCTAAAAACGCTCAGCCAGGTGCCCTCTAAAATCATTCTGCACATCACCATACTTAAGGGCATGCTGCACTCCCAATGTTGCCATTCATAAAACAGTGGTGAAGCAGCTGGTGGAAATGCTTTGTGGATACAGACACAAGCCCAGATGGAGGGAAGGAGTCAGGCTACAGAGGAACAAGAGACCCCAGTATGGTAGTGAAGCTTTAATTGCTGAGTTGCTCCCTAGGGATGCCGATTAGAGGAAGAAGATGGAGCAAAACAGGTGTTTGGATAGATGAGACCCAAGAAAGGAGCCATATTTGGCTCTGTCAGAAATGTACTCATTTGCTACAAAATAGACCCAGCCTGGATGGAGCTGGGTTCTGCCCATTGCAAAGTAAAGTATGGGCTGTGCTGCAACCCTCTGTTTTGCTTGCAGTGGTTGCCTCTCTGCTGTGACTTCTTTGCTGGGACCTACCTGGGGCACATACTTGCTGTACTCACTATGACATCTTCCCTATACTTCCTCCCTTCATGGCAACTTGAACATGAGTCATTGAGAGGCTGTGTACTGCAGGTTGGGGTCTTCTCAGATATTTCACTTGTGCCTCTGATGCTTAAATGAAAGCCTCAGTGTTCATCCGATTTCTCAGAGCACAAGAAGGTAGTCAGAAGGGTTTGGGCCAGCACAGGAGGCAATCAGTGAAAGGAAGGGGGGATACTCCATGGTCACTACTAAGACCATGATCCCGAGTCCCCACTGGTGGTATGCTGTGCACCCAACTGGGGATTGGTTTGTGCGGAGATCTCAAATGCAGGTGACGGTGGGGACCACACCACCAATGCGATTGAAAGAGGAAAGCCAGATGAGGCGGGATGAAGAGAAAGCGCCCCATCTGAACGGGATGTCTATGCAGCTCCAGGAAAACATGCAGGCCATGGTAGAATGTGGGCCACTCTGGACTTAACTTTCTAATTTTTCAAGAGAGATCAGGAATCTGCATTTTTATCTGACAGCTCAATGTTTAAAATCCTGGCAATTACATTTTTTAAGCGTGAAAACATAGTGACCCCCAAATAATACAGCTATGGGTCATATCTGGTCCTCAGGTGCAATTCTTATTCTCTGAAATACTTCTCGGGATGACTGATCCTGGCCCCTGGCTCTATCCCTAATGCTTCACCATGCACTGACTCACCTATTTGTTTTTCCTACCAGACTGAGGATTAGGGTTCTCTAGAGAAACAGAACCAGTAAGATAAATGTAGAGAGAAGCAGATATGTGATAGGCAACTCAGTGGGGGAATTGGCTCACATGGTTATGGAGGCTGTGATATGGCATCTTCAAGCGAGAGCACCAGGGAAGCCGGCAGCATGGCTCAGACCAAGTCCCAAGGCTGAGAGACAGGGCAGCTGATGGTGTCACTCACAGTCTGAGACCTGAGAAACTGGGGGGCTGCCAGTGCAGCTCTCAGAGTCTGAAGGCTGGAGAACCTGGATCTCTGATGTCCGAGGGAGGAGAAAGGTATTCCAGCCTCAGAAGGGAGAAAGTGCGTGTTCTTGTTTTTTCCAGCCTTTTTGTTCTATCTAGGCCCTCAGCTGATTGGGCAATGCTTACCATGTTGAGAGTGGATCCTCCTTACTCAGTCCATGGATACAAATGCCAATCTATTTTGGGAACCCTCACAGACACACCCAAAAATCATGCTTTTCCAGCTATCTGGGCATCCCTTAATCCAGTCAAGTTGACACCTGGAATGAACCATCACAGAGAGAATACTAAGGGCTGGGACTGGGTCTTTGCCCTCCTTTTATTCTCTGAGCTCAAAGCTCAGATCTAGGGTCAGACCCAAAGTGGACACCAAGTGAACTCTCAGGCACTTAACTGGATTAAAGATAAACCAGTGCTTCAATGCAGAAGTACTGAGTCTTCTCAGCTCTTGTTGGCTCTGGGAGGTTTCTATGAAGGGTCATCCCAGCCAGTCCTCACTTAGCCTATGACTGGGTCTGCTGATCAGGAGAGTAGCACAAGGACTTCTATAATTTCCTGACTGGCCCATGCCAGCTTAGCTCACTGTGATGGTTAATACTGAGTGTTAACTTGATTGGATTGAAGGATGCAAAGTATTGATCCTGGGAGTGTCTGTAAGGGTGTTGCCAAAGGAGATTAACATTTGAGTCAGCGGGCTGGGAAAGGCAGACCCAAGCTTAATCTGGGTGGGCACCATCTAATCAGCTGCCAGCGTGGCTAGAATATAAAACAGGCAGAAAAAAAAAAATGTGAAAAGACTAGACTGGCCTAGCCTCTCAGCCTATATCTTTCTCCCATGCTGGACCTTTCCGGCCCTTGAACATTGGCCTCTAAGTTCTTCAGTTTTGGGACTCGGACTGGCTTTCCTTGTTCCTCAGCTTGCAGACGGCCTGTTGTGGGACCTAGTGATCATGTGAGTTAATACTTAATAAACTCCCCTTTATGTATACATATATGAATATATATGTATCCTATTAGTTCTGTTCCTCTAGAGAACTCTAATACATTCACCTTATTGTCTCATACTCTGAGCCTTTACAAACGTGCTGGAAACACCCTTCCTGCCTGTCTTCCTTGGCACAAGTCATTCTGAGAACTTGCCTTAGGCATAATCTCATTTGATAAACCTTTATATTTCCACTAGACAAAATGAATTGAACCTTGTACTACAGGAAATACCATCCCACATTATTATTGTCCCTCTTCGATTCTGAATCTGGGGTCAGAAATTAATGTCTGAAAAATGAAGCCAAGTTGTATCCTCACACCTGTGGGGTTTCAGTTGTCAGCCTCAGTCTGGATCTCTTAGGAAGTGGAAGCCAGCATTTTTAAAGCACTAGCACCTGGGATTTTGCTGCCTCAGACACAAGGAGGGGAGCTTTGGGGAGTCTGGATTGGAGGCCAACCAAGTTTATCCATTGCAGGCATGGGGAAGAGATAGCTCACACTGTCAACAATAGTTACGGCTGCATCACCACTACATCTACTGAGTCTTGCACAGTGCCCAACTCTGGTAGGAGCCCAACCAATATTTCTTAATTGAAGTAAGGATAAAATGGTAAAACGTGTGTTAAGATATAGAGAATTTATGTCCTGTATCACTTGTTTTTATAAAACTCTCTTTGGAGTATTTTGCTTGCTAACATTGCAGGTCTCTCTCTCTCTCTCTGCTTTTCTCTTTCCTTTCTCTTCTCTCATCCATCTCTTATCACCTCTCAGGGCTGTTACCGTACTTGGCCTGCAGCTCTATTTTACATTTGATCTTCTTTGCAAGAACTGAGGGGCTGCTATCTTCACAATGAAATAAATAAACAAAATGCAAGACTTTATAATGGTTGTTTATTACCTAAACAGAACCTCTTTCACCTTTTGGTGACTTGGTCATTGAGTCATTCACACCATAGGTCAAGGCATCTCTGATCACCTCCAGAACAAATCTGATGGGATTCCTCACAGGGGAAATAGGAGGGACCTGCTGCTGGCTATGAACCTGTAGCATTCCAGGCACGATCCTCTTCATCCTCCTGAATTACCTCCATGGCTCTGTGAGAAGCAGTCTGGTGGAAGAACTGTGGGTTTGTTTTCAACATCCGTTCCCACTTCGCTCTCATCCACCTACAGAGGATGGGCCCTAAAATAGGCAATTTCCAATAGGCAATTTACCATTCGCGATGTGATTGCTTTTGGCCAAGCAGCAACAAGATTTGAGATCAGACATGGCACTTCTGGAGCAGGGACTGCACTTAGCCACTTGTGCACTTTTGCCTGGAGGCTGCAAGGTGGGGGTGTTTGGCTTTTCTGTGGCAGCTGTGGTAGTGGTTCTAGCATCTACGCCCAAGCTACATGGGGTCAAGGGCATCATCTTGCAGGTGCGCATCATGGCCGAGGCAACATGATTCTGGAGCTGGAGTGTCATGGGATCCCAGCCTGGAAAAGAGCTTCGAGATTCTATCCTTTCTTCCCTGGGCAGAGGCAGCAGCTTCCTGGGCAGGCCAGTTCTACAGTGTTTTGAAAATCTACTCTAGAATTCATTTCTTCAACCCTCTTAAAGATGCTCTAACCATTTGTGCTCAAGTAGATTCTGTTTTCTGCAACTGAACCCTGCTTGACACACCCATTTCACAGAAAAGAAAATGAAGGCCCAGAGTGATGAAATGATGAGTCTCAGGTGCCCTGGTTGTAACAGAGGAAGAGATTCTGCATAAGCTGCCTTAGTAGTGCTGAGCTTTCATTCATTCGAGAAAGAGCAGCCAATGCCTCTGATAGTCCATCCTCAAGAATCAGGGTTGTGGGGGCTGGCTGCAGTGGCTCACACTTGTAATCCCAGCACTTTGGGAGACCAAGGCAGGCTGATCACTTGATGTCAGGAGTTTGGGACTAGCCTGGCCAACATGGTGAAACTCTGTCTCTACTAAAAATACAAAAATTAGCTGGGCATAGTGGCACATGCCTGTAATCCCAGCTACTTGGGAGGCTGAGGCAGGAGAATTACTTGAACCCAGGAGGTGGAGGTTGCCGTGAGCCAAGATTGCACCACTGCACTCCAGCCTGGGCAACAGAGACAGACTCCATCTCAAAAAGAAAAAACAACAACAACAACATATTGTGGGAACTTTTTCACTCAGAAGGGATGTGTGAATTGCAGGATTTACCTTTTCACAGACTCTTCAGTTTGTGGCTGCTGAACTCATTCTACTTTTTCTGCATCCTATTATTGAGCTCAGAAACAGTGAACAAATTGCTCTCCTTCTCCATACTCATTTGTGATGAGAGGCTCACACTTTAGCTTCCTTGCAAACTGGTCTCCACATCATCCCCACCATTCCCAATACCAGGGGCTGTAGTGATAGGAACAACCTGAGCTGAATCCAGGGAGACCTGCACCACCACTGGGAAGTCCTCCCAGCCTGTATCGGAATGGGAAAGCCCGTGGTTATGACAACCATGTGAGATGCCTCTTCTGCCCCTTCCCAAGTGCAGTCTCAGCAAGAAGCTGCCTTTCGAAAGGGCTTTCAGGAAGTTAGGTAGGAGTCTAGTTTGGCTGGTAATCTACTGTGGGCCCAGTGCAATTATTCTAACTTTCCTCCCTCTAGGAGTTGAGACCATACCAAAGTGGTATGATCATATGATATCTTGACCTTGTTTAGAATGGCCAAGACCCAGGATTTTATTTATGCCCATACAGTTAAGGAGTCTTCCCTCTGCCTAAGTGGTAGGAATGGTGATTGACAAATGATGTTTCATCCATGACACTCCCTGGCCTCCGTGGGTGCTACCACTTCTCTCCCTCTGTTTCTAATATCTTTGTCCACCCAGAGCTGACATAGGGTCTCCAGACAGGCCAGACTGTCTGGCCCTCGAGTCATTGCCACTGTAGCCCTGCAGCTCCTCAGGATGGAGACCACCCTTATTGTCTTAGTTCCTCAGTGCCAGCTGGAGTTCTTGACTTTGAGTTTGTGCCCAATGAGCATTTACCAAATTAAAGAAAATTGCTTCTAAAATCAAATAATCTAGTTTTCCCTCCTTACCCCAACCCCATTTTGCAGAACAAGTGAAAACAGTGGCTGGCACTTTTCCCATATACTTTCTCTGTCCCTTCCATGCCAGTTTCCACTGGCCGTGTGCATAGATAACATATGGGATGCAAAGAGAGCAAATGAAAATTAATGAGAAAACTTGGGAAGAGACAATCGGGCTTAATTTGACCACTGTTTTTATAATTCATTATGTTTCACAGCCTGAAAATGTAACTATATTTAAGCCTTACTAACAGCTTTAAATAACTGGTCATATTCCTGCCAATATCATTCTTAGTCCAGCTGTCCCTACTTCATAGTGAGGAGCCCACGACCTGAAGAAACTCCACCATCTAAACAAGCTGAAGACCCTCTGCTCCCAGATGCCATTCTAGCCTTCATTTTCTACGTAAACTCACACACACACATACCCCACAAATATTTTAAAACATCCCTGTAAAATGTTTTTGTGTGGACACCTGTGTTGAGAAATACGACCAGCTTTTCTAATACAATCGATGGCTTTTGGAGGTTTTAGAAAGCTTGCAGGTTAAGAAGATTCAGTTCCTCTTCTTAGTGGCAGTGGGGTGTACTGGCAGGATCGCTGTTTAAAGTGGCCAAATCCCTAAAACATATGGTTGCCCTGAATGATCTCTACATTTCCCTCTAGGAATCTAGGATTCACAGAAACATTGAAGTCAACTCATGTATTTTTGCTCGGTAAGGCATATAGAGTTTGTAAGTTGCAAACCCAAACATGGATGTGCAAGAAATAAACCTTTCCTCTTTGTCCTATAATTAGCCTTAACAGCTACCTCCAGCCTCTAGTCTGCCGTTCATTCTGGGTCATCTTAGGTGATTCCGGATCATCTCAATCAATTTAGGGTCTCTTCGGCTAAGTCAGGGGCTTCCTTGCTCCCCTGGCCCCTACCATGTCTATTTCTTGGAGCTAATGTAGAGCCATGGCATCATGGAGAGCAGGCCATCTGTTTGTGGGCTGTGCTGTGTCCTGGCTGATGTTCGCTGAGAGTCCAGCACTCTAAATCATCCTGGGTCATGCACCTTTGCCATATCAGTGATGTCTGCACTGACCCCTGACTCCCACCCTCACCAGGCCCGACCCCCATTAGCTGCTCCTGCTTCCATCTCATGGGAATGAATAGGAAAATTTCTAATTGCAGATTCTGACTGTTTATCTCTGGTCTTTGTGTAGACGTGACATGTCACCATTTCTCCTCAACTGAACCTGGCGGCTAGCAGCCACACAAAACTGCCATCTCCGTGGCCCTATATAGAATGCAAGGGATGGATCTTGTCCATGCTCAGGTATTCCCAATAATCACCCAGGATTTCCACGCCTGTGGTCTGCTCTGTCCTCTGGCTCTAGCTCTGGGGGATGGGGAGGGATGGGGTGCACCTCTCACAGATCACAAACATCTTTGTCTCTGATGCACTTCTTCTATACTCTTCCTTGTCTGACATATTTATCTTGATGCCTATTTCAGGCATAAAATGACAAGAAAAAGCGGATTTGGCCTGATCACGTGTTCTTCCAAATCATTTTCATCTGCCACCAGGACTTTTGGCTTTTGAAAACCTAAATATTTGACTCTTTTGTTTCATAGTTCCATTGTGTCAGTCTTCTCTTGAGATGCTTGCAGCCCGCTGCCTGAATAAATGAAGGCTTTAGAAAAAAAAAATATCTGTGACTATATCAAAATATGGTCCCACTGTGGTTTCATCTGGGAGGGGGACAGTGGAGGGAGCAACAAGAGCCTGTATGTGATGGCTCCCATTGTCTCGCTAGCATTTCCCGGTTCCTAAGTGCCAGTGAAATCTGCAGAAAAAAAGCCATGTTTGCCAGAGGGTGTTGTGCCATTCAAACCTGGCACGGTCATGCTGGAGCTGAGACCATGGGAGGAGGGAAGAAGAGAGAATGAGTTTTCCGCCTTCCACACCTGAGGCTGTATTGCCACACCATCTGGAGCCAGAAGGGGAGAATGGGGCAGAATAAATATAAGGTGTAAACGCACGGAGCGTAAACGCATGAAATTGGCAATGACTAATTCATCATCTCACAAATCTGTCTTTACAAAGAGAAATAAAAATCAAGTCAGTTTGAGCTATATGGAGGGAGTGCAGCTCTTCCAAGAAGAGCTAATAAAAGGAGGGAGGGGAACTAGGGACTGTTTGGAAAATATGCAAATTTATGAAATTGGAAGATTCAGATGACACTTCAGGGTGATTAGTATGCTGATTGGTGTGCTTTGGGGAGCACTAAGGATGCATCATATTGTTTTCTTGAAAAAAAATAATGAAGCAGAATAAAAGAGCCCTGTGCTTCCTAACTACAGGCCTGAGTCTGCAATGTCAGCTGTGCCTTTGTGAATGGTGAGAGGAGCCCTGTGTGAATGCTGTCTACACCACTGAGCTGTCTTAGACGCAAGACTGACTTAAGATATTGTACTCACTTATTCATGCAATAAAGGTTTGATGACACCTACTCTATGTCGAGCACCATGCTGGATGCTTAGGACACAAAGAAGAACCAGGCATGTTCCTCGACCTGGAAAAATTCAGGGTCCATGAGGGGAGAGAATGTATGGTGCCTCCCACAGAATAAGCACTACAACATGAGGATTTTAGCCTAGTGATGCTGTAACACAGCAGAATCAGTTGATGGTGATGAGGGGAAGGAATTGGAGAAGCTTCATAAAGAAGGATGACATTTGAGCTGAATTTGAAGGATGCATAGAATTTTTCCAGATGACAAAGTAGGCAAAGGATATTTGAGGCAGAAATAACAGCATAAGCAAAGGCATGAAGGCATGAAAGTACTTAATACACTTTCTGGGAATGTTAAGATGACTGGTGAATAGTTCTTCCTGAGTCTGCCACCTGAGAGTAATTGCCAGATTGACTGGCTGGGTAGGATGCTTGGGCTGTTCAAATCTCAACAGCAGTGTCCACCATGGCATCGGAGTGTGAGATCCATCAACAGTCTGATAAAATTTTCCATCTTTCTGGGCATTTGGGTTCCTGGGACACTCTGGATTTCTATCTTCCCACATCTCCTAAAATTCCAGAAACCAACCAGAAGAGAAAACAAAACATCATTAGTCTTCAAATACAACTGCAGCTTGGCTAAGAGGAGGAGGAGATTGCAAACTCCAATTTACACATGAGTCAAGAAACAGATATTTGAATGATAAGAGCTGGAGCCTAACTCAGACCAGTGCAAGGAGGACCACGGGGGTCGTGAATATAAAGAACACAGAATATAAAGAACATGTCACCAAGGTTTACCCAGAAGGAAAGAGATCCTCCCTCAGTAAGAATCACTGAGATCAAGTTTGAAATGTGGTGGGTGAGCAAAAGGGAGAGGCATGGAAATTACACAAGACTAGAGGGACAGACTTAGGAACACACTAGCGTGGGGGAAGAGAGAGGAGAGTGCCTCGAGGATGCTGGAGTTCCTAGATGCCAGAATCCTAATAAAGGAAGGAAAGTGGAGGGCAGAAGAGCCCTCTGAGTCTAAGGCGGATGGGCTTACTGGAAGCTTTCTCACGATGTGGGACTTTCAATATGAACACTGAGAAAGTCCTAGGCAAAATGAGACTCTGTGTCTTTTGTGTCTAGTTTCTTTCACTTCGAATGGTATTTTTCAAGTTCATACATGTTGTACCATAGATCAATACTTCATTCCTTTTTATGGTGAATAATATTCCATTGTAAGGATATACTACATTTTGTTTATTCATTTGTCAGTTGATGGATATTTGGGTTGATTTCACTTTTGACTTTTGAATAATGCTGCTAGGAACATTTGCGTACAAGTTTCTGTGGGGACATATGTTTTCAATTTTCTTGGGCATGTATCTAGGAATAGAATTCCTGGGTATGGTAACTATTTAATTTTTGGAGGAACTCCTCTCATTTTGCCTAGGACTTTCTCAATGTTCATATTGAAGGTCTCACATCTTGGGAAAGCCCTTAATCCCAGACAACTCAAGAAGTTTGGTCACTCTATTTCTGTACAAAAGAGAATGAAAAGTTTAGAAGAAGCTAGTTCTCAACACAGGGGTGCCATATATTAAAGAAAACACCCTTTCACTATGAAACAGGAGAGGGAACCTTGGAATTGAGAAACTGGAAAAGCCACTTAAACTCCTCTTTCTCTACCACTCTTGCCATAGAAACCAATGTTAACCAGTTCAGGAAAATCCAACACACTCAAATATCAAAATAAATAAATACATAAAACTTCAAAATTTTATAAGAAAAATGACAGAAAATAAGAATAAAAGATTTTACATAGGCAAAGAAAAAAACACCAGAAAAATCTCATGAAGAAGCAGAGGAAAGCTGCAGCATAATATTCTAGCCTAAGTTTAAAATAAATCTGTAAGCAATTGCAGCCACGTAAGGACACCACAGAACAGAACTACAACAGACCCACTAAAAGATGTCAAATGGAAATGGGCAATTTTTTAAACAAATGAAACAGAAGGACAAAATTATTTCAGAGTCAAAGACTAAATTACCATAAGGAGAATAAATATGACAAAAAATTCTGAAGGGACTTAGAATATAGAAATGAGAGACGCTGAGGAGTTAAAAAAGAAATACAGATAAAAGATTGTAGAGAAAGTTACAGATGTAGAAGACATACGAAGAAGACTCAACATATAAATAATTGGAATTCCAGAAGAAAAGTAAAACACTGAAGCATAAATAATATTTAAAAATTTAATCCAGAGAGGCTAAACCCAAAACATATCCTAGTAGAGGAGGAAGAAGAAGAGGAGGAGGAAGAGGAGGAGAAAGATGGGGGAGGAGGAGGGGGAGGAAGAGAGAGAAAAACCAAAGCATCTTTCAAAATTAAGAAAATCAGGTTGGCATTAGTCCTCTCAAGAGCAGCCTTTATGGCAAGAAAGCCAAGGAGTAACAGTCATAAGATCTGTAAGATAAATGAGGAGAGAAAGAGTGAGTAGAGAACTGTGAATGCAACCAAGCTGTTCTTTAAGTATCAAGGCTAAAGAAAAATAGTTTTGAATATGCACAAACTCAAGGACAATTGTACCCTTGGACTCTTCCTAAAGAATCTACAAGATAGCGAAGTAGTCAATCAATGTTGCCAAATGGCAAATGAGAAACACTGAATATATTGACCTGAAGAGTTAAGATGAAAAGAGCAAAGTGGAGGAAGGGAGAGGAATGCATGTATATGGTAAATACGTTCATATAATAGAAAAAAACCTGACTTTAAAAATGAGAGAAAGGTTAAGACGGAGGGAGAATGAAATAAGCTAATTGTGTGCCTTAAAGCTGATGGATGAGAATCAAAGATTGTCATGTAAAGTGGACAAACCAAATAACTGAAGGTTAAGTCTAGTTAAGAATAGAAAAAAATCAACATTTTTCTATTGGGTGGTGAAGAAGTGAGGGAGGAAAGAAGGAAAGATTGCAATCTAATATTGTCCATCAAAGTAGAGAGCCAGCAGACATTGTCTAAAGGAAAATGACTCTAGGCATTATGTAAAGATAATAATGTAAAGGTAATCACTAAAACACAGACACAAACCTTCTTAAATAACAAATGAAATACAGAAGTAAATAAAAAAGAACAGAGATCATACATAGGAAACTTTTAATATATTTATCTTATAAATAAATAATATAATTAGAACTGAGATCAAACATATTAATTGTATTAATAAATGTAAATGGGCTTCACTTGCATGCTAATAGTTTCCAGTTTTTTAAAAAGATTATCTTTAAGACTATTGGAACAGGTATTGTTAACCCCTTGAATTTAATAATATTCCAGGAATTTTTAAAACATGTTGATTGAAAGTGTGCTAGAATTCTAGAGTAAAGGCATAAAGTGATATGGAACTGCCTGATGTAACTATTAGAACCACAATCCTGTTTTAACCCAGTTCATGAAATCAGAAACACCAAATAAAGTGAGGCTGGGGTCCATTTTTCACTTCCCCCACTCATTGGAAGCCCAATTCACCTGTCAGCTTGTGCCAACCACAAGACAGGCCCCAAGAGACCACACAACCAGCAATGCCACCTTCAATGTCAGCATTGCCTACACTTCATGGTCCCTGTTCATCAGATTTGTCCCTCTGGCACCATTCAATCACGTGCTTTGAAGACCATAAACTATAAAGACTTGAAGTAATCTCAACTCTTTCTTTTGAATACAAATATCAAAAACATAAAACAAACTTAAGCCAAAAAAGAAAACATATTGGCTCAATTAACTGAAAAGTCCAGGGGTAACTCTGACTTTAGCTATGACTATTTTCTTTCACAATCCATTTCCAGGCAGGCTCGCTCACCCATGCCCAAGTGAGGATGGCCACTAACAGCTCCAAATTTAGCATGGGAAGAGAGCCCCTCTGCCAGATTGCACTGGCCCGAATGAGTCACATGACCTCCTCTGAAATAACTATCATGACTCTGATTGAACAGGCAGTGTCATGTGTCCAACCCTATAGTGAAAGAGGTGAGATCAGCCACACTTGAGCCGAATGATCCAAGAGTGAAGGAATGGTGATTCTCATAAGAAAAACCAGCGGACAGAACAAATGGCCACTCCAGGGCTGGACTTGTACTATATGGTCTAAAGAACTATGGGGCATCAAACTAAAGTTTAAATTCGGGCCCAGTTGCTTAAAGGCATGTGACTTCCAGCAAACCTCTTAACATCTCTGAGGTTGAGTTTTTCCTTTTGTGAAAGATAGCTAATAATATATTTTTCATTGCTATTATAATTGGGTCTGTTCTTTACCTCCATACACCAAATATATGTTTTCATTCCCTCCACACTGGCCTGTCTCTCAGTCCCATTGTAACTTCTACCTAGGAAATGACAGTAGTTTAGCCGGGTAGTACCACATACTCCCTGACCCCGTTGGTCTACGGGACAAGCTCATCTACATTGGCATCACTCCTCCAAGTCATCTGGACTTATTTTCATTCTCTACGTGGCAGGGTGAAAGTGTGGATTCACCATAGTTCAGCAAGGTGACAGCATATTTAGCAACATAATGGAACACCTCTTCGTAAGCCCACACTAATGGGGAAATCCCATGTTGCCAAAAATAAGAGTTAATTAAAAATCCATCATGTTCAGTCAAGCTGATATCCCTTCGGAGACAATCACCAAAGGTGTTAATTACTTAAACTTCGAAGAGCCAGGTTTTAATCATTTGTGCAACAATAGTAACTCCAAACGTGAAAGTTGGCATTCTGGCCTCCCAAATAAGCTTGCAAAGCAGCCATACTTGTAGTCAGGGTCTTATATGGGTAAGACTGTCACAGACTACGGTATACACCTGCTGTTGAATCTGGAAATATACAATTGCCCATCATTGCCTAAGACAGGGATTTGCCTTCAGAATGTTTGCATAAAGACCACCAGAGACATGCACACGTGTTTTCAACTTTTTTCTTTGTTGAAATATGGGTCATTTCATATGCAGAATTAGTCAAACTGAATCATAGGACTGTTAGAGTTTGAATTATGTGTCCTCTCCAAATTCATACATTGAAGTCTTAACCCTCAGCACCTCAGAATGTAATGTGATTTGGAGATAGGATCTTTACAGAGATAAGTTAAAGTGACATTATTTTTTGGGGTGGGTCCTATTTCAAAGTCACTAGTGTCTTTATAAAAAGACAAAATTGGGGACACACACACAGGGAGAATGATATGTTTTAGTTTTTTGAGGACCCTCTGTGCTATTTTCCATAATGGCTGTACCAATTTACATTTCTACCAACAATGTACAATGATTTCCTTTTCTCCATACCCTCACCAACACTTATATTTTCTCTTTTTGATAATAGCCATTGTAACAGGTATGAGATGATATCTTATTGTGGATTTGATTTGTTTTTCCCTGATGATTAGTGAAACTGAACATAACTATGTATGATATACATATATATATATATATGTTGAACAACAAATATACATATATAATTTTTCTGTAGAGATGGAGTCTCCCTATGTTGCTGGTCTCAAACTCCTTGGCTCAAGCAATCTTCTCACCTAGGCCCCCCAAAGTGCTGAGATGACAGGTGTGAGCATTTTTTTTCATGTCTTTTGTTGGCCGTATGTATGTTTTCTTTGGAAAAATGTCTATTCAGGTCATTTGCCCAGTTTTAATTGGGTTATTTTCTTACTATTTTGTTGAGATCCTTATATGTTTTGGATATTAGCCCCTTATCAATTATATGTTTTACAAATATTTTCTTCCATTCTATAGGTCTTTTCATTTTGCTGATTGTTTCCTTTGCTGTGCAGAATCTTTTTAATTTGACTTAACCCCATTTGTCTAGTTTTCTTCAGTTGTCTGTGTTTTGGGGGCCATATCTTTAAAAATCATTGCCAGGATAAATGGCAAAAAGCTTTTTCCCTATGTTTTCTTTTAGTAGTTTTACAGTTTTAAGTCTTAGGTTTAGGTCTTTAATCCATTTTGAGTTGTTTTTTGTATATGGTGTGAGATAAGGGTCCAATTTAATTTTTCTGCAAGTAGATATCCAGTTTTCCTAATATAATTTATTAAATAAACTCTCATTTCCCCATGTGTATTTTTCATGACCTTGTCAAAAATTAGTTAATTCTATATGTTTGGGTTTATTTCTGGGTTCTCTAGACTGTTCCATTGGTCTATGTGTCTTTTTATGCCAGTACCATGCTGTTTTGATTTCTATACCTTTGCAATATAATTTGAAATCAGGAAGTATGATGCTTCTAACTTTGTTCTTCTTTCTCAAGATTGCTTTGGGTATTCCAGGGCTTTTTAAGACCATATGAATTTTAGGATTGTTTTTTCTATTACTGTGAAAAATGTCATTAGGATTTTGATACAAATCATATTGAATTTGTAGATTGCTTTGGGTAGGGTGAATATTTCAATAATAGCAACAATATTAATTATTTTGATCCATAACCTAGCAGTTTTATTTGTGTGGGGCCCTCCCTCCTCTCTCCCTCTTATTCTCCCAGGGAATGCTCATGGACAGGCTGTCCCATTTCACCAATTCCCAAGGAAGCACAACAACTCTCAGGAATCTCTAAGAGATAGAAACAAGGAGAGTCAGTAGTCTGCATGCCCCACCCATTTTAAGAATGACGAGGTCGTGCAAATCAATAACCAAATGGAGAAAATGCCAAAAGTTTTGTCTCCATCTTCCTTTCCATGCCCTTAACAAGCAATTTTCTGAGATGAATTCATGCTGTCAACTGGGAACTGAATCTCCTTTCCAGTAGTCTATCAGTCTGACAGCTTTTGTTATCTGTCAGTCACCCTCCTCATGAAGGAGGCTGAATGGAGAAGAATGAAAGAAACTACCTTTGCTGGGAGACAAAACAGGGATATCATATGAAAGTCCCAACAAGGAGACCCACTGAAATGAACTTTCAAAAAAGAGGTACAAAGAAATCTACACTTATACCAAAACAAAAAAGAAAGAATAAAAAAAGGAAGAACAAAACAAGGAGTGACTGCTGATTCCAGAATGAAGCTTCACATGCTGGTTTGGAGAATGTGCTTATCTGGAATCAGTGATACAGCCTAGGGCAGAATGGGTGGCTCCTCAAGGAAAATTATGGTTAGACATAGAAAGAACCACATAGATACCTTTAGAGCATGATTTGTCTTATGAGTTTATCCATGACCTTTCTGGGAGTTCAGTGGAGCTAGCTTTCTTGGAACAATTCATCTGAATAAAGCTCCAGAGGTTTTGTATGACAGCAATCTCACAGACATCATTACCGGGTCCATTTTACCAAGATCCAGCCAAGGCTTTTTATTAGTCACCTTTTCCCTCATTTCTATGGCAACTGTGGGGATGGGAGGTTTGTTTCTATGTGGGCCGTGCTGTTTTTATCTGGCACCACTTTAGAGCCATTTAGCTTGGGCTGAATTTGGGTGGCAACTAAATTCAGGGAGTGAGGAGGAAATTCAGGACCAGTAAAATCACAGCAAGGGGGAAAAAACCCATTAAGTTTCGGTCTCTTGATGCCTTTCAATTTAAAGGGAAGAAGAGCCTTTCTTCACCCTGTGTCCTAAATATTTTGAGACTCAGAGACAGACAGCTGAGAACCACAGAAAGTAAAATATTAATATTTGGAAAATGTGTTTAATCTTGGAAGTAAAGCAGCCACTCTTGGGGGATAGCTGGGAAAGTGGTCTTGGAGTCAGATATAACAAAATAGCATCTGTTTTGAGCGTTTATATGCCATGCATTGTGCTAAGGAATTATGTATTAGTTAGCCATCACTGCATGACAAATGACTCCAAAACAGTCACTTGAAACAATTTATCGTCTCAGCTTCTAGGGGTCAGGAACCTGGGCATGGCTTAGCTGAGCCCTCTGTTTCAGGGTTGTTCACAGGCTGCACTGACGGTGTTGTCCAGGGTTGTCACATCTCAAGGTTCACTTGGGGAGGGATCTGCTTCCAAGCTCACTCATGTGCTTGTTGACAGGATTCCATTTCACTTAGGCTGTTGGACTGAGGGCCTCAGTTTCTCACTAGCTGTTGACTGGAGGCCACCCTCAGTTCCTTGACATGTGGGCCTCTTCCTACATGACACCTGCTTCATCAGGCCAAGCATAAGGGACGAGAGAGAGAGACAACATTATGGTCTTCTATAACCTTATCTTGGGAATGATAGTCCAACACTTTTGTTATGTTCATTTCATTAGAAGCAAGTCATTAGGTCCAGCCTGCACTCAGTGGGGGAAGATTACACAATGGGGTGATACCAGGAGATGGGGATCAGGTGAACCACGCCAGAAATGCCTCCCACACCTTAGCATACATTACAAAGGCTCAGCTCTCCACAGCACCTCCTAGTACCCATTCCCCCATGGTCTATATCCATTCCCCCTCCCCAGACAAATCTAGGTGCAAAACTATGCTTCTTTGTGGGCCATGAAAACAAGTCCCTTCATGCCAAAGCATCAGTAAGAATGAAGAAGGAACATTTATTCCCCACTTGTATTGTTTCCCTGGGGGAGACTTTCTCTGAGCATTCGTGGCCCCTCTCCACACCCCTTACTTCCTCTTCTGGGTAGGAAGTTGGGGAGATGATGCTGAATCATATCTTTTTTTCTTTTCTCTCCTTTACATTTGCCTGTCTATGGGAAGATAGTATCCTGGTCGGCTTGCTTGGCCATCTTAGCGGAGCTCTGCCCTTCAGAGGGGGACACTGAAATTCAATTCGGGGGACTTTTAAAAAGCTTTTTGTCACATCTAAGTCACATCTAGCATAGCTTTCATCAGTGATAAAGTTGCACTTTAATCTTCACCTTGCTGATTCCTAGTTGTGTTCTAAAATAGAATGTATTAGTAAAAAAAATTGAGGTATATTGAAGTCAGCAGATCAGGAAATAAATACCATTGAAAAGATATTTTATTATTCACAGTTCCCAAAAGGAGCAAGCATGCTGTGCCACAGGGGCCTGCAAGGGGAAGGACCAGGCTTGCGCACAGGGCAGAGGGAGAGGGGCCCTGTGGCAGGAGCCTTTACTGTGGTCACTGTGGGATGGAATGGGGGAGGCAGGGCAAGCAGGTTTGGCCCGTTTGAGTAATTTCCATGGGCTCTGGGGCACTGGGGCAATCTTAGTTGTCTGATACCTGCCCTGGGTGATTAGGGCAGATGCACAGTGGACAGAATATGAGTGCCTGATAAAGAAGGCGGTTGGGGCTGTGAACTCCAGATTGATTGGTTTGTATTTTGAAAAGTGGGTCCTCGGGAGCAGGGCTCCTCCCTAGGGGAGGGGTGGGGGTGGCAGGCAACGAGGGAGTCTGGAGGCCAAGGTGAGGTGACTCAGGTATATTTTTGGGTTGTCCGGAACAAGGCATCCCTGGCATAGATGTGTAGGGAAAACGTGAAAATCCTCAAGTGCACAGAAGCTGGAAATGCAGTTAACAAAGCTTCCTCTCGGTAAGTGCAGGAATCATGTGAGGCAGCCAGTGGAGAGGGATGTGATCTGATGTAGGCTTTAAAGGGGCCCCTTTCTCCACTCTGTTGGGAATGGGCTGCAGGTGGTAGAGTCAAGTCAGGGAGACCTGAGGAGAGGCTCTGGCAGGCATGGGGTAAGAGGGTGGAGACTGTTCAGGCTGGTAAGAAGTGAGAAGGTTCTGGTGAGACGCTGATGGTGGAGCCAGCAGGATTCGCTGACCATTTGGAGGCAGGACGTGAGAAAGAGGAGGAGCTGAGTCTTTGTGACTTGCACATCCAGAAGGCTGATCTTGCCCTCTGGTAAGACTGGCGAGGCTGCAGGTGGAGCAGATTTGCAGGGGGAAGAGCTGGGGTCAGATATGAACTTGTCAATTGTGAGGGGCCTGGGAGACATTACAGCAGGCAGAATGATAGGCCCTAAAGATTTCCACATTCTAATCCTTGGAATGGGTGAATATATTACCTTTCATGGCAAAGTGGAATGAAGGTTGCAGATGGAATTAAGGTAACAAATCAGCTGACCTTAAAATAAGGAGAGTATTCTTTATGATTTGTGTGAGTGAGCCCAATGCCACTACAAGAGTCCTTCAAGGTGGAAAAGGGAGGCAGAAGAGGAGTTGGTGTAAGAGTGGTGTTATGTGATGCGATGTGAGGACTCAACTGGCCGTTGCTGGCTTTAAAGATGGAGGAAGGAGGCAGGAGCCAAGGAACACAGGGGAGCCCTAGAAGCGAGAAAAGACAGGAAACCAGATGCTCCCCTAGAGCCTCCAGAGGAACACAGCCATGCCCACATCTTGACCTTCATCCAGTGAGGCCATGTTGGACTTCTGACCTCCAGAACTTTAAGAGAAGAAATTTAAATTGCTGTAAGCCACCGAATTTGTGAGACCTTGTTATGGCAATAATCGGCTGGGCAGGGTGGCTCACGCCGGTAATCCCAGCACTTTGGGAGGCCGAGGTGAGCGGATCAGGAGGTCAGGAGTTTGAGACCAACCTGACCAACATGGTGACACCCTGACAAAAATACAAAAATTAGCCAGGCGTGGTGGCACGCAGCTGTAATCCCGGCTACTCAAGAGGCTGAGGCAGGAGAATCGCTTGAACCCAGGAGGTGGAGGTTGCAGTGAGCCGAGATGGCGCCACAGCACTCCAGCCTGAGTGACAGAGGGAGACTCCAACTCAAAAAAAAAAAAAAAAAAGGGAAACTATTAATAATACAGACATTTAAGTAGCTGCCCAGTGCTGTTGGGAAAATAAATAGGCAAATAATATAAAATAATTATGCAATGAGACACAGAGGGAGAGATGAGAGTTGGGGGTCCAGGGGTGGGTGAGAGAGAGAGAGAGAGAGAGAGAAATAAGCTGAAGGTATTAATTCCTGGGGTTTTGGCTCCTGCAGCCTCCCCTTCAACCACTTATTCTTCCTCAACTATGAGAGTGATCAATCCTCTTTCTGTTTACTGTCATTTGATTTAGGTTTCCTTAACTAGCCACCATGAGTCCTGACTCACACGAAGGTTTGTGGTGAGGCCTAAGTGGGACGCCATCTGCAAAGTCCAGTCTCACCTGGGTGGAAGTACAACCTCGTCTCTGATATAAGTTCCATTTCCTCCCTTTCCCCCCAACTTTTCCTTTTCACCTGCCAGGCTGGAGGCTCAGGGGACTTGGAGGGGAAGAGGGTGTAGGCTGTTCTTTTATTCCTTCTTGCCCTCCCTTACCTTGCACAACAGGGAACTGCAGCCACCTATTTTGGAGACACTTCCAGCCTGCCTCCTCTTCTGGGGTCAAGAAATAGGAGGAGGAAGAGGGATGAGGACAAATGAGTCTGCTTGCCAAATGCTCTTGTCCTTTTCAATTTTTTGGCTGTCACTGCCAAAGTTTCTGGCCAACACTTGATGAGTCTTCGATGGCCTCAGTGTGGAAGGTGCCGGAGTGGCTCTCACAGGGGCACATGTGTGTGGCGTGGAGGAGGAGAGGGACAGAACCCCTGCAGTCTGCATTTAGCAGATGAATGACTCCAAATCCCCCAGATTTTCTCTTCCATGCTTTCCTGTCTTCTGCTTAGCTAGTAGGGCAGGCATGGGATAGGACTGAGGTGGCTTTGTGGTGCCAATTCCACCCTTCTTAGTAAACCCTCAAGGGTAGGCAAACCTTGCCCATCCAAGTGCCCTGGTCAGTTGGCCTTGTGCAGCCACCTTCTCGGCCCGAGCTTCGGATGGCAGGGAACCTGTCCTCTTCATCACTGTGCCCATGGCATGGAACAGATGCCAGTGTGTGTTTATGCGATGAATAAATGAGGGCATTAGTGGCTTTGCACGGGAGAGAAATCAAAAGAAAACGAGCTGGGTTGTATCCAGGGAAAAAGAACTCGTAATATTCATCTTCTGCCAGAGATGGAGACAAAGGATGGAAAACCAAGTTGTAACCACACACAGCTGAAAGCAGGAACGGGAGAAAAACAACAGCTTCACATTTATACTCCTCGGAGTTCAGAACATCCAAGAAAACATTACATGATGTTCATTATTTCACTTAATCCTCACAACCATCCTCTGGGGGCAGGTACTATTAACCCATTGTGCTGAGGTGCAAACTGGGGCTCAGGAAGCAAAGTGCCTTGCCCAAGGTCAGACAGGTGGTGGGTCTGGTGTCCCAACTCACAGTTGCCCCTGGAACTTTCCATGGCCCCAAGATGCCACCATCAGCAAGAATCACTGAAGTCATTTAACTTACGCTGAAGACTCATCCTGGCAGCTCTCCTCAGCTATTCTAGGAAGTCAGACAAGGCCAGGGCAGCTGTGTCAGAAAATATCTCTGCCTTGAGGTTTGAAGATCTAGGAGTTCCCTGACCTCAAACCATCAGAGCTTCTGAAATGACTTAAAGAGACAGCTACAAGCTTCTCCAACAGAGGGAAGATGTTTCTTGGATGCTCTTTTTTCCTTTTAATCTTACATTCTACTTGGCTCTCTCCTAGCCCCCACCACTGCCATTCAATGTTTTTTTTTTCTTTTAAGACAGTCTTAAGAATGGCAGAAAGGTGATAGTTGAAGCCAAGTGTGGGTACACGGGGATCACTGTTAGTTTCTCTACTTCTGCCTCAGTGTGAACATTTGCCCAGAATGAGGGTCTATGACAAGGCGGGTTTGTGTCCTGTGGTGAAGGGCTGCTTGGTCATTGGATTCTCATGCAGTCAGAAAATATTATTTCCGAAGTCTGTTTAGATCAGGGGTCTGCAGAATCACAGCCTATGGCTGACTATTTTTTGAAATAAAGTTTTTTTATTATTATTATTATACTTTAAGTTCTAGGGTACATGTGCACAACATGCAGGTTTGTTACATAGGTATACATGTGCCATGCTGCTTTGCTGTACCCATTAACTTGTCATTTACATTAGATATTTCTCCTAATGCTATCCCTCCCCCTGTCCCCCACCCCATGACAAGCCACGGTGTGTGATGTTCCCCACCCTGCGTCCAAGTGTTCTCATTGTTCATTTCCCACCTGTGAGTGAGGAAATGCAGTGTTTGGTTTTCTGTCCTTGTGATAGTTTGCTCGGAATGCTGGTTTCCAGCTTCATGTATGTCCCTGCAAAGGACATGAACTCATCCTTTTTTATGGCTGCATAGTATTCCATGGTGTATATGTGCCATATTTTCTTAATCCAGTCTATCACTGATGGACATTTGGGTTGGTTCCAAGTCTTTGCTATTGTGAATAGTGCTGCAATAAACATACATGTGCATGTCTCTTTATAGTAGCATGATTTATAATCCTTTGGGTATATACCCAGTAGTGGGATCGCTGGGTCAAATGGTATTTCTAGCTCTAGATCCTTGAGGAATCACCACATTGTCTTCCACAATGGTTGAGCTAGTTTACAGTCCCACCAACAGTGTAAAAGCATTCCTATTTCTCCACATCCTCTCCAGCACCTGTTGTTTCCTGACTTTTTAATGGTCGCCATTCTAACTGGTATGAGATGGTATCTCATTGTGGTTTTGATTTGCATTTCTCTGATGACCAGTGATGATGAGCATTTTTTCATGTGTCTGTTGGCTGCATAAATGTCTTCTTTTGAGAAGTGTCTGTTCATATACTTTGCCCACTTTTTGATGGGGTTGTTTTATTCTTGTAAACTTGTTTAAGTTCTTTTTAGATTCTGGATATTAGCCCTTTGTCAGATGAGTAGATTGCAAAAATTTTCTCCCATTCTGTAGGTTGCCTGTTCACTCTGATGGTAGTTTCTTTTGCTGTCTGTGCAGAAGCTCCTTTAGTTTAATTAGATCATGTTTGTCTATTTTGGCTTTTGTTGCCATTGCTTTTGGTGTTTTAGTCATGAAGTCCTTGCCCATGCCTATGTCCTGAATGGATTGCCTATGTTTTCTTCTAGAGTTTTTATGGTATTAGGTCTAACATTTAAGTCTTTAATCCATCTTGAATTTATTTTTGTATAAGGTGTAAGGAAGGGATTCAGTTTCTGCTTTCTACATATGACTAGCCAGTTTTCCCAGTACCATTTATTAAATAGGAAATCCTTGCCCCATTTCTTGTTTTTGTCAGATTTGTCAAAGATCAGATGGTTGTAGATGTGTGGTGTTATTTCTGAGGCCTCTGTTCTGTTCCATTGCTCTATATCTCTGTTTTGGTACCAGTACCATGCTGTTTTGATTACTGTAGCCTTGTAGTATAGTTTGAAGTCAGGTAGCATGATGCCTCCAGCTTTGTTCTTTTTGCTTAGGATTGACTTGACAATGCAGGCTCTTTTTTGATTCCATATGAACTTTAAAGTAGTTTTTTCCAGATCTGTGAAGAAAGTCATTGGTGATGGCATTGAATCTATAAATTACCTTGGGCAGTATGGCCATTTTCATGATATTGATTCTTCCTATCCATGAGCATGGAATGTTCTTCCATTTGTTTGTGTCCTCTTTTATTTCATTGAGCAGTGGTTTGTAGTTCTCCTTGAAGAGGTCCTTCACATCCCTTGTAAGTTGGATTCCTAGGTATTTTATTCTCTTTGTAGCAATTGTGAATGGGAGTTCACTCATTATTTGGCTCTCTGTTTGTCTGTTCTTGGTGTATAGGAATGCTTGTGATTTTTGCACATTGATTTTGTATCCTGAGACTTTGCTGAAGTTGCTTATCAGCTTAAGGAGATTTTGGGCTGAGACGATGGGGTTTTCCAAATATACAATCATGTCATCTGCAAACAGGGACAATCTGACTTTCTCTTTTCCTAATTGAACACCCTTTATTTCTTTCTCTTGCCTGATTGTCCTGGCCAGAACTTCCAACACTATGTTGAATAGGAGTGATGAGAGACGGCATCCTTGTCTTGTGCCAGTTTTCAAAGGGAATGCTTCCAGTTTTTGCCCATTTGGTATGATATTGGCTGTGGGTTTGTCATAAATAGCTCTTATTAATTTGAGATATGTTTCATCAATACCTAGTTTATTGAGAGTTTTTAGCATGAAGCACTGTTGAATTTTGTTGAAGGCCTTTTCTGCATCTATTGAGATAATCATGTGGTTTTTGTCGATGGCTCTGTTTATGTGATGGATTATGTTTATTGATTTGTGTATGTTGAACCAGCCTTGCATCCCAGGGATGAAGCTGACTTGGTCATGGTAGATAAGCTTTTTGATGTGCTGCTGGATTCGATTTGCCAGTATTTTATTGAGGATTTTCGCTTCGATGTTCATCAGGGATTTTGGTCTAAATTCTCTTTTTTTGTTGTGTCTCTGCCAGGCTTCGGTATCAAGATGATGCTGGCCTCATAAAATGAGTTAGGGAGGATTCCCTCTTTTTCTATTGATTGGAATAGTTTCAGAAGAAATGGTACCAGCTCCTCTTTGTACCTCTGGTAGAATTCAGCTGTGAATCCATCTGGTCCTGGACTTTTTTTGTTGGTAGGCTATTAATTATTGCCTCAATTTCAGAGCCTGTTATTGGTCTAACTGCAGCCTCTGCCTCCAGGGTTCAAGCAATTCTCATGCCTCAGCGTCCTGAGTAGCTGGGACTACAGGCGTGCACCACCACGCCCGGCTAATTTTTTGTATTTTTTAATAGAGATGGAGTTTCATCATGTTGGCCAGGATGGTCTTGGTCTCCTGACCTAGTGATCCACCCCACTTGGCCTCCCAAAGTGGTGGGATTACAGGCATGAGCCACTATGCCTGGCTGGAAATAAAGTTTTATTGGAGTACAGCCACACTCATTCATCTAATCACTCATTTAGTGTCTGTGATTACTAAGCAGATCTGTGAAGGCAGAGCTGAGTAGTTGTGACTGAGACCTAATGGACAGCCAGTCCTAAGATATTTACTATCTGGACTTTTAAGAAAATGTTTGTCTATTAGACAAATGTGGTTTAGACTGATGATGATGATGACGATCATGACAATGATAATGATGGTGGTGACGATGTCAGTGATGATGATAATGATGTAACTGATTTACCTTAAGTCACGCCAAGAAATGTGTGAGTACTTCCACCAGATGTGGACCCAGCAGTAAAGGAGGGCAGCTGGGCACGGCTTTAACTTCTGCTGAGAGGATCTCCTGGAAGGAGCAGCCAGCACTAAATAAAGGGATGGCCAAGGGACAAGGGCCTAAGGGGAGACTGGAGACAGCAAAAGGAAAGGCATCTCTATCATATGAGTTCCAGCAGAGGATCCCAGCAGAGGAGCCCCCAGAGAACCCACGGAAACACCCTCAGTGGGCAATCTCAGCTTTAACACCTTCTCGAACCAGAGAATGCAAAGCTGCCCTGTTGTGTAAGAAATGTTGCTTCCCCTTTCCTCTCCTCCTTTCCATCCTGAGTGGGTTATGAAAGAGCAGCTGGCAAGTGCAGAGGAAGGGCAGGTGCAGTCAGTAGAGAAGATTACTTGTTGACCCTACCTGTCCCTTCCACTGAGGTTGGCTTTACCTGAGGAAGGAGTGGAGGAGCAGCAGCTTTACCTTTGGGAGGAGAGGGAGAGGTTGATTAATATCATGGACGGACACTGTTAGTTTCTGAATTGAGGCTGTGGCTGGGGATTTAAGTGGCTTAGGTCTGCCTCTGCCACACAGGAGGGAGGGGCAGGAGAGGCATGGGGACTTTCCTTCTCATTCAGGAGACAGAGAAAGGTGGTTTTTGACCACTTTGTGCAAGACGTTCTTGTTTAATGTAACAGTTACAGTGATAACAATGACAAGAGAGTCACAACAATGACCTCTTTATGGCACCGGAGTAGTCCCTCTACCTTTTGCACTCCTAGCCCTGACCATAAAGCATGTGACTTTGACGACAACAGTCCTCTAACCTCACCCGTCTGTCCATCCTCCTTACTGGCCTCCCTCTGAATGCAAAGCTCCAGCCCCACAGTTTGTGTGCCCTTACCTGAAACTGATATTCTCCTTTTTCTTTCTCCGTTGGTACCAGCTCTTACTTTTACCAAATGCCTTCCTCCTCATTTAACTATCTGCCTCCTCCTCAACTTGAAGACTCTCCGACCACCCAGTGTATTGTAGCCACTTCTTCCTGTCTTATTAATCACCCTGTGTGGCCCTTATCAGCATCCAAATAGTGTCACTGGTGTGCATACACACGTGTTTGCCATGAGTCTGCCCGGGCCTCTATTTGGGTCTCACTGTACCCTCAGCACTTAGCTCAGGGCCTGACACACAGCTGTGCTTTCTACATACAATCTCGTGTTTTCAGAATATTGGTTCACATTATTTTAAAAAACAGTGCAGGCCAAACAAAACTTCTCTCTAAGCTGCATTCCTTGCACAGCTGCCTGTTTTGGATGGATGTTCCAGGAAGCTTTCTGAAATCTGAAAGTGGGGGCGAGGACCCATGGCCTCCAGAGCTCAGGAGACCACAGGGAAAGGCCTGGATGAGGCAGGAGAGATAAGGAGAGATAAGGAGGACCAGGGAGGGCTCCAGGGAATCCGACTCCCTGGGCAAGGCTCTTCCCCGAATGAAAGGCTCTGCCTCAACACCCTCTGTCCAATGACAGTCGCTGCTGCTACCAAGGACAACAGTCCCCAGACTCTTCCAGCTCAGAAAGAATTCTGCCTGTGAAAACAGAACATTATCAAGTTGGGTTTGTGATGCATGACCGGGTCCCAAAATAGTATCCACGCCCCCTCCCTTGTCCCGCTGGAAGGCTGTGTGTGAGTTTCTTTATTTTGGAGTCACTGTCTGCAGGCTGCTCTGGTTTCCATGCCTTTTCTTCATCCTGCACCCCTCGGCTAACTCTCAGCAGGAAAGCTGTGAACTCAATTCTTAATTAAGTTCCCTGGCTGCCAAAAATAACCAGGCCCCCACCCACCCCCCTCCCATCCCCCACCACACAGAGGCACCCCTAGTCTTTCTGTGCATCTGATGAGGTTGGATCAGAAGGGAAAGGGAAGAGATGAAGACTGTCAGTTCCATGTCTGTTTTCTGTCCTTTATCTTAACTGAATTACATTTGGGTCCATGTAATGATAGACTTTTGAATAGCGACAGACTGGACTTCAACCTCTGCCACTTTCCTGCTTGCTGTGTGTCCCTGGACAAGTCACTTCACCTCTCTGAGCTTCAGTTTTCTCACCTATAGGTGGGGAAGAATATACCCTTATGGCATTAAGTTGACACCTAATTAAATGGTAGTGGTCCAGCAAGGTGGTCCTGCTGACTCCCACTTTACAAAGGAGAAAAGAGGCTGGGGGCATCTCAGTGACTTCTCCAGCCATGGTGGGTGTTAGGGGCTCCAGCCTGGCTTGCAGGTCCCAGTCTTGTTAAAATCTGACCACGTCACTCGGATGTTCGCACTTCTTTGGTGTTTCCTATTGTGTTAGGCTAGAGACCAAAACCATTGCGGAACCCACCAGGAACCTCTCCTGTGTCTCAGTTCTTCCTCCCTGAGCCCTCCTCCCTGAAGCCCCATCTCTCGCTGTTTTCTTTGATCACTTTCTCTCCCCAGCTACACTGCTTGCTTTCAATTCCTTGATGCACTGTGCTCCCTCCTGCCTCGGGGCTTTTGCACCTGCTGTTGTTCCTTCTCCCCGGATGCAAGGCCACCTCCCTTCTCCCACACTGTGCCTGGAACCTCTTCATCCCTCAGCATTCTGCTTAAGCTTCACTTCCGTGGAGAAGCCGGCCTCCTAGGGCCCCAGAGGCACTTCTCCTGTCTCCTTCCACCTCTTACCTTTGTAATTAAACATGTAATTAAATATGTGTGGAAGGATGATGACAGCTGTCCCTCACATTAGCCTGTGAAGCCCTCAAGAGCTGAGATCACACACTTCTTATCCACCACTGGATCCCCAGGCCTAGAACTATGCCTGGCCAAAGCAGTGGCTCCATATGTAGTTGTCAATATACAGAAATAAATGATTGAATAGCGAACTGAACCTATCCTCGTGCCCTCTGAAGGGAATCAGGATGGTCTTGCAGACCACCCCATCTCTCCGCAGGGGCTTCTGACACAAAAGGGCTCAGCTGCCCCCCACTCCAGGAGATGGCTCTGAGCCTCTACCAGGTGCTCCCAACGCCCTGCAGATGAGCTCGCCCGGCAAGTGGAAGGAATCGTTAATTAATAAGCAGCAGGTTCTCCAGAAAAATACAGCCTGTGCAAAGGCAGCATCTCAACAGTGGAGACCCAAGGCCATTTCTGCTCCCCTCGCCCCCACCCTGCAATGCTTCTCCCCTCTCCACTCGCACTTCCCCACAGGCACAGGGTCCTGGGTTCTGGCAGGGCCCTCTGACATCAGCCCAGGAGATAAGGAGTCTTCTCTTTGTGCTTTCCCTGACAAGTGAGCCTGAGCTGGTGGGTTCTGTTAGCCAAGGGCCGAGCTTCCAGCAGAGCTGCAGCTCCCGCAGTGCGGACAGTATAGGAGAGAACTGGGATTCTGCAGCAGAACTGACAGAGCAAGTGGAGGGAGCTGTGCGCTGGGGGCTTCAGGTTTTTGTCACTTTTAGGAGCAGGGCAAAGGGTCCCTCCGTGTGTTGTCCCTTTTCAAAACAAAACAAAACATTATCACATCAGGGAAATTTTGGAAAAGAAATGAAAAAAAAATCTCTCACAAATCTAGCACCCTATAGGTGCAACATGGCATACTTTGCAGACTTTGTGCACAGGCAGCTCTGGTTTTGCATAGCTGAGGTCCTGGTGCAGAAGCCGTTTTGCTTTCACATTTCTTTTTTCACTCGAGGTCGTGTGTGAACATTTCTCGAGTGGTGCTTCTAATGATCAGTGTCAATGGCTTCAGAATGTGGCTCCCCCTTGGTGGCCTTGCTCTGTCTCACCTCCCAGTCTCTTCTCCCACCACTCCCAGATCTGCTACCCTGACCTCCCCAAGACCCTGCGTGCTGGTCCTGTTCTGGCCAGGGTCTGGTGTGAGGGGTAGCTCTGGACAAGCTACCAAACCTTTGTGAGCCTCATTCCCTGTCTCTAAACTAGAGCACGATCAGGACGGCCCCTCAGAGATGGGGCTTCGGTAAGGATTAGCTGAGTGGATTTGCTGCCTATGGCTCCCATAACACATGACCACAGACTGGGCGGCTTAAAACAACAGAAATGTATTCTCACTCAGATCAAGAGGCCAGGCGTGAGAAACCGAGGTGGCAGCAGGGTTGCTTCCTTCTGGAGGTTCCAAGGGAGAAACTGTCCGGGCCTCTCTCCCAGCTTCTGGGGCTGCTGAAATCCTGGGGGTTCCTTGGCTTGCGGAGGTGTCACTCCAACCTCCGCCTCCATCTTTGGATCCTCTTCACCTCTGTGTCTCTGTGTCTCTGTGTCCTCTTTTCTTCTTCTTTTTTTTTTTTTTTTGAGACGGAGTTTTGCTCCTGTCACCCAGGCTGGAGTGCAGTGGTGCAATCTCAGCTCACTGCAACCTCCGTCTCCCAGGTTCAAGTGATTATGCTGCCTTGGCCTCCCAAGTAGCTGGGATTACAGGCACCTGCCACCACGCCCAGCTAATTTTTTGTATTTTTAGTAGAGATGGGGTTTCATCATGTTGGGCAGGCTGGTCTCGAACTCCTGACCTCAGGTGATCCACCCGCCTCGGCCTCTCAAAGTGCTGGGATTACAGGGGTGAGCCACTGCGCCCGGCCCTCTCTTCTTCTTATAAGGACACCAATCATTGCATTTAGGGCGTTGCCCTAAACCCAGGATTATTTCCTCTTAAAGTCCTTGACTAGTTACAGCTGCAAAAGCCCTATTTCAAATAAGGCCAATTTCTCAGGCAGACATGAACGAAGACACTATACTAAGACAAAACAAAGGGAGTGAATAGCACTGAGAAATTAACACTAGCTGTACTGGAGATCAGAGGTGCTCAATAAACATTGAGCACATTTACAGACCTGCCCTAGGGGTTGCCTTCTCCCACCTGCTAGGCACAGTGAGCAAGGCTGACCCCTCATCTGCCATGTTGAAGTCAGAGCCGCCTGACAAAGCCCAGGACCCTATGCCATGGAGGTTAGGTGGGACATGAAATGCAGGGGGGCTGGGGAGGAGAAGAAGGTATTCTTAGGGGCCCACAAAAATGTTTCAGTTTTCTTCAAACAAGAAGAGAATAGTGACTCTCATCCAGCCTGAATTATATTTGTCTTTATACCAATGCAGCTGTAAAATATAATTTTTAAAAGTTTTCTGAGGAAGGGACCTATGAAGGCAAGAATGCTTGGAGCCCATGAAAGTCCCAGGAGGGGTCCTAGCTCCTTGGGGTGGCCGAGTGAGGCTTTTGCACGTGTTGCTCCTGTTCATTCATTGGTGGTGTGGTTGGCATCACTGTCCCCATTTTTTGGGTGAAGGAACTAAAGGTCTATGAAAATTTGAGTTGCACCAACCCCAGGCCGGGAGGGCCTTTGGTGCACTCTAACCTGGCCCCCAGGAAATGGGCCCAGTAAGGCAGGGCACCCACAGGGCTGCGCTGAACTCGGAGTGGAGCTGGGTGTGCAGCCTGGCTCTCCTGGCTCCCTATCTTGTGACTGTTCTGCTCACACCTGGCTGATCTCGAGGGGATGTGTCTCCGCCACCCAGATCGGCATGCTGGCTGCTCTCTTGGTAAATCCACTACCTGATCTCCAGGTAGGCTGTGTCCTCGCCAAGCCTCCAATGACCACTATAGGGAAGGGACATTGTGTGCGGTCAGGGGTGCTCATGCTCACTTGCACCAGCCCTCAGGAAGGCTGGCTGAGGACCATGTCACTAGAGGAGCTGGTCTTGCTTCTGGGACTAGTGGGGCAGAGTCTGTCTCCACAGGTAAATGAATCTTACCTGGTCCTCAGCCTGAGGACACACAGATGAATGCAATGCAACCCCTCCCCTTCAGGAGGGCCCATCCAGGTAAGGGAGGCAGACTGGAGAAGTCACTGAGGGCTTCCTGGAGGGGGTGGTAGTCCAGGGGAGACCTGAGTGATGACCGAGAGGCAGGCAGGTAAAGAGAGTGTGGTAGGACAGGGCTTGGAAAGTACACAAGTGGAGGTCAGAGAGGAATGGAACATTCTAGATTAGAGAGCAGTTGCAGACTCTGAGGCAGAAAGTCTGGGCCAGGGAGCTGGTGGAGAGAGGTTGGAGATTCGGCCAGAGAGGAGGCAGGGGCCAGGTGACACGAGGCTTTGGGGGCCTTTATCGAGAGCATGAATTTCATTCTGTGTACAATGGGAGCTATTGGAAGATTTTAAACAGGGGAATGACATGCTCCAACTGATGTCTTTCTAGGGTTCCTCTGGCAGTGAAGATCAGATTGGAGGGGAGGTTGGAGGGGTGGAGGGGAGGTGATTGTCATTAGCTGGGTAACAAATATTGAAGACTCAGCCCACAGTACTGGTAAAGGAGATGCCAAAAAACCAAAGTATTTTTGGAGAAAGATTGAGTCATGGAAGGCTCCACAAGGGAGGTGGTGCTGAGTAGGGTTTTGAAAATTGAGTAGGAGTTTGCTCAGCAAGCGAAGGCTAAGGGGCCTCTCCTGATGATGAGGCCAGCATGTGTGAAATTCCACAAGGGTGACTCTGGCTGGATGGTGCTGGAATACAACCAGTAAATGGGGATGTGATGGGAGGGGAGAGAGCTGGGAAGGGGGCCATGGAGAGCCTCCAGTACAATGCCCAGAGCTCAGGCACTGTCTCACAGGCAGTGGGAGCTCTAGAAGCCACATACTTAGTTCACACATTTAATTGCAATGAAAGGACTGGGAAGCATTCTACAGGCGGAAGGCATGAATGAATGAGTCAAACACACTGTAAAATACGTCTTTAAAGAATCGAGAGCAGATGAGGATGCCGGAAGGAACATACTCATGATCACTCTCTCTGCTTGCTCCCTCTGATGTCTCAGTCCCCAGGGCAGGGGCCGCGGCAGCAACCAAGGATGGGAGAAAACCCCACAGGGAGAAACAGGGAGGGCGAGATCACACCCAATCCAAAGATGCCCCCACCGTCACGGGGGCAGGCGGGCTGATCTTCCAATGACAAATTTGTAAATTTTAACAGAGATGCATTTGTCTTAACAAACATAAGAAAAAAGTACTCATCCAACTCATTATTTTACATATGGTGTTGCTAAGATCGACCTAAATGTATATGAGAAATGAGTCAACCTAAAGTAAAACAGTAAGTAAAAGATTGCAGAAGACGACATTGGCTATAGTGTAATGGATAAAGTCTGGGAAGCACTGAGAACGCTACCTCCAGTGGTGAGGGGGGGTGTGGCGGCTGCAGAGCTATCCATCAGTCTGCCTGGTGGAGCAGAGGCAATCTGAGGAGGCTGGCAAGTGCTGCTTTGTAAGCGAACAGATAGGGATGCTGATGGATGCCACTGGGATTCAATGCAGCAGTGAACTCGCCTTCTCTCTGTAGCACCTTCCCGTACAGTATTCCCGCACCCGGCTGGGTATGCTGTGAGCTCACTACACTTCCCATGTCCCCCCCGAGATACGAACTCAGAGACAGCGGGCTGCCGGGCTCTTTTCTGCAGAGCCCGGTCTCTAAGTTGCCATCATGAATTGACACAGAGGCCCTTCTTACTGGAAGGACCAGCACAGGATACAGAGGTGTGGGCAGCTGTCCTCCCACCCACACAATAAAATAATTGTCATAGTGATAATGACGCACATGTCACAGCTAGTGAATTCCCAGCCTGGGCCTACTCCATGCACTTCACATGCACTCCATAATTTATTCTTCATCCAACCTAGTGAGGTGAGCAGTTTTACCCTTTTTCTACAGATGAGGAAACTGAGGCTCAAAGAGGTGGGTACATTGCCCAAGGACATAGGGCTGTGGCAGAGCCGGACTTCTAGCCCGAGTCTGGCTGGTTCCAAAGCCCAGAGTTTGCATGAACAAGCTGGAGGCGGTGCTGCTGCAGCCCCGAGGCTAGGTTGGGCTGCACATGTGTTTGGTTTGGCTCGCTCGGTGTTGAATTCTTTCTAATTGGTTGGCAACATCTAAAGGCTGGAGATTTCACATGAAAACCAATCATTCTGGCTTCTCTAAGCAGAGCTGGGCCCTCCGGCCACCTGGGCCTACCTCCTCACCTGGCCACATGCATGGGGCTGCCCTGGTAGCCAAAGCCTTTGCTCTGTGCTTTTCCACAGGCCCCACCAGTCCCTATTGTCCCTCTCACCCACTCACCTCACCCACAACCCATGGGACAGGCATCGGCCTTTACCATGGTGGGCACCGGGACGGTCCAGGTGTCCTGAGCGGGAAAGGTCGGCTTGGTCTCCATACAGCCTTGGGTCCCACTCAACAGAGCCTGAGCATGAAGTATGCCCTGTGTCCACAACCCTGGTGGGGAAACTGAGGCCCAGAGAGAGAGAGGAGGCATTATGTTCTTACTGTTGCTGTAACATATGAATGTACTGCCTAAAAACAATATCCATTTATTCTCTTGTAGTTCTGGAGATCAGGAGTACAAAACGGGTCTCAATGGCTAAAATTAAGGTATCACAGGGCTACGTTCCTTCTGGAAGCTCTAGGAGAGAATGCTTTCCATCGTCTTTTCTAGCTTCTAGAGGCTGCCTACATTCCTCCACTCGTAGCTTCTCCCTTCATCTCCAGAGCCCAGTGGCATAGAATCTTCATCTCTCTCTCCCACCTCCCTTTCAGGGGGACCTTTCTGAGACCACTGGGTCCCCCTGGTTAACCCGGATATTCTCCCAACTCGAGATCCTTGCCCAAGGTACAGTGTGAATAGTAGGAATAGTGGGAAGCGAAACTCAGGACATTTTCCTCAGTTCCCCTTCTGGATACCACACAGCCTCCTTGAAAAGAAAATGTTTAAATTCTGATGTTTCACAGGGAATGGACAGAAAGAGGCAGGTTCAAAGATTAGGGTAAAAGCCAAGTGAGGAGGCCCCCAAATTGCAGAGAGCCAGGGGGTGTGGGTCTTCCCTGGCACAGCACAAATGTGACCCATAATAGGGACATGAATGGAAACAGAGCAGCTCTGAGGTCCTTGGCCCTGCTCCTGTGTTCCCCAGCTTCCCCCATCACCCTGGCAGACACCTACCTGCATATCTCCCGTGCCTGCCTCTCCCAGACTCCAGCCTCCCGTGAGCCTTTCCTGAAATGCAAACCTGAACACTTCCTTTCAAACACTCCCTGCCCCCTAGGATCAAATCCAAGTTCAGTGCCCAGCATTCAAAGGCCCCATGGCTTGTCCCCCACCCCTCCCCACGCCGCTACTATCTCTGCCTTTTGATCTGGAGAAAGCCTTGGCTTGGAGGCCAGAAGCCTAATAGTCCTTTTGCCTTGATGGCATCAGGCGTATTTCCATTTCACATACAATTTCTCATCGACATGACACCCAAACCTTGTGAGTGGTTGGCCCGTTTCTCAAATGAGGATAAGTGCCCAGAGAAGCCTAGTAGCTTCCCCCACATCACACAGCTAGTAAGAGGCAAATCAGAGGTCTGAATTCAGCTCTTTTGTCTCCCCTGAGGTTGCTCACGGGGCTCTGAGCCCAGGGCCTGGCCTGTGCTGTGGGGTTGACAAATGTGCAGAGGGCGTAAGGACGGCAGGCTCTCCCGAGTGGCTCACAGTTCGGCCTCCAGCAGCCTCCTTTTGGGAAGCATCATAAATTAAAAACCCATCATGTCGCCAGGCTTGGACAGTGTCCCTGATGCTGGAGGAATAATTCATGGCACACGACTGGAGCTGGAGATGGCAAAGCCTGCTAGGATTCAGCTCCTGCCCTGCCCCAGGAACAGTTTTCAGCCTAGGCAGCTGTGCAGAGCTGGGTGGGTGCCCTCTCCCTGCCACCTGCTGTGAGGCCAAGGCCAGCGGAGTCCCTTCTCTTTGCGGACCCCTTTCTCTCCCTCCATGACTTCCTCTCACTCATAAATGGAGACAATCTGAACTCATTCCACAGGGCAGTGTATAAGAGGGTGCCCCAGCAGGCATGGGGTCTCTCTCTTTTTTTTTTTTTTTTTGCAGAGTCTCACTCTGTCGCCAGGCTGGAGTGCAGTGGCGCAATCTTGGCTCACTGCAATCTCCACCTCCCAGGTTCAAGGCATTCTCCTGCCTCAACCTCCCCAGTAGCTAGGACTACAGTGTGAGCCACCACGCCCAGCTAATTTTTGTATTTTTTTTAGTAGCGACGGAGTTTCACCATGTTGACCAGGATGGTCTCGATCTCTTGACCTCGTGATCTGCCCGCCTCAGCCTCCCAAACTGCTGGGATTACAGGTGTGAGCCACCATGCCCAGCAGGCATGGGGTCTCTTAAGGGCTCCAAACCCACCGTTCAGTACAGGCATTTCATGAGCAACTCAAATTCACTGCAATCTCTCCCAACCTCTCTTCTAGGTGTAGCTAGCAAGGCTACCACTGGCAGGGCCCGGCTGATTACTTACTTACCTGTAGCTTGTGTTATTATTTTCATAAATCCATTAGCAGCAGGAGGGGGGCATGACCAGGGAAGCCCGCACAGTGCTGGGACATTTAAGCCTCAGCCTGGCTCTCTGCTCCACTCGGTCAAATTCCAACTGTGTTGTTGGCTCACAGCACACCCACCGTAACAGCATCGTAAACGCTCCAAAGCCTCCTCTGTCCGTCACCTTTGTCTTCATGTGGTGCGTTTCATCAAGTTGACTATTTTTATCCGTTCTATTTCTGTTATTAACACATGCCGGGTATCTGCAATATACATATGTGTAATATCATATTTATAAACTCTTTAACCAAATACAATACTTTGATAGACTTCTTGATTAATTTGTATCCGAAAATTTCCTTCTTTTAAATTCCAGCTCTAATTCCGAGCTCAGATTCCTTCCTTATCTGTAACATGGGGTGGTGATGAGGATGATATAACATACTCCCTCAAGGATGTTTTGAATTTTCAGTCATTCGTTCAACACATTTCATTGAATAGCTACTATGTGTCAGGCAAACTGCTATGAGCAGGAATAGGGTGGTGAACAAAATTAGCATGGTTCCTGCCTGGATGGCGCTCAGAATTGAGGAAAGACAGGCAGTAGCAGTCATGAGAAACTATGCAAGAACATATTGTGTCACCCTCTCAGGAAACAGACGGGGGGCTGAGAGAGAGGGCAGGAGAATGCTTCAGAATCAGAGGGCAGGGGACAGCAAATGGGGGTGGGCAGGTTCCAGGAAGGGTGCAGAGCTCTGGGAGGCCCCGCCAGGAGGCTGAGCTTGTGCAGGTTTCTCCCCAGCTCTGGGCCTTAGCGTCCTCATCTGTGGAATGGGCGTGGCAGCGTTTCGACTTTGTGGGGCTTTTTGAGGGTGAAATGAGGAAATGCGCACGAAGGACATCTTCCAGCTGGGTGTAAGCTTCGGTGCAGAGCAGCGGCACACTCTTCCCTCTGTGTGTGAGGAGGCCCGGGGGCGGGGACAGGAGGCTGGGGTTCGCAGCACCCATGGGAACAGCCAGCCGGGGTTGAGATCCCAACTCTGCTGATTGCCATGTTGCCTCAGCGGAGGGTTCCTTGGGTGTACAGAGGACTCGAAGCACAGGCGCCCCAGACCAGGAGAAACACGGGAGGGCGGGCCCCCCTCAAAAGGGGGCCATGCCTGAGAGGGGCCCCCAGGGCACCCCTGGGAACCCACAGAGGTCTCGACCAGCAAGCACCAAGCTGGGCCTGGGGGGACAGGGGCGACTCAGACGTGGTCCTGGCCCAAGGAGGCTGCCGTGGGCTGGTGGAGAAAGATCCGTAAACTAAACGGACCTTCCCAGCCCCCAGCCCGGTGTAGCCAGCATGGGACAGACATGGGCCCTACAGCTCTCCTGACCCAGGAGGCCCGGCAGCCCCCGTATTTCTGCAGGCGTCTTGGCTCCATCTAGACGGCACTGGGATGCTGGAATCTGCATTTGCGCTGCACTGGACGCTGGGAAGACTTTCACCGCAGAGCGGGGGCTGCTGGAGGGGCGGGTGGGCTGCGGCCCGGCGGCGGCGGATGCCTGTCTCTGCCGAAGCCGAAGGAAGGCTGCGTGGGCAGATCTTCCAGCTAGGCCCAGAGGGACGGCCGACATTCAACCCGCCAGTCAAAGGAGGGAAGGGCTGGCGGCAGGAGCAGCTCAGGAGGCAGACCCGGGCGCGCGGGGGCGCGGGGGCTCGGGGGCCTGTGAGGGATCCCCGGACGGGCAGCTGCGGGGTGCGGGCCGGGCTGCACCGCGACAAAGGCGGCCCAGCGGCGGCATCGGAGGACGCACGCTGCCCCCTGGTGGCCAGGCCGCTCCCCGCAAACGCGAGCTCCTTTGTTTTGCGGTCCCGGCTTCTGCGGCCCAGGCTTGCTGGAGAGAGTCTGAAGCCCCGGCTTCCAGAGCGGGTGGCCACGATGCCAGGGCCGCGCAGGGAACCTGGTGAGCCGAGGGTCGAGTCCCAGCCCTGCAGCTCGCTGGCGGCAAGGGCCGGCTCCCCAGCCTGCTCAGAGCCTGAGTCTCCCGCTGCTGCAGTGGGAGGAAGCGCGCACCGGCACCGGTTCACTCGGTGTGGGGGCGCTGATTGTGGTGGGGGCGCTGATTGTGGTGTTATTTGTGCACACACGTGGCTCGGGCGCCGGTCGAGGCCTCCTAGCGACTTGCCCCACCCGGTTTCCCCGCACACCCACTCCTCACCTCCTGCACCAGCTGGCGGGGTCTTTGTCTCCCCCTGACCCTGATGGTAGCCGCTTTGTCAGCACCATTAGGAAATCCATGGTAGATTTCCTTTTGTGAGATTGAGTAGAATTTTAGAGATTTGGGGGTAGGAGGCAGGCACCTCCTGGCCCTCCCTCTCCACCCTTCTTTCTCTTTTCCATTCTCTCCGCAGCCCTGCTCACAAGAGCCCTCCGGAGCCCCACCACCTTGCCCTGCAGCCATCAGTGTAGAGAACATGCCCTCCGGCCTCGCCCTTCACCCCTACTGTTCCCAAGCACAGTCCACCCTGGTCCCTGAAGGAAGCTGAGTGGAATGTCTCATGGAAGCGTGTGGGGGTGGATCTGTGCTTAGGAGCACCTTTCTCCAGACGGGTCTGACCCAGTCCACCCTGCAGCCATCGCTTCCTTCTTTAATTTTATCGCATTATGTCCCACCAGGTATAGGAGGAAGAGAGAGAGAGAGAGGAGGCATGGAAGGAAGAAGGAAGAAAGGAGGGAAAGGAGGGGAAGGAAGGAAGGAAGGAAAAGAAGAAAGAGAAAGAAGGAAGGAAGGAGACATTTGCTAGGGCTGTCAGGACAAAGTATTACAGACAGAATGCTTAAACAACAGGACTTTATTTCCTCACAGTTCTGGAGTCTAAAAGTCTGCCACGAAGGTGTCAGCAGGGTTGGTTTCTGCAGAGGCCTCTCTCCTTGGCTTGCAGACGGCTACCTTCTCACCGTGTCCTCACGCCGTCTTTCCTTTTGTACCTGTCTGTGTCCTAATATCCTCTTATAAGGACAACAGTTATTTTGGATTAGGGCCCACCGTGATGGCCTTAACTTAATCACCTCTTTAAACTTCCTATCTCCAAATACAGTCACATTCTGAGGTACTAGGGGTTGGGGATTCAACACAGGAATTTTGAGGGGACACGACTCAGCCCATAACGGAAAGAAAGAAACAAACAGAAACAGATAACCCGTATTGGCTCTTGCCAATGTGTGGGTGCCGTAGTGACGGGACAGTGGCTCAAGGACCCAAAACCGTGCACAAATGCAACTGACAACATGGAAAGATCAGGAGATCTTCCATGAAACCTTGGCTTTTCCTTTCCTCTTGACAATAGAACCCTGGGTTAGCATTAAGACTGAGTGGAGCCTATTTTCAGGGCGTGTTCACTGTGTGGTCCCCCACACTGACCGCCGGCCCCCTCTCACACCACTGTCACCTGCCCAGGACCTTCAGGGAGCTGAGCTGGAGACCCAGCTGTGGGAGGAAAGCGTGTGTCTCAGTCCTGGCTGGCTGGGCTGGAAAGGCAGTGTTCAGAGGACTTGGGGATGTGGACAGCACAGTGAGGGAAAGCTGGGACTTAGGCAGACCTGGGTTTGAATCGAAGCTCTGCCATCTGCAAGTTGTGTGTGACTCTGGGTATGTGGTTACCCCTCTGGGAGCCTCAGTTTTACCTCTGTGAAATGGGCACAGTGATGCCTACTGCCCAGAGCTGCGTTAGAATTGAGTCAAATGAAGTAGTTGATGCCAAGGAGCCTGGCACATGGAAGGCCCTCAGTCAGTGCCAGTCCCCAAGTCCACCGCAGCCTCAGTAGATTTCTTCAGGCGTGGAGCTCACTTGAGCACTGTTTCTTTCTCATCCTTTCCCCTCCTCAGTGCTCAGCAGGGGAACCACATCTTCAGACGGCCTTTAAAAGTCAACACATTCAGTGGGTGGCAGTGGGTGAGTTCTGGGCTCAGACTCAGGAATTTGAGATGCATCCAGCTCCAGCTTTGCAAAATATCTCCATAACCTTAGGCAAGCGGTTTCCTCTCCTGTCCTCACTTCCCCTGTCAGGGGAGCAAGGGCAGCAGGGGCGCCATGGCTGGGGCCACAGTGGGGAACGGGAGCCGAGACTTGCTGAATGTTCCCAGAGGCTGAGTGCTCTGTGTGCACCCGGCCTGTGGCAGGTTGTCGCCAAAAAGGCCCCATCCCTGCTTCAACATCACGGCAAGCTAGGCATGAAGAGTGGGCTCGTGCCCCTTATCTGTAGAGGGAAGCTGAGGCTCCAACAGGCCCGAGTCACACCAATTGGAGAAAGAAGGAATTTGACCCAGGACTGTCTCAGTAGAGTCTTTAACTCTCCCTCCACAAGGCCACCTACCGAGAGGAAGGGCAGGGCCACCAGGAGCTCCATTTATGGGAGGTCTGTTGGGCTCTTCCGGGTTGATTTTCATTGACCCAGCTGCCAGAGTTTCTGGAATGAGTTTAGGAGTAAGCATTCTGTGTCTCCCTAAGGAGAGGCGAGTCTGTTTTTGGAGGAATTTGGGTCTGGAGAGGACACTGGTACATATGGGTAATCGAACAAAATCCTTTGATTCTGAACCAGTCCTTCAGAGTACATCCATGGGTTAATGCAGAGTTTTTCATTCATTCACTCATTCAGTCCTGCATTTACTGATTCATTTATTTCTTCAAGATGTATTTATTGAGTGCCTACTAGTAGTGCCAGGCAGAGGGCTAGTGAATAGTGCCAGGCGGGAGCTTGGAAAGAACAAAACTGAGCCCCTGCCTTTTAGGAGCTTCACAGGTGAGGGGGCACGGTGACGGCATTAAACCCATCATGTGGCATTGGGTGCTAAAAGGAACCAGACAGCAAGGTGAAGAGATGGGGAGTCCCAAGGAAGTGCAGGGGAGAGCAGCCTCCACATAACAGGGAAGGAAGGGGCAGCTCTGTCCCGGTGGCCATAGCAGAGACCGGGATGAATGGAGGAGACACCTGTGGCTGTGTGGGAAGGGTGTGCCGGGTACAGGAAACAGAAGGTGCAGAGTCTCCGAGGCGTGGATAAGAAGCAGGTGGTGAGGTCTTTGTAGGGCCAGGTGAGGGCTTTGGATTTTATTCCATGTGAATGAGATGGAAGCCACTGGAGAGCTCAGAGCAGGAAACAGACAGGATCTAACTTCGACTTTAAAAGGACCACTCTGTCAACCTCGTGGAGAGTGCAGCCAGGAGGTCCCTGGAGCCACTGGCTTGGCCCAGCCATGGTGATAACATGGCTGGCACAGAAAGGGCATGTAGGGGAGTAGTGGTCAGGCTGGAGGTGGGGCGGCTGCCTTTGAAGACCAAGTGGCTTGGGACAGGAGAGAGGGCATTGAGGTGGAAGTGTGGCTTCGGCCTGAGCACCAGGAAGGGTGGAGGTGCCAGCTTCAGAGGTTGGGTCTGGTCTGGCCTCTGCGTTGCCAGCCCATGTGCCTGGCACTCATGTCTGCCTTATTCAGTCCTCACACAGCTCTACAGGTGGAGATCACTAGCATCTGTTTACTTTATAAGACACTGCAAAGGAGAAGCGACACTGGGCTTCGGGCGGGAGCTGGGAGCAGAGCCTCGCAGATGAGCACTAACTATGTGGGCATCCGCTGTCCTGTCCGCGCTCCCTGGGATCCAGGCCTGCTGCGTGCAGAACCTCCGTCAGTCCTCAATACTGGTGTAGGGGCTGGCGCTGTGCCCAGCTCAAAAGTGGGAAAGCCAAGCTCAGGAACTGGATATGCGCTGCCTGGCTGTGGCCTCCTGTATCGATAGCCTCCTTCCAGGGGGACAGCAATGGATACCAAGAGCTTTGCTAGGGAATGAACACCGCCTAAGCACGGGTAAAGCTCAGGGCGCCCCTGCTGCAGCTGGACATGGGACAGCCTCTCCCCGGACAAGTCCTTGCCATGCTGAACCGCTGCCTGTCAACAAGCAGCCATCTCTGTTGCTCCCCAACATGAGCCCATGAGTGACCCAATATCTCCTTTGTGAGTGTGTGCCTGTGTGTGAGTGTATGCCTGTGTGTGTATGTGTGTGTGGTGGTGGGACATTAGAAAGGTGCCCTGCCTACCCTCCCAAATGCCAGATCGTGCCGGGTAAAAGTGTTTGTAGCCACAGGAGAAAACTGAGGCTGCATCAGCCCTCCCTTCACAGGCTGTGAGCCCATCTGGGCAAAGCCTGGGCGTTCACGAAACACCATTGCCCAGGGCCTGGCCTACATTTGGAGTGTGACAAGCATGAGTTGAATGAAGACATCAATGGATTGTTTATTTGTTTTGAAGGATTTCGTATTCGCTGTATTACTGGATCTCACAATAACTCTGAGGTAGTCAGTGCAAGTCACATTTTACAGGGGCTCAGAGAGGGGATGCTGAGCTTGAGCAGCCTGCCACGGTGTGCAGGCAGGGCTGGGGAGGGCAGCTCAGACCCCGTTGCAGGCTCCAGACCCTCTTCTCTCTTCATTGTCGCTTCTGTGCCAAATGAGGAAGGGGAGTCTCATGGCATTATTGAGGCCGGGATTCAAGGCCCTGCTTGTCCCCCACTCACTGTGTAGCCTTGGGACAGCGCCTTCCCTTCTGTGTCCCTCAGTGTTAACTCTAAAATGGAAAATTATAGTTCATACCTCAGAGGATGAGCACAAATATTAACGAGACACTAAACACACTGTGTTAAATAATAACAGGAGCTGCCGTTCCTGGGGGATCACCAGGTGCCAGGCACCTTTCTAAGCTCAATCAAGTGCATAAGTGCATCGAGTCAGTTAATCATCTCAAATCCATGTGAAGTTGATACTGCTGTGTGTCCCGTTTTACAGATGAGGAAACTGAGGCTAGTGGGGTATTAACTTCTCACACTGCTTGTAAGTATCAGAGCCAGTTGGCCTGAATGGTAACGTGCTGAGTGTCTTATTGTTATCTTATCCCCGCTCTTCAAATCCATGCTTTTTGGGTGTAAGGATGCTAAGGTTTGATTCCTCCCTCTCCCCCATCTCCACCCCCCAGGGAGGGGTCCCAGGGCCCTGAGGGCTGAGACACTGCCTGCTCACTGCTGAGACTGGAAGCTCTTCCCAACTGTTCCTGGCTGGGCAGACGCCTTGCCTGGGGCAACACTGCTCTCCAGTGGCAAGGATGCAGCATAGCGTGACTCAGGCTGCAAAGACCACAGTATCCTTGGGAAAGGATGTTATTCCCCGCCAGGGGCCAGAGACCCCTGGAAAATTAGAGCTGAAAGGTCTCCTGTGTGCTCTAAAATTATCTGTGCCCATGCATTTCCCGGTACAAAGAGTAAGCAGGTGATAAAGGTTTAACAACGGGCTCTTGAGGGGAGCATTTGCCAACTTCCTCGGTGCAAATGCTACCAACGTGGCCAGTTTCAAAGAACCAACGCGAGGTCACTGAACACAGAGTTCACAAGAGATGCTCACAGTCAGCTTACAGCTCCAGCCCCAGCACCACCCACATTGAGAGTCCACCCACATTAGAAAACTTGGCGGTGCTCCCTAAATAGCTAGCAAATGAAAGACTGAATCAGTAAGCTCATGAGGGAAAGAGGAAGGAAAGAAGGAAGGAAGGAAAGAAGGGAGGGAGGGAGGAAGGAAAGAAGGGAGGGAGGGAGGAAGGAAGGGAGGGAGGGAGGAAGGAAGGGAGGGAGGGAAGAACTCATTGTTCTTGGGCCTCAGATCTCACCAGGCTTGAGGTTAAGCTTCCTAAATATTTTTTGCTCTCATACATACATTGACATCTATTCATTTTGTTTGTTTTGCTTTTTTGACAAAAAGCAAGGTGGTGCCTCATGAATTTCTCTGTAACTTGCTGTTTCTGCTTAAGGATCATGGCCATCTCTTTAGGTCAGCCCAGGCAGAAGCTGCATGCTCTGTAACAGGTGCATGACTATGCACTTGAGGGAATAATTCGATTTGCTCAACCACATCCCACTCAAGACCATTTGGACGACTTCTACCTTTTCTGTTTCCCCATTCAGTGCTGAACTATGCATCTTCATACTCATATTTTTAAATCTAAAGAAGAGATTTTGAAGAGTGAGGTTATTGGACCAAAAGGTGTTTGTGGATGTATAATAAATATTTCCAGAATTCCTTGCAAGATGGTTGTAGCAATTAGCACTGCCACACCAGTGTATGAGAATGACATTTTCCCCACGTCAGAGATGACCCACTCTTGTTGAGTCTAATGAGTGAAAACAATATTGCATTTTTAAAATGTTGCATTTCCCTGTGACAAGTAAGATGAATTTGTCTTTGCATATACTTTGCCCATTTTAGATGATATTTTTTGCCTTTTACTTATCAATTTATAGGAGCTCTTCATATACTGAAAAATATTAACTCTGTTGGTCTTATATGCAATGTTTCCCCTCAAATCTTTTGACTGTATTTATGGTTTCTTTGCTATACAAAAATTTAACTATATTGCAAAGTCAGCCATTTCTCCTATTTCTTAAGGCAGCTAGGTTTCCTGTCTTGCCTAAGAAGATTCTCTCCATCCAATGTTTTCCTAAAATGCTTTGTTATTTTTCACTTTGCTTTTTACATTTTGATTCTTAATTCACTTTGAATCTTTTAAAAAATGTTGTGATTAATATAGCCCAGTTTAGGTTTTCTTCCAGATATACAATACCATTTATTTCTCACTAAAATAAAATGGCACTATGACTATTACACTTCCATGTGAACTTGCATATGTTTCTCAATATTCTATCCTGTATCATTGTTCTCTTGTGGTTCATTGCCCTGTTTCATCTTTGTCATCTGTTGTGTTGGTTTTTTTTTTTTTTGTTATTTGTTTGTTTCTGCGGTAATGCCACATGGTTTTTATTATGGTAGCTTTACAGTAAGTTTAGGTATTTTCCCTCCTCACGAATATATTGCATTGTTTTGACATTTGTTCTTCCATAGGAACTCAAAAATGTATTCCTTTTCAAAACTGTTGGGATCCTAACTAAAATTGGATTGAATGTATGTGTTAATTTGGCAAGAATGAACATTTTTGTGGTTTTCCATCTTCCTATTCAGTAGTCTAAAATTTCTCTTGGCTTATCTCAATAACACAGGTAGCTTTATTCATACAGGTGGTGTATTAGTTGTATTAACTCTGTGGTTAGATACTTTATAATTTATCTTTGAAGTAAATAATTTCATTTCTGTGTTTCCTTTTTTATTTTGCTTCTAAATGGTTAGTGCTGATGCAGAGAAAAGCCATTGATTTCATCAGGACCTTCAAAGAAAGGCATAACTGAGGAGATTTGTTTCCCAAATCTTAGCTCAAGTCAATGTGAGGAGAACTGGGCTTCAACTGCGTCCAGTTGGTGATGACAGTAGAGATCACTGGCTGGCTCCCATGGCCCCTTGGGCAGCGGGCAGCCTCCTCCCAGCCGGGCCCTCTTCAGGTCCTCGCACGGCCCACTCAGGAGACAGCATGATCAAGGGTCAGCTTGGCTGAGTGGGTGAGGCATCCAACTGACCGCTCGCTGTGCGCTGGGTTCCTACGGCCAAGTACCCTGACTCACTCCACCTGTTCTTCCATCTATAAACCAGGGATCATAAACCTTGACTCCATGAGCTTCACACAGCATAGGAGCCCAATAAAGTTCCCTTTCTCTTTCACCTCCCTTAATCAAACTATATCTGATCATTCACTAGCACCCATATCTACCCTTCTGCAGTTCGCCATCCCTGTAAATTGACAAGTCCTTGGGGTATATTCAGAGGCCCCTGTGTTGAAGGGGAGGATGCCTTCCCTCTGTACCTGCTGCTGGCATCGGAATGGAATTGGAGTTCTCAGAATCACTGTCTCCTACTCATCAGCCGCAGGGTTGCCCTCTGAAACTGAGTGAGTGCAGAACTGGTTTCCAGGACAGTGGACGTCCTGACTTCCTAGCAACAACAGGTCTCTCCTGACGAATGCCTCTTGTTTGCAGGCCCCTGATGGACAGCTGTGAGAGGACACCACCTGCATCCGGCTGCCGATCTTGTCAATCCACATTCCCTGAAATGACTTTGGCTTCTCTCCTTGCCCTTGTGGGGCCCAGATAAAGCTTACAGTGGCTTCAGGAGAGTGCATTGTCTCCCTGCCTGTTGGAAGAGGCTGGAACGACTCGGGGGTCTCAACCATGTTGGCTGCTACTACTGTGATTCCTTCCTTCCTCCCTCCCTCCCTCCTTCTCTCCCTCCCTCCCTCCCTCCTTCTCTCCCTCCCTTCCTTCCTTCCTCCCTCCCTCCCTCCTTCTCTCCCTCCCTCCCTCCTTCTCTCCCTCCCTTCCTTCCTTCCTCCCTCCCTCCCTCCTTCTCTCCCTCCCTCCCTCCCTCCTTCTCTCCCTCCCTTCCTTCCTTCCTCCCTCCCTCCCCCTTCCTTCCTTCCTTCATTCCTTCCTTCTTCCCTCCCTCCCTCCTTCTCTCCCTCCCTCCCTCCCTCCTTCTCTCCCTCCCTCCCTCCCTCCTTCTCTCCCTCCCTTCCTTCCTTCCTCCCTCCCTCCCCCTTCCTTCCTTCCATCATTCCTTCCTTCTTCCCTCCCTCCCTCCTTCCCTCCCTCCTTTCCTTCCTTCCTTGCTTCCTTCCTTCCTCCCCCCTTCCTTCTTCCTCCCTCCCTCCCTCCCTCCCTTCTTTCCTTCCTTTCTTCCTTCTTTCCTTCCTTCTTTCCCTCATGAGCTTACTGATTCAGTCTTTCATTTGCTAGCTATTTAGGGAGCACCGCCAAGTATTCTAAGCCCTAGATGAGACACAAAGGGATTGTATTAGTCAGGTTTCTTCAGAAAAACAGAACCAATAGGAGAAATGTATAGATAGATAGATAGATAGATAGATAGATAGATAGATAGATAGATGAGGGTTTTTTTTAAAATAGGAATTACTCACGAGGCTATGGAGGTCAAGAAATCCCACTAATCCGCAAGTGGAGAATCAAGAAAGCTTGTGGGGTCATTCAGACTGAGTCTGAAAGCCTGAGAATCCGGGGGCTGATGGGGATCAGCCCTGGTCTGAATCTGCAAGCCTGGGAGCCGGGAGCACCGATGTCTGAGGGCAGGAGAAGACAGATGCCCCCACTCAAACAAGGAGAGCAAATGTACCCTTCGACTTTTTTCTCTTTGGTCTCTCAACAGTGCGGATGGTACCTAACCATATTATTCAGCCTATTGATTCAAATGCTCATCTGCCCCAGAGACACCCTCTCAGACATGCCCAGAAATAATGCATCCCAGCTATCTGGGCATCCCTGGGCTCAGTCAAGTTGACACGTAAAATTCATCATCACGGGGGTGGAACCTTGAACGGTTCATCACAATAGATATTTGTCAGCCTAAGGAATGAACATCAACGTTCATACCCCCCAGGGAAGCACAGCAGAGCTGGTGGGCCAGGAATTGGACCTCCCAAGTCACTGGTTGGGGAGAAACTAAGGGTGAGCTGAGCCCCTGGAGAAGGAGGTGAGGGCAATAGTGAGAATGAAGGTGCTGATGGAGGCAGAGTGGCAGGTGTGGAAGTCAGAGCTGAGGGTTCAGTTTATCACTGGCTGTGTGACCTTGGGCAGGTAACTTTGCTTCCTTGTGTCTCTGTTTTGTTATCTGTACAGTCAGGCAAAGCTGTGTGAAAAGGGCCTGGCTCAGAACTGCACTGGTGGTGGAGACGAACCACTGACATGCTTTCCCACAGCGCAGGTGTGAATAATCATGGCTTTCCTCTCACTCTTCCCAGCTGAGTTTCTGAGGGCAACCCTGCAGCTGCCAGGGTTCCTTCTACTTCCTCCCCAGACAGGCATGTTTTCTTTCTCTGGGGTTGGTAGGACTCTATCTGTGTTTTATGTGCAGATAACCCTATTGTTCCTGGCACCATGGATCCTCTTTCTGGTTTTGCCTTGCTGATGTGGATATTTCTTAATTTTTATATCCATTATTATTTTGCTTAGATTTTGGAAGGGTGTGGAAAGTCTAAGTACCGTTCCCCACTGAGAGGTGCCAGGGCTTCTTGGAGTAAAGTTGGATTGTCCAACTCCAGGTCCTGAGCAGGAAATGTACAAGATGAGTCTGGAATCTCTTGTCATGCTGGAATTAAAACATGATCAAAGACTTCTAGGAGAGAGGGGCCAATTTGAAGGGCCCCTGCACTGTCTTAGGATGGGATAACTTTAGCATCAGAAAGAATACTGGCTGCAATGGATTGAAATGCAGCAAATGTATAAAAGCTATGAGTTCATAATGGCACTACTAATTCTTTTTGGAGGTGGCTAGGGTACAAGTTCATTATTCTGAAAATTGATAAATAAAGGGAAAGAATACAATATTTATTTTGCCTTCCCTCTAAAGACCATAGCTCAGGATAAGAAAAGAGTTGATGAGAAAAAGTTCTTTTTAGAAGGTCAAGGCTAACAAGTGCAGGAGGAATGATAAAATGGATAATAGCAAATGAAACACTGTATCTCGGCAATGATCATGAATGTCTGCTTAGACTCGCAAGGGACAGACTGATGTGGCCACCTACACTTGACAGACCAGGCAGATGCGACCTTATACTGGACAATTTTAACATCACCAAAGGGGGACACCCAGGCACGGTACACCCCTGACATAGTAGGAAGTAAGCAGGCACCACCTGGCAGATTTTCTCGCAAAAAACAAAAAACAAAAAACATGAATGTAATCAAGCTTCTAGAACTAAGTTTCCAGGATATATGTGGGAGAGATGAACGTGTAAGCAACATCAGTCAATCAGTCAGAGCCATAATTTGGGAAATTCTACAAGAAAAATGTTACCCAGTTTCTTAGAGAAATTAATGGCAGTCAGGTGTCAGGTGGAGAAAATCACTAGGGATTAAAAGAGAATTAAGCAACATCCAAAAAAAAAAAAAAAATGCAGTATTGAGGCCAGGTGCAGTGGCTCACACCTGTAATCCCAGCACTTTGGGAGGCTGAGGTGAGTGGATCACCTGAGGTCAGGAGTGCGAGACCAGCCTGGCCAACAAGGCGAAACCCTGTCTTTACTAAAAATCCAAAAAAATTAGCTGGGCGTGGTGGTGCATGCCTGTAATCCAGCTACTCCTGAGGCTGAGGCAGGAGAATCACTTGAACCTGGGAGGCAGAGGTTGCAGTGAACTGAGCTTGTGCCACTGCACTCCAGCCTGGGCGACAAGAGTGAGACTCCATCAAAAAAACAAAAAACAAAAAACAAAACAAAACAACAAAAAAACCAGCGTTGGATCCTTTACTTGGATTCTAACAAACCGATTGTTAAATGACATTATGGGGGCAAAAAACGAACATAGACTCGGTATTGGATGCTACTAATATTACATAAATATGGTTTATTTCATTGGATGTGATTATAGCTTTACATTTTTTAAAGTCCTTGTGTAATAGAAATTCATACTCAAAATAACAGCCCAGGATTTCTGCCTGGACATTAACTGATATCCCGGTTCTCCTTCGGTGATCGTCATGCTGGTAGCAACATCAACGTCCACATTGTTGGGAAGGTGATGAATTTGAGCATCTTTCTCTACTCCTTCCTCCTTCACACCCTTCCTTCCATACTCCTCTCATTCCACTGCCTATTGATGTCCAGACTATATCTCCTTCTTTTCGTCTCTAATCCACCATTCACACACATCCTGTGGTGGAAGGGGAAGAGAGTGCCAGGAAGGCACACCTGAGTCAGAGGAGCTGGCAGGAGTCACTTCAGCCTGCATTTGTTTCAAGGGTGAGGACCCGTCAGGTGGCCGGCCCTGGAAGCAAGGCAGGCTGGGAAATGTAGTCCTCAGCTGGGCAACTGTCTCCATGGAAACAAGGCCACTTGTGGAGGCTGGTGTATGAGGTCATATGTGCAGAGAGCTTAGAAGTGTGGTTGGCTCCTAAGTGATGCGTGCACTGAGGGTGCAGAAGCAGCAGAGGGGAACCTGCTGGAGCTTTGGCAGGGGTGGAGGGAAGTGGCGGCACGCTGCCGTGGCCATCGTTGGATTCTTCAGTGTCACCATGTACTTGTTGCTTTAAAAAATACAGATGCTAGTTTCACTTAAGAATGTCCCTGACAAAGCTGTATGAATTAATTTTATTCAGTCTCAACTCTTGCATACACAACTTTTTGTGACAAAATGGAAGCTGTGCATGAAGCACTTTTGCTTCATAGCTGTCTTGAGGAAAAACACGAGCAATTTCTTCGGCTGAACTCACCACTTTTTTATGGACAACCATTTCACCTGAAAGTACAAGTGGCAAATGATTCAGACTTGAGTATTTAGTAGACATTTTCTTGAAAGCAGATGAAGTAAGCTTGTCGCTTCAAGGGGGAAAAAAATGACATTTGTTACCAAAGATAAAAATTTGATCTCTCAAGTCAAAATTAGAATTTCAGAAAATCTATATCCACTACTATGAGTTTGGCCATTTCCTAATAACTAAACACTCTTCTGATAAGACCTATGGTAACGTTAGTGGTCAGGATCTTTTGATATTTAAGATAAATGTGCTAACATTTGGAAGCTCAGCATGACTCAGTAAACCAATGTTTTCCAAATGACTGGTGCATGATGGTACAAAATCATGCATGAGGAAAGATCCATCCAAGAGAGAACAAAGGAGTTTATGTAACAGAGTAGAAAATAATTCCATGATACGATTTCGGATTCCAGGTTGCAGCAAATCTGAAATCTAAAACCATTTGTCAATTTTGGGTCTCATATCAAAGAAGAATAGGCAATATTATCTGAAAAAGACAATTAAAATACTCCATTTCCAACCACATATTTTTAAGAGACCAGATTTTCTTCATATACTAAAACCAATACATCTCAGCAGATTGAAAGAGGAGCCCATATGAGAATCTAGCTGTCCTCTATTAAGACAGACATTAAAGACATTTGCATAAACAAAACACAATGGCATTTTTCTACTTTTTATTGTTTTACCAAAAAAAGTTATTTTTTAATAAAAATATGTAATGGGTTTAAAGATGAGTTAAAATAAGTATTTTATACATTTATCAAGTTCAATTTATAACCCAGTAAATATGGATAGACCTAACCCACATCAACAATAATGATAATTCAAACTCTAAATTGATACATATAATCAATAATAAACATAAATGTGTAAAAATAAGAAATAATAGGAAGAAGAATTTGTTAGGAATGAGACCAAAAAGTTTAAGAGCTATGAATAAAACCACACTTGGCATTTTCCAGCTTGCCGCCTGCTTTCTAATTGGGACAGCGGTTGCATTGTCTCATCAGCAACTCACATTCCAGAAACTGATGGGAACTAATCGCACAGGGACCAGGCGCAGGTCACACAGCAAGAACTCATTCCACAGGCACAGGCAGTGCCCCGAGCTCTGCCCATGGAGTTAGGTGTTATGCACGGGTGAAGAGCAATGTCGCCATCCACACAGACAGGAGAGGGGCAGGTGGAAAGGAAGTGCCAGTCACTAAGAATTGCTGACACTTATCAGGTGCCTACCAGGAAGCAGCCCCTTTGTCCTCATAAGGTGTTTTTCAGGTACTTAGTTAAGGACTTACTCAATACCAGCCTTGTGCTGTGTTGGCACTAACCAGGGAGAGATGAGTTGGAGGGGGTGCGGCCTGTCTGCCGCTGTCTCCAGAGAAGCAGAAGGGCTGGGGGCTGGCTTCCTAGGTGATGGTGCCAGCTGCCTGGGTGCATATCCCTGTTCTGCCACCTGCTACTCTGTGAACCTCAACAGGTTGCTTATCTTCTCTGGGCTTCACTTTCCTCATCTGTAAAATGGGATAATGGTGAGGGTTAAATGCATTAACATACATAGCAAATCCCCTTAGGGCAATGCCTGGCATGAAAAGAGCATGATGTGTTTGTTCTTGACTGACAGTTGTTTTTTCTGTCTTTCCACGCCTCCCCCGCCACCCCTGGCTTGCAGGCAAAGACTATCTGCCACCACGGAGGCTGAAATGCCAGAGATTTATTTTCCTAGCCTCCCTTGGCCCATGTCTAGACAACGAGACCGGAGTGGGGGATCCGCTGGATGGAAACCTCCTTTCTTTCTTGCCTTTAGTCACAGTTTTGTGAGGACATGGTGCTGGGGGCAGGGAACAGGTCACAAGATGTGGGTCTTCTGCCCACCATGGGAAGCCAAGAGAGTCACCGGGAAGCCGACCCAGGCCCTGGCAGTGCCAGTCTGATGAATTAACTGAGCCTGGGTTCAACTGGCTCCTGGCTATGATGTCACAGCGAAAGCTGGGAGGTTGTACCATTTGCCTGAGGCCAGACATCTTGAAAGTGGTGGCATGAGATTTCAATCTGGGTCTCCAGGTCTGGGGACATGGGCCAGATAAATATAGAATACTCATTTGAATTTGGCTTTAAATTTCAATTTATTTTTATTTGCTAAGCCTGGCAATCTTATAGAGTGAGGACCCTGCTTTTCTGTCACACAGCAAAGCTGCCCTCAATCCCCCCAGCATGCCAGCCACCTGCATATCAAGGGACAGAAATGGACCATGTGGTGGGCCGAGAGTGTCTTTCCCCAAGCTAGAGAGGACAGGAAAGTGACAAGCATGTCAGTTCATGCCACAGCTTCACCGGGGGTAAGTTCATTAACTTCGGAACCTCACTCTTCCTCAAGCTGACAAAAATATTAGTACTAAAAAAAATGGCCAGGCACAGTGGCTTATGCTTGTAAACCCAGCACTTTGGGAGGCCAAGGCGGGGGGATCACCTGAGGTCAGGAGTTCGAGACCAGCCTGGCCAAGATGGTGAAACCCCATCTCTACTAAAAATACAAAAATGAGCCGGACATGGTGGCAGGCGCCTGTAATCCCAGCTACTCGGGAGGCTGAGGCAGGTGAATCGCTTGAACCCGGGAGGCAGAGGTTGCAGTGAGCTGAGATGGCGCCGCTGCACTCCAGCCTGGGCGACAGAGCAAGACTCCGTCTCAAAAAAAAAAAAAAAAAACAGAAATGAGATAATATCTGTAAAGTGGTTAGTACAGTAACTGCAGGAAGTGTTCCATAAAAGCGTCTTTCTCTTCCTCCTCTTCTTTGTGATGTCATTATGTGTTATTACTATTATTGTCATCATAACTGTTGTTTTTATTATTAGCCTGCAGCTAAGGCCTCTCCCTTGAAGCGGCTTCTCTCTGCACTGCCAGCAGAGGGCGCCATTATCTGACAAAGAGGCCCAGTGGCCTCCAACCACCTTCAGCCAGGCGGCAGTCACTTAATAATACATCTGGGATCAGGTTTCTCAGCCTGGCTGGGGGCACTGCGGGAGCCTCTGGGCCTCAGGTTATAACTCAGTTTGTCAGGTCTCAGCCCACTGCTGCGCTCCTTACTGGTACAGTCCTGTCCGAGGAGCCTGGGCCTGGATGGCTGTTTGGGGCTTTTTCTCATAATGCCACCGTCTTTGCACCATCTGCTGTTTTCACCTCTTTTCAGGCTACACCCCAGTTTTTTCACAAAAGCCCCCAGGGAGATGGGTAGAGGAGGCTCTGCTTATCTACTGTCCGTGGGCCTGCTGGTTCCCTTCTCCAGGCTAGTTCGGCCTGGCAGTCAGGTGGCACTGAGTTGGAATCCCTGATTCTCTACTCCCCTGCTGTGCCACCCTGGGCATGTGGGGCCACCCCTCTGAACCTCAGTTTCCTTATCTGTAAAAATGGGACGGCTTCACCTGAGTTGGAGGAACCGGGGTAAGCGAATGTGCTGCTCACACCCTGGGGGCTCAGTCAGTCAGTGAGACATGTCTCAGTTCCTTTCCCAGAGTCAGAGACCCGTCCATTACGGTTTCTGCAGGGAAGGCTGGAGGGGGCCCGGTCACACCTGGGGACAGGCTGCTGGTGACGGGCTGCTAGTGACAATAATAACACATTAACCAGTCACCGTTTCCAAAGAAATGGTCACATTAACTGTTGCTTTATCCTTACAAGAATAACTCTGTGTACTGAGATGGAATTTTATACCCGTTGTACAGCAAAAGCGCCGAGTTGGGATGAGAGCATCTCTTCAAATGAAGGGTGAATGCCTTTCAAAGCCACAGGCTTCTGCTCACCGATCTCCCCTCTGGCCCATCAGCGTAGGTAGCTGTTGGCCAGCTAGTAGTTTCTGGGTGTCGGGAGCGTCGCGTGGCTTTTTCCAGACATCCGTCCATTCAATCCTCACAGCTTATGGGGCTTATGGGGTCCAGATGATTTCTATTTCTATTTTCCAGATGAGGAAACTGAGGCTGAAGGGAGTCAAGAAACCAGTTAAGAAGCTGGGGTGGGAATCCAGTCTCCTGCTCTTGGGCGCCAGACCATGAGAAGCAGGTGACTGAGAGGAGTGGGAAGCCGTGCTCCTCAGGAGACAGGAGTCTAACCGGACCCTCCACGTGATGCTCTGAGCTTCCGCCTCCCCAATTGCAAAGGAGAACTATTTTTCCTGCCAACTTCATAGGATTATTCGGAAGCTCATTTGAGAGACTGTGTAGAAAATTGTTTCCTAAACCAAATTGGAAGGCAGGAACTCTAGCTTGAGCCCACTCAGGAATTTGGGCAAGCCTGGGCCTGTTTGGGATATGTCTGGGCAGGTCCTCCAAGAGTCGACTTAGTGAGATTTTTTGTTGTCTTTGATTGAAGGAGGATGCAGAAGTGGTTTTGCACACTGAGTCTAAGGAAGGTGGGGGACAGGATCCCCTGGGTCTGTCTTGCACAGCGTCCTGCCGGCTCAGCCCTGTGGGCCTGTGGATGGCAAGGAGGTCCAGGGGATCCCTGGGGTGACAGCACTCCCAGAACGTGTTTGGAACCAGGGCACAAAGTGACTTAGTGACAGTGTGCCTCATGAGGTGGCTGGAGCAGGCAAGGGGACTGTCGGGAGAGCTCCTGCGAGGAGACCCTCCTCTGGGGCTCCTAAAGATATGCGTGTACCTGGAGGGGGCAGGGGCAGGGTATGGGGCCTGTGCAGGTGGAGGCACAGCTGAAACAAAAGGCGGTTACTGCTATCAAGCCGATGCCACGGTCAGGTCTGGAGAAAGCCGAGGATCCCCTTCAAAGGGCCACGGCAATGTCTGGGCTTGCTTTTCATTCCCAGGAGTAAATGCAGAAAGAGGGGGTCATTTTCTGACTGAATTTGTAGAGACTGAGTATGAATGAGGGGAACGGCTTTGCCCCTGTTGCAGGGGAAAATCAGAGTGTTAGATCTGTAGTTGCTGTGTTTGTAGTTCTGTATTCAAAGCTCAGCCCCACCTGTGCACACAAGGGGAATCTCGATTTTCGGAGCCTCTGCTTCTCTCACCTGCAAAATAGAGGTCAAAGGGCCCCAGTCCCAGCTTGTTGGGCTACTTCATGAGACACTGCATGGATGTGCCCGACACAGCAGGTGGTACTTGCTCATCTTGTCTTATTTCACCTTGCTTCCTTCCCTTCCCGCACCCCTTCCCTTCCCTTCCCTCTTTATTCATTCAAAATAACCTGTAACGCCCGATGTGGTCATTTTGGCTGTGCTGATAGCCAGAGTAGACTTACTCTTTGTTAAGCCAATTCACAGTCATTGTGACAGTTAGAAGCAAATGTGCATTCAAGAAATAATCATCTCAGTGCATCTGGTAGGCACAGTTTCAATGCAGCTGGTCTGTTAGACAGGCCAGGAACCTCTCTGGACCCATCTGGTTTTCATTAGCTCCCCCATGAAACCAGATTTTTGCTCCATTTAGTTACCATCACTGACCACAGCAACTTGCTCTTCCCGGGCTAGAGCTTTTGCATCCCTCTTTCCTGAAGAGGCCAGCTGAAGATCGGAACTTAAGAGAAGTCAGAGGCTCCTGCTGAAAAAGGCCACCGTGTGGTGTGTGTTTGCTGGTGGGAGATTAGGAGGATGGTGCACAGAACCATCAATGAGGAATCCACGGGGGAAGATGGTGCAAGGTAGGAAGAGCTAGGCTTCCACGCTTGCCAAAAATGACATCCGCCGCTGCCAAAGGACAAGAGGAAGATGGGGTTCCCTGCGAAATCCCTTTCCTTTCCAAGAAGGCAATAAAATCCTGTAGTGGTTCATTTTAACCATCAGGAGCCTCTGCCACATAATGACATCCATGTCTGCATAAGGATAAGATACGGTGGGTCCCAGGGATTGAGGGGATGGTGTTCATTTCAAAATCTTGCTTCTTCTTGTTCTGATACCATGTGTACAATACAGAAAACCAATCATAGTGTAGTGAAGGAAGTCACATTTTGTCAAGGTCTATTTGCTATTCCTTCTTTCTCTCCAGCCAATGAACAAGCTATTTTAGAAGTACAGCTGATGATCTAGAAATAAGAAGAAAGAGGACGGAAGGTGGTGAGTAACTTAGGGCTATACCTCTGGCCATTCAGAGAGTGAATCTGAGGATGGCCTGAGAGGTGGCAGTTCAGGAGGAGGCAGGAGAAGGGGTCCCCATTGATGATGAGGCAGTCCTGAACTGGGCAGCAAGCCAGGGCTTCCCTATCCTCACCTCATTCCTCCCTCAGAACAGCTCTTGAGGCACACCGCAGCATGGGGTGGTAGCTGAGCACCCTGATGTTTAGAGCCAGTGGGACCTGGGTTTCAATCCCAGCATCACCATTTACTAGCTGTCAGATGTTAGGCAAGCTTTTTAAACTTTTCCAAGCCTCAGTTCTCTCATCTGCAAAGTGGATAATGTTCATTACTTCTTGGGTCTGTTATGATATTATGTAAGCAAACAGCTACAGGGAGTGTCCAGTACTGGGGAGTCATCATTGTGATCATTTATAGTAGGAGAATTCGGAGTTGGTGAGGGGAAGCCTTTTCTGTTACTCCCTGCCCACTCCACCTGTCCTTCTTTCCAACCAGTCACCAAATCCTATTAAGACTTCCTTGAGACCAGGCGTGGTGGCTCATGCCTGTAATCCCAGCACTTTGGGAGGCTGAGGCAGGAGGATCACTTAAATCCAGGAGCTTAAGACCAACCTGGGCAACACAGAGAGACCCAGACTCTACAAAAAGAAGAGTAAGAAGAAGAAGGAGGAGAAGGAGAAATGTTGAGCATGGTGGAGAAGGAGTGTTGAGCATGGTGGCAAGTGCCTGTGGTCCCGGCTACTTGGGAGGCTGAGTCAGGAGGGGGCCTGGGAGGTTGAGGCTTCAGTGAGCCATGATTGCACCACTGCGTTCCAGCCTGGGCAATGGAATGAGATGGTCTCAAAAAAAAAAAAAAAGAGACTTATTTGAAAATATCTTCCAAATCCATCCCCTCCTTTCCATCCACTCTCCCACCCGCCTGGGTTCGTTCACACGGATGCCACCTGGAGTTATCAGTGACCCCGACTGGTCTCCTTTCCCCAGTCCCTTCTTGTCTACCCCTGTGGCAGAAGGTCTGCCACAGAGATCTGACCACATCCCTCCACTTAAATTCATCTCGTGGTCTTTGTCACCTTCCAGACAAGGCCATAGTGCCTTAGCAGGAGAATTGTGCTTAGCAGAAATCATTCCATTGAAACTGACAGAAATCCCAGTCAAACTGGCTTTAAAAAGTACTCGAAAGGGGTTGGAGGTTCTCTAAGAAGCATATGCCAAGATGGAATTAGACACACAGGAGATTTACTAGGGGGTTCACTGGTGAAGGATTGCCGCCAGGCAGCTGGAGGAGGCAGGAAGGCAGGATAACTCAGGGCTGACCCTGTGGAAGGGAGAGGGGAGGAAGGAGCCTTGGGTAGGAGCCTCAGACTGCCACGCAATTTCCAAAAATTTTTGGCCAGGCCAATGGGGAGTCCTGGAGTTTAAGTCACCAGGTGGAGGGGACCCACAGGAATGGGACAGTACTAGTTCCCCCAGGGGTCGGGCATTGGCTGGGAGCAGCCGAGGGTTGCTGTGAGGAGCACGGCCTGGGGCAAATGCAGGGGAGCATGCAGCTGGGCTGTCAGTCAACCATGGTCCCACGGCAGCAGGTATGAGTGGCACATTTTCATGGCTGCCACAGGGAAAGACTTGTAGGCTTGCATAAACAAAAAGCCCAGAATTAGAGTTGCTTCAGGCATGGCTAAGCCCAGGTTTTCAGATGACATCTCCACAATATTCCTCACAACATCTCCACAATATTCCTCACAATATGGCTCTGCTTTCTTTGATATGGACTCCATTCTTGCAAAGGCTCTCTCCATGTGGAGGTAAGATGCCATCACCAGCTCTGGAGGCACCTCTTCCCAGGTTAAAATCCAGCAGAAGGCCAGGCGTGGTGGCTCACGCCTGTAATCCCAGCACTCTGGGAGGCCGAGGCGGGCGGATCACAAGGTCAGGAGATCGAGACCATCCTGGCTAACACGGTGAAATGCCGTCTCTACTAAAAATACAAAAAATTAGCTGGACGTGGTGGTGGCAGGCGCCTGCAGTCCCAGCTACTAGGGAGGCTGAGGCAGGAGAATGGCATGAACCTGGGAGGCGGAGCTTGCAGTGAGCCAAGATTGCACCACTGCACTCCAGCCTGCACAGCAGAGCGAGACTCCGTCTAGGGAAAAAAAAAAAAATCCAGCAGAAAAGAGCCCTCCTCCTTCTTTCCTAATCTTTAGAGCAAATGTCCCAGGAATAGCTCTGATTGGCTCAGACTGGGTCATGTGCCCATCTCTGAACCAATCCCTGTGGCCAGGATGATGCCATGCTCTGATCGGCTAGTCCTGAGTTAACTGCCCACTCCTGGAGCAGGAGGAGGATCAGCTTTACCTCCCACATGACCCCCCATCACCACGTGGTCTGAGTGGGTACCCCAAGCAACCCTGGGAAAAAACGGGCTGACCAGGCTGGATCCTCTGATAACAGGAGAAAGGGAAATGGATACGAGTGAGGACAGCAGATGTCTCCTCTCCATAAATCATTATTTTAGTTTTTAAATTGTGGTAAGAACACTTCATGAGATCCACTCTCTTAATAGATTTTTAAGTGCTCAATACAGTATTGTTAAGTACAGACACGATGTTGTGCGATGCATTCTTATTCACCTTGCATGACCAAAACTTTGTACCCATTGAACACATACTCACCATTTCTCTGTCCCACTGCAGCCCCTGGCCATCAGCATTCTACTCTGTGCTTCTGTGAGTTTGGCTATTTTTTATTCCTCCTGTAAGTGTAATCCTGCAGCATCTGTCCCTCTGTGCCTGGCTTATTTCACCCAGCATAACGTCATCCGGGATCATCCATGTTGTCACATGTTGCAGGGTTTCCTTCCTTTTAAAGGCCGAATGATAGCCCATTGTTTGTGTATGTCACATTTTCTTTATCCATTCATCTGTCGATGGACATTTAGGCTGTTCCTACATCTTGGCTATTTGTCAATAGTGCAGATATCTCTTCAAGATCCTGATTTCATTTCCTTTAGATAAACACCAAGAAGTGGAATTGCTGAACCATATAGTAGTTCTATTTTTAGATGTTTTAGGAACCTCCATGCTGTTTTCCATAGTGGCTGTACCATTCTACATTCCTACAAACAGCGGACCAATTTCTCCACATCCTTACCAACACTTATATCTTATTTCTTTGATAACAGTCATTGTGACAGGTGTGAGGTGATATCTCATTGTGGTTCTGGGTTTTAGAAATGTTGAGCACTTTTTCTTATACCTGCTGGCCACATGTATGTCTTCTTTGGAGAAACTTCTATTCAGGTCATAGATCACCCTTTACGTTTTCTCCTGAGGCATATCCCACAGGCTTTCAGTTATCTCTTAATGAACAATAAACCACCCCAACACTTAGTGGCTTGAAACCCAGTGGTTTATTATTTCCCATGAGTCCTTGGGTTTCCTGGGCAGTCCCTCTGCTGGTCTGGCCTCCGGTTGCTCTGAGATGATTCAGCAGGCCCCTGAGCTGGGCTGGAGGGTCCAAGAAGGCTTCTCTCTCACGCTTCATTCTAGGGGGTGGAGGGTTACCTTCTGCCCTTTCTGCATGCTCGCTCATCATTCAGTAGTTAGCCTGAGCAGCTTTACTTCCAGGATGCTGCTTCCCAGAGCACAGAGGCTGAGGCTGGCACCCCAGCCTCATCAGTGCATTAGTCAAAGCATGTCACAAGGACAGCCCAGAGTCAAAACGGAGAGGGAAGCAGTCTCTATCTCGAAGAAAAGATCAGTAAAGAATTTGTGACCATCTTTAATCCACGAAAGTGGAAATGAGATTAAAAGGTGGGTCTGAATTTGGCCCGGCAACTGCAGGGCTGGAGAGCTTTACTCTGCCACTTCCCTCACCAGGGCCACAGCCCTATTCCTGTTTCAGCCTCTTTCTTTGGAGATTTAGGAAGCAACTGTAATACCTGGCAGGGGCAGGATACTGATTCTGGGTCCAGTGGACAAACCACAGTGGCAGCTCACACCAGACGGTAAGCTCTTGAGGAGTACCCTGAGTATGTTTCGTCCCAGGGCTGGGCCCAAGACACCGTAAGGTCGGCAAATAGCAAAGGCTTTGGAACGGGCAGACCCAGATCTCCATCCTGCCTCTGCTGCATGTATGGATAAAAGCTCCACAGCAACAAGGCCCAGCCTGTCCCAGTCATAGCTATATCCCAGCACCCAGAACCATGCCTGGCGCATAGTAGTTGCCTAATAAATGTTTGCTGGATGAGTGAGTGAACCTCTCTGGGCCTTATTTTCTTCATCGGAAAAATAGTGATAACAATGGTAATAGTAACAACTACTGCAGTCAGGATGATCATGTCAAGCTCCAACTCCTCGATCTGGCCTGCGATGCCCTGCATGCTGCTCTCAGTGTATTCATACCTCTTCAGCTGCATTTCACACGGAGGCCCACGGCTCTCTGCACTCCAGCCACCTAAGCCCTGCTCCAGTTTCTCAAACTCATCAGCCCCTTATCTCAGGGCCTTTGCAAGTGCTAGATGCACTTCCTTCCCTTACTTCACCTAGTTCATCAAATAGCTTTTTAAATTTTTTTTGGAGACAGAGTCTCTCTGTTGCCTGGGCTAGAGTGCAGTGGCGCGGTCTTGGCTCACTGCTACCTCTGCCTCCCTGGTTCAAGTGATTCTTGTGCCTCAGCCTCCTGAGTAGCTGCAATTACAGGTGCATGCCACCATACCCAGCTATTTTTGTATTTTTAGTAGAGACGGACTTCACCACGTTGGCCAGGCTGGTCTCGAACTCCTGACCTCAAGTGATCTGCCCGCCTCGGCCTCCCAAAGTACTGGGATTACAGGCGTGAGCCATCGTACCCCAGTTCCTCAAATATCTTACCCGCATTAGCACTTCTTTGGAGAAGCTTCCTCAGATCTCTAGACCAGACTAAATCCTCCTGTCTTAAGCTTTTAGAGTGCTGTGCGCCTTTTCTTTCCAGCTCTTCTCAGAAGTGGTAGCTACAGATTTGTTGATTTACTTTTAGTCTAATGCCAGTGTTCTCCAGCCTTTTGTCAGCTCTGCAAGATACAGATGTGGTTTATTTGCTCCAACATGTAAATGCAGAACTTAGCCCAGTACCTGGCATGGGGTAGGTGCATGATGCACGCTGGGACTACACAGACAAATGGATGGTTGCCTGGCATGGCTCACTGAGGACACTCAACAGGTACCAGCACCATTTATTTAAGCGGATCAACTAACGAATGAGTTAGAGAGTGGCTGGAATGGATGTATAGCACTAATTTGTGAGAGAAGACAGAATGAGAATGTAATTCCAAAACAATGAGCAAACATCAGAAGAATTGAAGCAAATAACTGCAACATTTCCCCAGTTGTCCCTCTCATTGTTCTTAAAATAAAAGCATTTCTGCTACGGAGTCAGGCAAATAAGTGAAAAAGCCACATAAAGGAAGAGCAGTGACTCTCGAGAGCTGGCATCCCAGGGTGACTTCACCATGGGCTGTCATCGCTGAGGCCATAAAAAGCCAAAAGCACTACCCTTGAGTCATCCTAGCCCCTTGGAGCCAAAAACGTAGCAACGTCACGTCTGTAGTTGACCTCGGTTCCGGGCACCTTCCTGAGCATTCTTCGGGAGGCACTTGTGAAACTCAGCCCAGGTGCTGCCCAGGATCAGGAGGCTGAGACGTGATCTGGAAGTGAGTGCCCATCCATACACCTTCCCCAGCTTTGGGGCCACAGAGGGACAGAAACCGCAGGCAGGCTGGCCTGGGAATGAACCTACACCAGCCTGAAGTCAGAAGAGCCTCTAGGAGCCTCCAGCCTGGACTCTTTTTACAGATGGGGAAACTGAGTCCCAGAGAGGGAGCAATGAAGGATGTCTAAGGTCATCAGCAACGTAAAGCCAACAGCATCATCCTGAGTCATGTTTGAACCTGAGGTAAGAGAAGAGGTCAGCAAATCTGACCCTGTCTGTATTTTAAAATTTGGTATTTTGTTCAGAGTGGGGTTTTGTGTTCGTTTTGATGTTGGAAGATATCAGGTTAAAATATGATTCATTTTGATAACGGAGTTTTTCAGATACCTCTTTCAGTTCTGCTTCCAAGGCTAGTCCTGGCCCTGAGAGCCAGGGCACTGTGTTGGATGCGTATTCCCTTGTTGGCACATGTACTGTCATTCCCCAGACAGGCAGAGCACCCTTCTGGGAAGAACTGGCTGTGTGTTCGGGCTGACCCAGGTTTTAACCCCACTTCCAGCATCCCCATCCTAGTGACTGAACTTCTATGAGCAAGAATTTTCTCTTCTGAAAGTTTCCCAGTCCCTCATTTATCTAACCAGTTCTTTTCAGGGTTCTACCATGTACCAGGCACAGTGTGTGTGGCATGACTGTGACCCATCAATGCCCTAAGCAGCTCACAGTCAGTGAGGAAGACCCCCGGTGTCAGACCCCTGCAGCCTCACGTGGAAGGGGCGCCGGGAATGCCACAGGATGCTGGGGACAAGGCAGGGGGCTCCCCCAAGACTTCTCAGAGAGATCCTTCAAAGGCGAGAGCCTCCCCAGGGGGAGTCCGCTGGGAAATCAGCAAAGGAGGGGGCTCCAGGCAGAAGAAACAGCGTCTGCCAAGGCCTAGAGGCAAGAAAGCTAGGCTTGTTTGCAGACATCCCAAGTAGATTTGCGCCAAGTGTAAAGGAAGATGTGGCAGAGAGAACTTGGGGGCTCCACTGTGTGTGGCCCTGGGCCATGCTAGGGGGTTGGGTAATAACATCTCCTGTAGATACCAGCTGCAGGGGGCAGGAGGACCCATGGAAAGCACCGGGGGCTGAGCCTGAGGCGAGTATAGAGGCCTGAGTCAATATTACCCTCCCCTGTCTCTCCTCTTGAGATAAGCCAATAGGTGTTTGATGTTCAGTGTTCAGAAAGCCAGCCTGACTGCTCTCAGATGATTAAGCAAGAGGCTATAGTCGGTGGGGTGGCAGGGGGTTGGGGGGGAACAGGCCTCCCCCCTTCTGTTTCCAGAAATCTGACCTCTGCCTCGGCCACATTCCCCGACTCCTGGGTGTGAGATAAGGCCGCTGTCTCCTGTTCCCTTCTCTTCTGTCTGGCCTGGCTGAGCTGGCGTGTATGGTCTTAGTTTTCTATATTTATAGAGACAAGGATGGGGGAACCATGGTAGGGGGCAGGGGGTTGGGGGCGGCTGGCCCAGAGCTTCAGGGCCTGTGGAAGCTGCCTGGCCGCAGGGGGTATTTAACTTTCTGCCCGATGGTTGTAATTCTGGGGGCAGCCGAACTGGTGGGATCAGGTCCCTCTGGCTGCGATGACAGGCCTTCAGCAGGCACTGTAATTGCAGCGTTAAAACCCCTCATTTTCTTCCCGGCAAGCTGTAGTTAAGAGGTGCTATCGGGCAGCCGGGTTGTCTGCAGGGAGGCTGATCAAAGGGCTGAAGGCATCTGTTTTGTCTCTGTTTTCTTTCACCACTCCCCGCCAACTTTGAAAAAAAAATGGTTAAAAAGTAATTTATGAAAATGAATACCTGTCCTTCTCCAGAGGCTAAAAGGCGGCTGCATATTAGAGATATTAGATGATGTGCATTGGGTTTTTGCTACACTCCTTCGGTCAGTTTCAGAATGAGAAAATTGGAGCTGGAGAATGTGCCCACCGTGTCCGCTTCCATTAAAACCTCTCAGCAGGGTTTTTATAATATCGGCCCGACTTTTCACACTCTGAGGATTTCCTGAAGAAGATTAAACTCTCCCACCTCCAGCCAGCGATTGGCAATTATGCCTTGGCCATGCCCACACCCCTGCGGGCCTCCCAACCCACACTCCTCTCCCTGTTCTCCAGAAGCCCAGGGCGGGCGTTGCCTGCTGTGAGGTTGTCCAGGACTCAGCCTCTCCCTGCTCTCAGTGCCCTGAGGCCTTGGAACTTTCTTATCAACTGACTGCACAAGGAAAGGTTTCCAATTTTTAAATAGTGCCCTTCATATCTGGTTTGAAAACTGAAAGAGAATAAATGCCTTTAGAGATGAGAATGAAAAATCCCTAGCAAAGGAAAAAAATGGCTTAGGACTGCCTGGAGATGGAGCACGTTTAAGGAAAGCCTCAAGAGAACAGGTTGATTTAAAGCAAACAAACAAAAACAACAACAACCCCTGTGCCATCTCTAAGCTGTGTTGCAGTGGGGAGGAGCTTCACCAGCCAGACTCCACACTGGAGGTTCGTGGCTTCAGTTTGAAACCTGAGCCCATTTCTCTGCTCACACAGTGTGCACATTACAGCATCAGTATCCTGTTCCAGGAGCCTGGAAATCAAAGAGGTGCTGGTTGGGGCACCATGTTCGAAGGGCTCAAAATGTAGCCTTAGAAGTCCCCTGTCTTGCATTTCTTTCTTATTCCCCTGTGCCAAGATTTTGCGAAACCTTTCATAGATGCCCAATAAGGACCAGCTGCTCCCTGGGGAATTTCCAGCCTGGCCACCCTTAAGAGTTAATTCTCCGCCCTATCTGCCATTCCCCCTGTCTTCTCTTGGTTTCTGAATCCCTTTGGGAACTCAGAATAAAATAAGCTCTGTGCATGTGTACAGACAATTTATCATTCTCATAGTATTTTCACAGCCTTCATTGCAATAGAGTCCCCACCATGATCCTTTGAGACAGGCATTGCTATTCCCATTTCACAGATGGGGATAATCGAGGCTCTGAGGGAGAAAGGTGCCTGTAAGATCACACAGCTGCTAAGTGCAGCACCAGTGTCTGGATGACTCTGGAACAGGTTTCCTCACCACAGCGAGCTTCGTGGGAATTTGCCAATGGAACACCCCAGGCCTTGGCACCCGGCAGACCCTCATTGGAAACAGACTCTGACCTTGGGCATGTCACTTCCCTGCTCATCTCAGGGTTTCAAGGTTTGGAAAAACAGCCTAGAGCCTGTCTGACTGAAGGCACTCCATAAACATTACCACCCTTCTTCTGATGAAGTTTGGCTCAAGGGGCATCTTGGGTTTTCCAGGCCCTGGTTAGGTCTGATGAAGGTAGAAGACATTGCTCAGGCCATGGGCATGCAGATACCAAGCTCTGATCTCTTCATGACTTCATCCCTACCCACTCCCAGCAGGCTCACCTACTCAGGAGCATATCCTGGCTGCCTGTTTGTATGGCCATCTGAACACGCTTTTTGCTTCTCAGACATTCCTGAGGAAAGAGAGACCGTACCATCCCATGATTTAGGTGATTTCATGACATATGCCAGGATGCCACTCCATGTGGAATGGGTGAGCTGATTGAAGTATTTTCTTCAAATGGGTCTAATTCTCTTCCAGAATGAACTCCTTGGCATGTCAGCTTTCCATTCATTAGACTCTGGGTCTCCGCCTAAGAAAACTGAGCTGGATTGCATGGAGCAACCTCTCAGCCTGACACACAACCTCAGCAAGGGTGGATTTGGGCCCCCCGTCCCCCATCCACATTCCCTCTTGGTATCTGTCCAGTTAGATTTTCAAGAGTGCTTTCCAGGCACAGGCCAGTCTCAGCTGTAATGGGAAGACACAGAACACCTACTGTGTGTCTAGCACTTCACTAAGGACTTTGCAAAGTAATTATTACATAATGATTTACAAGGTGTATTTAGTGCTTACCATGTATCCGACTTTGAGCCAAATACTTTGCATACACCATTTCTTACTTAAGCTTCATAATCACCCTTGAGAGATGTGCTGTTATTTTCCACAGTGTTTTAGATGAGGAAATAGAGGGTAGAACAACTTTCCCAGGACCACAGTGAACAAGCAATGGTGCCAGCACACAAACCGAGGTCTGTGTGATTCAAAAGCCTGGTATGCAAACCTATTTTATAATATCGTCTAATGTGATCTTCATAACATCCCATGAGGATGAGATTAGTAACTCCATTTTATAAATGAGAAGATTAAGGTACCCGAAATAGCATGTAACTCGGGCACTTCTTCTGAGGTCATATGGCTGGTAAGTGGTAAAGGTGGGATTGGAACTCATGAAGCCTAACGAGAAAGGGGCATATCCAAGGACTAGGCACTAAAGCTTCACCAGATCCTCCAACATCCTGTTCCCTTGAGGCTAAGTGCATTTCCTTGGCATGACCAAGCTCCTATTTAATCTCTCAAGACCAAGTTCAAATGTTCCTTCCTTGGGAAATACTTCCCTAGTGACTTCAGGCATCTTCCTTGATGCATTAAGGTACCGAAGACTATTCCCAGTTGTCACTTTTTATTTGTATATGTCTCTCTCACTAAACAGTAGCTCCTTAGCAATGGGATACAAATCTTATTTGTCTGCATGTCTTTAAACTTAGCATGGAGTAGACACCTAAGTAGTTACCGAAGGTAGAAATTAGGTGATTTCTTTCAGCTTCCTTGGGTCTTAGAATGCATTCCTTAATACATTATATCCATATATATTCAAGGTATAGATAGATCAGTGTTTCCCAATTGGGAGTGCACAATAGAATCACCTATGGAATTTTTAAAAATATGGATTCCAAGGTTCTACCTGAAGCCTAGCAAGTCATATACTGTCATGGCTAATCCATGTCTGTCCAAGACCCAGTCACCCACCCTCTTGGATAAACAGCGCCCTCCACCACCAACACAGAGGCAGGAGTGTCTCAAAGCTTCACCAGTCAGAGTTCTTCCTTGAATTTTTTGTTGGAATCAGGGGCAAGAGTTTTCTTTGTGTTTCCAGACGTAGAGTTGGAATAATGTGAATCTATGCCTGGCAGCAGCCCTGTTCCCTGACACATGAAGAAGCTTATCTTCCGTGAGAGAAAGAAAAGAGGGAACAGGCTCGGCCATCCCCAAGGCCTGCTTGATTCCTGCCCTTTTGAGGTTTGAGACAAGGAACTCCCTTCAACTTTTTCTTAAGCTACTTTGCGAGGGTTTCCTGTCCCTTGCAAATGTTTGTGTGTGATGTGTGGTGTGTACGTATACATTACGGTGTATGTACAGATTTTAAAAATAATAGCATTAAATGATATTTTATATAAAAAGATAAATAAATAAACATGGAGATGCTGCTTCTACCTTGACCTAATGGCATGATGAGATGCAGTGTAGCTCATGCCCAGGGCCCTGCCTGCCCTTCCTTCTGTGGGCATAGGCCCTTGGGCCAGGAGGTCCTCTGGCCTGACGCCATTAATTCCCATTCCCAAAATGGGTGGAAAGAGTGTGGGGATGATTTTAAGGTTTTCTCAGCCATCAAAGACAGGGAATTGAGGGATGATGGAATCTTACTTTTCCAAAGAGAAAACTGAAGGAACACTTAAGAGCCACCAAAAAAAAAAAAAAAAAAAAAAGTGGATAAATTGAGAAAATCATCTATGAGGTTGGATATATAAGGCCATTTTTTTTTTTTTTTAGACGGAGTCTCGCTCTGTCGCCCAGGCTGGAGTGCAGTGGCACGATCCCGGCTCACTGCAAGCTCTGCCTCCAGGGTTCACGCCATTCTCCTGCCTCAGCCTCCCAAGTAGCTGGGACTACAGGCGCCCGCCACTACGCCCGGCTAATTTTTTGTATTTTTAGTAGAGACGGGGTTTCACCATGTTAGCCAGGATGGTCTCAATCTTCTGACCTTGTGATCCACCTGTCTCGGCCTCCCAAAGTGCTGGGATTACAGGCGTGGGCCACCGCACCCGGCTTATAAGGCCATTTTTTATTGTTATTTATGAGCGTAAAGAATTTCAGGGGTAGGGGGTAAGTCTTCACTATTTCTACTCTTCTCTTAAGTGCTGACCTCATACCCAATAAGATCAACCTCAACAGTGTGTAATAGGTCACTCTTAATATTGTTGGTCTGGCAAAATGAGGTGCTGGTGACTTTTCAGAAAATGTTACAAGCCACCCCTCTGCCCAGCTACCCTCCTTCGGAAGAATCTTCTGTGCCATGTTTCCTCATGACCTTGTATTCTTCCCTTGCTTATTATAAATGAATGCACGTACTTCACTCATTAATCCATTAGCTAAGCACCTGCTCTGTGGAAGGCCCTGTGCTGAGTTATTTGGTAACAATATGGATCAAAAGTGATCCAATATAGATCAATATGGTCAATATGTGACCAAGGAGGTCACAGCCTCTGGTGAGACACAGACAAGGGTGTCTATTTCTATCAGAAATCAACAGGGTATCTTGAGCTATGACAGAGGCCTCTACAATAGGTAGTTCAAGCACAAAAGGAGGGGGCCCATTGGCTTTAGGAGCATGTCAGGAAGGGTCTCAGAGCTGGACAACTTTTATCTAGGCTTTGACGTATGTGTAGGAGTTTACCAAGTAGAGTATCTTAAGGCTGCATTCAAAGATTTACCAACTCAACTTTAAGAATTATGTCTCTGAATGTGTACCTCTCAGTAAAAGGTCTCTTTTTTCTTATACAATTTTTTGAAGAAAGGGAGAGTTTATATCCCTCTTGGAGCTCTGTCTGGAGCCTTCTCCTAACTTGCACAACTGCTTTTTGAGGAAAAAAGAAGCTGGTAAAATATCCTGTGTCTAAAAGCCACAAAAATATACAGAGCAGGATCTAAGTTTGACATAGAAATACATTCTATAAACGCATTCCTAGCTCCACTTCCTCACCCTCCAACTGCCAGTAATTTATTCAGACAGCTTCAGCTGAAACCATTTCTCGCTTGGTATAATATTCTGGAAAGGTGTGTTAGGATTTTCTTCACTCTGCAGGGCTTTGTTCTTTTCTTGCCAAGAAACCATTCTATCCCTCGGCCTCTAACTTCCATGAGCTGCGGTAGATGGGGAATGGACCCAGTCCTCTCTGGCAGGAAAAGCAAATGATTTCTGTGTTTCTAGATGTTTCTTTTCAATTCACTTCTGATGGACGTGTCCAGTGCCGCAGGGGTGATAGAAGGCTTTCACTCGTCCTTTATGTGACCCAGGGAGATGGACCTTCCAGTTCAGCCCCTTTTACAGGTGAGGACAGAAGTGGAAAAGAAAGGACAGAAGAGAGAATGGGAAAGAAAGAGACTTCATGGGCACTTGCTTTGGCAGGTACCTTTCACATAGGAGATTGAATTGCGTCCTCTGAACAACCCAGGAAGGAGGCATTATGGGCCCTATTTTATACCTAAGAAAACTGAGGCTCAGAGAGGAGAAGTAGCCCACCGGAAATCAGCAAGGCCCCTATGTGACCCCAGCTCCCTCTTATCTGGAATGAGACCCTAAGGCTTGAAAAACCTTGGGGTTGAAAAACCCCAAGGCCATCATGTCATGCTACCTCCTGAGACTGTCCTGAGGGCCTGGCCTGTGCCTCTCAGTTGGGAACTAAGAAAGGTGAGATATGGATCCTCCCCGCCCGGACCCTCATATTGGTGAGGAGCAAGAACAAAGGGAGGCATTCCAGGATGGGGACCAGCCCGAATGACAACTGCCGCCTTTGTAAAGCCCTGCCGGACACTCCCAGACACTCACTGCTGAAACATTCAATCCATCCTCCTGACAATCTGGAGATAAGTGCAAATATTATCCTCATTTACAGCCCGAAGCAGAAGATTTGGGCAAAGGCTGTGTGATTCCACAGCACAAGCTCCCAATCACTGAAGACAGTCGTATAGCTTAGCCCTGGGGTCTTACTGCCTAGCGCCATGCCTTTTTCTGTGATGAGCTGTGTGTGCTTGGACAAGTTATTTCCCCTCTCTGGGCCTCCATTTCCAGGGCTGTAAAATGAGGATGACACCAGTAATTAACTCAAGGCAGTGTTGTGAGGATTCAATGGGAAAGCACAAGCAAAGCCCTTAGCGCCGCCTGGGCTTCCTGCCTGTGCAGGGCTGGACGACTGCAGCTGAATACCTAGCGTGAGTAGGAGCCACCATCTGCCTTCTGGTCATTCCAGGTGTCATATCTGCATATTCATTAGATCCACTCTGAGCACAGGAAAAAGGGACAGACCTGGGAATGTCTGCCATGGGCTCTGAACCTGCCCCTTTGGAGTGGAGTACAGTTCTGCCAGAGGAGGGCAGAGCTGGGTGAAATTTTCTTTCCCTGTTACCTGCCTCCAACACAGCCAGCTTCTGCATTGGTGGCCAAAGGAAAAGAATTATTCTTCCTCTGGCAAGATTTGGTAGACCTGATCCTTAGGAAAATTTCGTTGGGAGGTGAGGGAGGTGAAAACTGTGTCTCCATTGAATGTTCCCAAGAACCAAGTAGAAGGAGCTTTTTCCTAAAAAGCCATTTGGATGTGGGAGGTAACCTCTTGCTCTGATTGCTTCTCTTAGGCTTAGTTATCTGATCTGAAAATTTACCCCCCTCATATATTTCACTTAAGGGACTGAAATACATTCTCAGTACTATCTAACGGAGTAGGGTAGGAATGGTAACGCTGCCCATAATGCCTGCGTGGGAAGTGGGAGGGAGCCCTGTGGAACCAGACAGACCACCTGCTCACCACACAGCTGGGTTAGAATCCCAGCTCAGCCACCTCCAGCCTGTGTCACATTGGACCTGCCTCTTTTCCTGTCTAAGCCCCAGTTACTTTTTCTGTAAAAAGGGAGCAACAATTGTACTAGTATCCGAGGCCGCCATAATAAAGTACCACAAATGGAGTGGCTTAAAACAGAAACATATTCCCTCGCAGTTCTAGAGGCTGGCAGTGTAAAATCAAGGTGTTGGCAGGGCCGTGCCCCTTTTGAAGTTTTAGGGGAGAATCTGTTCTGGGCTTCTCTCCTGGCACCTGGTGCTGCCGGCAATTCCTGGCTTTCCTTGGCTTGTGGACACATCACTCCCCTCTCGGCCTCTGTGGCCACATGGAGCTCTCCCTGCCTGGGTCTCTGTGCCCCTTCTTCTTAAAAGAACACCAGTTATACTGAGTTGAGCCTCCCCACTTCCCGCAATGGCCTCTTCTTAACCTGATTACATCTTCAAAGACCCTATTTCCAAATAAGGTCACTTCAATGTATCGTTTTTTTGAGGGTTAAACAGGTACTTATGCCAAGTGGCCAGCCCAGCACCTAGCCCCTGGGAGCTTTCATTCTGGAAGTTGTGTGGATGCATTTTTGTTATGCTTCATCTCAGTGTCCCCAGAAACATCTCAGTGACCCACTTTGCCCTTGTCTTCTTTAACAAAATGCATTTGTTTTTTCATGACACAATAATACATATTTGTAAAGGGAAAGAAACATGATATGAAATATACTTATACAAAATGTCTAGAGAAGGAAATTTTCATTCATTTTTAACAGCTACATGGTGTTCCATAAGATGGCTAGAATTGAAAAAAAAATTAACCACTCCCTATTTGGGGACATTTTGATTACCTCTAGTTTCTTATCATTACAAGAACACACCTGTAGGAACCTCCTGATGCAAGCCTGACTCACCTGTGCTCCAATAGGAGCTTTCTTCTTGATACGTAAGACACACACACACACACACACACACACACACACACACACACACACACACACACACACACACACACACCCCCCAGGCCAGCAGAAGCTTTAAGCCTCCTATGCTATGAAAAAAAGACAGCTGGAACATCTGAATAATTAGAATCTTGATTAATGAGATGCAGCTTGGCTCCCTGGAGGCCGCTTTCAGGGATAACCTGGGACTCTAAGCTGCTGGTATTCTCCAAAGGCCTGTTCAACACGGTTGGGCAAATCCAAAAGTGATGCTATCACAGTGCAGCTGACGATGTGAATTCATGAGCGATAATCTTGATCACCGCCACCATCCTCTCTCGTTGTTTGTTTCTTTCCTCACCTGCTAAATTGGTTCTACCATGAACTTCCCAAGATATAAGGCATGTGCTGCTTGGTCAAGAGGTTCATCAAAATCCTGGAGTGGCTTTCTTCTCTAGGTACCCAGAGAAGCCACACTCCAACCAGTTTAAGGGTGGGAGAGCTGTAAGCAGACTAAACCTTCCTATGCAGGAAGGCATAGCTGGCAAAACTTTTCTATTCCCAGGACAATGTGTTCAGCTGGGGTTCCAGCAGCACTTAACCTCTCAGGTCAAGTGAACTTGCCAAGTTTCAAAGGCAATTTGGGTGGGATATGTAGCCACTTTGATAAAGAGGCTTAGAGCAAGGCGTTGAAACACCATCACCTGCCTCCCCACTTGCTCTCCGAAAGGCCAGCTTCTAACAGCTTCCATCCCGTAGGTGGGTAATCTATGTGTTATCTAATCATGAAAAAGAGAAGGTGGCATCTGGTTACAACATCAGCTGAAATTCACCATTCAGGGTAACAGAGACCCCATATACCATGCTCTTCCTCCTTCTCTATCCATTCAACAAAGTCATCCTAAAATCTTCCTTATGTGTCAGCCTTGGCTAGAAGCTTTCCAGTCCAAGTATCTCAATCATCCTTCACCACCACCAAGTGGATGTTGCTGCCTCTGTAAGGTAGATAAGGAAACAAAAGCCGAGAAAAGTGTTCAAGCTTCACCCAGCTGGTAAAGGGCAGAGTCAGAATTTGACTTTATGCCTATTGCCAAAACCCACATTTTTTTCTTGATGATCTTCCTGTTTCCTTAAGGCTTCAGATTTTTAAAAATCATCAAAAAAATTTAAATGAAAATCAAGAGTCTATTATCTTATCACCCTAATCTCTTTTCATTTGGGGCTATTATCTCAATTATTGTCTGCTCTGTTTCAGACATTGCACTGGCTGAATAGATGAATGAATGAGTAGATGGATAGATGGGTGGGTGAGTGGATGGATGGGTGTGGATGGATGGGTGGGTGAGTAGATGTATGTGTATGTATGGATGGATGAGTGCGTGGATGGATACATGGATGGATGGATGGATGGATGGATGAGTGGATGGATGGATAAATGTGTGAATGGATGGGTGGGTGGATGAATGGAAGAATGTCAATGGATGGATGGATGGGTGTGTAGGTGGCAGATGGGAGGCTAATCAATTAACCAGTTTCTTTTCCTTTGCATGGAGGACTTCTCCTGGAATAATGCCCCTCTCATTCTGAGTCATGCTGTACAGACACACTGCATGACCCCCAGCACTCACTGCTTTTCTCTCTTCAATAGAGAAATGGGCAAGCAAGATTGAGGAGACCATCTTCCTGGTGTTTAAGAACATCAGCATGACCAAGGTTACAATGCGGGGCTGAGAAAATGGCATCCTGAGTCATGGGTTTTCCAGGACTGCTTGGCTGAACACTTGCTCCTGTTGTTGAGTAAAGTGGTCAGCTAAATCCAGATCAAAAGACTCCTAGAAAGGTGACTGTCAAAAATCCTGTAAAGCCATGGCTCCTGGGTCAGGGAGGAGGTTTCTTAAGTCTTACGACTCCTACTCTGACTCCCTCTCTTAGATGCTACAGACTAGGAGGGTCTGCGAATCCTGTAGTCAGCTCTGACGTTGGGAACCAACCCTCCATTTTTTTAAGACTGACCCCAAGAGCAGGGCAGACAGGTGCACGGGGAAGAGCACTGGTTTAGGAGTCAGTCAGACTTGGGGTTGAGTCTTAGCTTTGCCTCTGACCCTGGGAAAGTTTCTTAGCTTTGCCGGGTCTTGGTTTCTTTGTCTGTAAATTGAGAATAGTGTTATTACCTACAAAAGGGCTGAGGGGCTATGGGGGTGGGGACAGTGGTGGGGACTACACTACATAGTAATGGGCCAGGTTCCTGGCACAGAGCTGGAAAAATCCTAGGTGCTCAGTAGATGTCAGTCTATCAATTTCTGCACCTCTGGCCTTTGAGACTCACTTCGGAATACAAAAATGGGAATATCTCTTTGAGTAAATACATGCCGAGTTTCCTATTTTCTTATACACTGGAATGGAAATTTGATGGGCTTGGTCTTGGTTTATATTTCACTTTCTAGATCCTGCTTGGCTAAAGCTGAGGTCTCTCAGTGGAGAGAGTTGGAAAGGCTTGAGCTTCAAAATATTTAGAATATGACTCTGAATTTGCTCCCATTTCCCACAATGATACACAAAAAATTGGTTCATTCTTCCCACTCCACTGACTCGGCAAAGATGTGATCCTCTAAAATAACAACCCCAGCCCAAGAAAAGGGAGTATTTCACACTCTCCATCTGCAGTGTGTCATGAAGAGGAAAGGAAAAATAAAGAAACCTTTAACAATTTGCCATATTGTATGCTTTGGAAGAGCCTAGTAAACTTGCCAGCAAATTGCTTCTAATTATAGGAAACCTGCCTTTGGCTTCAGGAAACACTCACTAGCGTCATTCCACTTCTCAGTTCTTGGCAGAAGCAGAAGTTTCTTCCATTATTATTTCAGTTGGCTTGAGCTATCGACAAGGAATTTATCAAATGGGGCATGCAGCCGCCTCCGTGGAATTAGTACTAGAGGAGAAAGTGCGTGGGAGCCAGGTGAAACAGGCCAGCCTCTGAAGAGTCCGGATACAACCTCCAGGACCAGTGTCAGCTGTCAACAATGATGATCTGCCTGTCTTATGATCAATTTTTATTTCAGAAGTTACAGAATGCATACATGTCATTATCATAAAATCTAGTAAAATATCAAATTCCCACATATCTCTCTTCCTCAAAACTGTACCTTTCCCCAGGATGGTTCACCATTCTACTGACTTTTCCTAATTCTGCTGAAGCTTGTCAAGAGTACTCTTATTAACTACTGCTCACTTCCCAGCTTTGGGTACACCATCGGGTCCCTTCTGGGCCCTTTCAGATACTCTGTCTTCATCTTTCCTCTTTCTCTTTGAAATGTGTATATACTTGTTCTTTTTTTAATTGGGTGATATATTTAGCTACTGTTCCATTAAAGGGCCATATATGCAAAGCTGCCCCCCAAACACAAAAGGATTCAAGAAACCAGAGAAGGAGGCAAACAAGTCCAGCTTGTCATTATAGGGCGATTTTACTGGGAAACTTATGGACACCGTTGCTTCCAGACTCAGGAATTATATACTGTAGGGAAAGGGAGTACCTGCTTAATTTAACCTAAGGGCAGAAACATAAGTTAAGTATGAGTTTATCAAGGTTGATTTGATCTAAAGGCAGGATTTACAGGGAACAATAGCGAAACTGGAAATCTTAGAGATTCCCAGAACCTGCATTAATCAGAGATCAACATGTCAGATTATCTTCCAAGATGGAGTCACTTTAGCATCTAGGGCAACACAACTGTCCTTCTTCCCTTAATAGTGAATTTATATTGGAGATCATCCTTCCTGGTATCTATAGGGGTACCTCATTCATTAAATGGTTATATTCTAGTTTATAGAAGTGCAGTCCAGTAGAAATATAATGCTAGTCAGTTTTCTAGTAGCCACATTAGAAAAAAAGTACAAAGAAATAGGTGGAATTAATTTTAATGTCCCACGCCTTATCAACCTTTGTCTACAAAGATCATACCTATTCTAATGATAGTATGGTGTCATGGAAACTCTATCCCTTTTCTACTCTTCCACTCAAGGGTCTCCAAGCTAGTCCAAAGAACCCTGGGGAAGGCAAACACTGCTTTTTCCTCATCCATCCAGCTCTCCTGGCATGTCCTCTAATAAAAATGTTCATTTCTCAGTGTCCCAAAACTCTCGTCCATATGAATATGTGTAAATAGTCACTTGGAAAAGGCACAGAGGCAGAGTAGCTATGGAAAGAGAAAATAATTTAGCTAGTCTGGACTCAGCTAAGGTAATTAAAAATACTGTAACTCATTCATTTATTCTGTAAGGATTCAGCATCAACCCTGCCCCAGACCTTTTTCTGGATTCAGGAAATGCCTGATTTCTTCTTTCAAATAGTTTACAGTCTTATGAATGAGACAGACAGGCAAATCATGTGCACTGGGCTAACATGGTACACATAAAAGAGGACAACCAAGAATTCCTTCAGGGAGGGAGTGAAGCCCAACCTTGACTGGAAGGATGGGAAGTGGTAAGCCAGGGAAGGCAGTGAACACCTGGAATGTCCAAGATTAGGAGGAGTTTGCTAGGTGAGGGAAGGAGAGAAGCACCCTCTAGGTAGAGGAAGCTATGAGTTAAAGGAGTCAGGGGTGGCGGATGAAAAGGCAGATTCATGAGGCCGTGTTGCATGATGGTGCAGGGTTAGAGTAGAGGAACATTAGCTGGAGAATCAGATGGACCAGCCCAAGTAACTCTTTCCTAGCCACCAAAACAGATTTTAAAATATGTCAAAAATTCAACTGGCCATCTTCTCTCCAAAGCCTGCTCCCCATCCAGTGTTCTCAGACTGGCCCAACAACCTCACCCAGGTGATTATTCCCTGTCCTTCAATCCCATATTTAAAGCCATCCTTGATGACCCTCCCGTCCAATCTCTCATCCCCATCACAACTGCTGTCACCCTAACTGCACCACCTCAGCTTTCTCAGGGGAGCTGTGCCAGCCCCAGACTTGTCATCCGCATTCTTTGTTGCTACTTCTGACCTTCCCCACACCGCAGGGCGGCCATTCCAAAATGGAAATCCGACCATGCACTAGTCATTCACTGATTCCCATTTTCCTCAGGATAAAGAGTTTTAGACATCTCTGATCTGCAGATCTGTTAATAAATGAACTTTCTGGAATAATCTCCACTCTCCTTCACTTACCCCATGTATTAGTCCGTTTTCATACTGCTATAAAGAACTGCATGAGATTGGGCAATTTATAAAGGAAAGAGGCTGAATTGACTCACAGTTCAGCATGGCTGGGGAGACCTCAGGAAACTTACAATCATGGTGGAAGGTGAAGGGGAAGCAAGGCACCTTCTTCACCAGGCAGCAGGAAGGAGAAATGTCCAGCAAAGAGGGAAGAGCCCCTTATAAAACCATCAGATCTTGTGAGAACTCACTCACTATCATGAGAACAGCATGGGGGAAACCGCCCCCAATGATTCAATTGCCTCCACCTGGTCTCTCCCTTGACACACGGGGATTATGGGGATTATGGAGATTACAATTCCAGATGAGATTTGGGTGGGGACACAAAGCCTAACCATATCACCCCAGAACCCAACCTTATCAAGCCATCCCATTTTCTCAACATGTCATAACTTTCACATCTCCATTCCTGCCCCATCGTATTATTTCTGCTTGGAATTTTTATTCACCTATGCTACCAGGCTAGTTTTTTTTTTTCTTTGAAGCCCTAGCTCAAAAAGCTTCTCCTTTAGCTAGCCCAACCTGTTCCTCCCATCCAGGAAGAATAAAATAATTGGTTCTTCATCTGTGTTCTCAGGCACTATTGTCTCTTTAATACACTATACCATAATTTTACCATGGTTCTGTAACTCAAGTAAATTTCAGACAACACAGTGGTCCACTGTCAGCCCAGTCTCAAGTCCCAAAAAGCACAACTATGCAACACACAAGTAGTAAAAAGTAGTTAAAATCTTTGCTGAGACATGCCATGGAAATGGCAAAGAGGGGAATGAATTTCCAATTAATACTACACATCTTTAAAATTATCTCCCAGTGAATACTGTGCAGCCGTAAAAAAGGATGAGTTCATGTCCTTTGCAGGGACATGGATGAAGCTGGAAACCATCATTCTCAGCAAACTATCACAAGGACAGAAAACCAAACACTACATATTCTCACTTATAGGTGGGAATTGAACAATGAGATCACTTGGACACAGGGCGGGGAGCATCACACACCGGGGCCTGTCAGGGGTGGGGGATAGGGGGAGGGACAGCATTAGGAGAAATACCTAATGTAAATGATAAGTCGATGGATCCAGCAAGCCAACATGGCACATGTATACCTATATATCAAACCTGCACATTGTGCATATGTACTCTAAAACTTAAAGTATAATAAAAAAAATTATATCCCAATGATTGACTCTTTCAATATCCTTCTCAGTCAACAGTTGTTCCCTAAACTAACTCATTCATTCTCTCTCTCCCAAATCCTAACTTTCTAAAGCTACCTCTGACATCTGCCTTGCGTGTTTATTTATTTCTGCCTTCTTATCAAGGCCACTGACTTACACACATGACGGACACCATTCCCACTATAGTCTTTGGAGTGGAGCTTCCAAAGATGCTATTTCCATAGAATACCATGTGAATGGTGTTCCCTGCAACACAGCAGATCTGCTCCCATCCCTCTCTCAGCTCTGTTCTGCGTATATCAATTTAGTATCTCTAGCTTTTTCTCCCTTAGCTAGTTTCTGGATGCTGACTCAACAAGCAAAGATCTCTCTCCCAACAGCCATGGGAGAAGGTAGAAGATCATGAATACTAGTTCATTAATTACTGTTGTCTCTGTTACATCTGTTTTTGAGTCAGTCTTTCCCAGCAAATGGTGAGCTCTTCCATGTCACAGGCTGTATTTTACTTAGCTTGGTGGTTCCAGAGCCTGCACAGATTCCAGAACATCTAGATGCTCAATTACTGAGTCAACGACTTTTAAAGAAAAAAAATATGTAAAAGCTTAAATGGCCCATAACTTTCCAAAATAAAAAGAGCACTGAACACATTGGTTTTTATATTACTAATATATCTACGTTACTTCGTTTCAAAGGTTAGTATCTTTTAGCCATGGGCTTTCAAATTATAGTCTACATCAGACAAAAGTTTCAAGAAAAAAAGTTACCATTACTTCATCCAATACATTCTAGTTTATTCTGTTTCTTTCTTTAAGTATTGTTTTAAATTGAAAGCTGGTCATACACAACTGAATGGATGTCCCTACTCCTATGTTATTTCTTCAGTTTGAAAAACATTGCTCTTCTTTTTTTTTTTTTGAGAGGGAGTCTTACTCTATCGCCCAGGCTGGGGTGCAGTGGCGTGATCTCGGCTCACTGCAACCTCAGCCTCCCGGGTTCAAGCTATTCTCCTGCCTCAGCCTCCCAAGTAGCTGGGACTACAGGTGCCCATCACCATGCCCGGCTAATTTTTGTATTTTTCAGTAGAGACGGGGGTTTCATCATATTGGACAGGCTGGTCTTGAACTCCTGAGCTTGTGATCCGCCTGCCTCATCCTCCCAAAGTGCTGGGATTACAGGCGTGAGCCACCGCGCCCGGCCTGCTCTAGTTTCTCTTTTTCTTTCTTTCTTTTTCTTTTTTTTTTTTTTTTTTTGAGACAGAGTCTCACTCTGTCTCCCAGGCTGGAGTGCAGTGGCACTATCTAGGCTCACTGCTAGCTCGCCTCCCGGGTTCACGTCATTCTCCTGCCTCAGCCTGCCGAGTAGCTGGACCTACAGGCACCCACCACCACGCCTGGCTAATTTTTGTATTTTTAGTAGAGACGGGGTTTCACCGTGTTAACCAGGATGGTCTCAATCTCCTGACCTCATGATCCGCCCGCCTCGGCCTCCCAAAGTGCTGGGATTACAGGCGTGAGCCACCGTGCCTGGCCTCCAGCTTTTCTTAAGAAGGATCCTTTTTTTTTGTCTCCTGTTAACACACCATTGTGTATTTCCCCAAATCAGCAGGCTCATGTGACAGTGGTCACCAGTTGGTACTCCTGGATAGCATCTCCTCCTTAGGAGAAACTTCCCTTTTTATGGCTACCTGTGTGGAAGTGGATATGGGGGTTCGGTTGGGAGAGCACTACTCTGAGTCCTCTAAGTCTCAAAACACAGGTCAGCTTGGGCACAAGATCACCACTTGGAACCCTAGTACTCAGAGCCCTGGTACTCTTCCTCCCCATGAGCTATAGGCCTGCCTTCTCTTTTGCCCAGTTGTACAGGGGGCAACTGTTGTCTTAAACATGGCATACTCACCTGTGCGCACATACACACATGCAAACACGTACACTTGTACACATGTGTCATTCATGAACAAACTCATGAATTCTCAGAGAAAATGGAGTCCCAAGTTATAAGGAGGAAAATAAAGTTTTTCCTAACCATTAAATAATGTGTACGATGCGTCTTTCTTGACACAGTCAGAACTCTAGGTTATTATTTTGAATAGTGTTTAATTACCTTTCTTCATGCATTGAACGTCATCCTACTTTCAGATTGGGCCCTGTTGGGTCTGCCAGAAAGAAGAAACGAGCTTGTTTTATAGCCTCTTAAAGACTTCTGCCCTATGCTAAAGTTGATGTGAGCTGGCCATTCTGGGAAGAACTTGACTATATTCCTGGACAAGGGCCCACGCTGGCCTTAGTTTCTGTCCGTGGAGACAGATGGGATGATTCTCTTCTTCCAGACATGGAGGAAATAGGAGAGCCTTGCTGAGAACTGAGACTCAGCCCAAAGTGGCCACGGAAGCAATGACGAATTTGTGGTATCATGGGGTTGTGGGTTTAGATTTCCACAGATGCCCAGACATGAGGGCCACCTGATGATGTGTGTGAGCTTGGTAGCCAGTGCCTAGCATTTCCTTAGGAGGGAACATTCTCGAACACACAGCTCTTTCTCTCCATCACAAATCAAAAGGGGACAGAAATAAACAACAATAGCAACAGCAGGCCCAGCCCAAACAATGGACTTTGGCGAGTAAAATGCCCTGTAAGACTCTCAGTCCCTTGGTCCATAAAATAAAGACCACACCTGCCCTGCCAGCTTTGTAGAGCTGCAGGTAAGTAGGCTGCACATGAGATCCACGTGGGATGGGAAAGCAGTGCCAATACTACATGGTACCGTGCACATGGAAATATTGGGATATTAAAAAGAATTTTAGTCACAATTCACAATAAAGCCTGTAAGATACACTTGCATTTCACAAATGAGAGAAAGGAACTAACAATTATGTGGCAGGCATTCAGCTGAGTCATTTCATAGATAATATCTCACGTCATCCTCATAATGGCAGTATGGTGAGGCAATGCTATTTTATCTATGTTACAGAGGAAGGAGAGGTTCAGAGAGCTTACGTAACCCTCAAAATTTTACAGCCCAATAAGACAATAAGATTGTAAGTTGGGAGGTAAACTCTGGTGACTCAGGTCCAGGGTCATTGCTTCCCACCTCTGCTCCACATCTATGAGACCAAAATTAATCAGGGATACACCCTATTGCACAAGGCAGAAATCCCAGTGGCTGTCCTCAGAAGATTCCAGGAAGGGCAGGCCCTGAGCATCATGACATCACTTCCAGTAGAATCCAGTTGATTTTGGACATCCCTTCCAAATCTGACATTTATGGATTCCAAGGGTTACAGAAAATGAATCCTTTCTGGGCTGATCAGGGAATACTGCTTTCTTAAAGCCACCAGGCTCCCCGAGTGTTGTCCTTGAGTGGAATCTTCAGTGGTGACCGCATAACCTCTATTTATTCTGTGAGCTTAAAAGTCAGTCCTCAAACACTTGACTTTGGCTGTCAGCTCTAAACTGAAGTGGGAGATACTTGAGGTGGTTTGGATCTCAATGACTAGGCTCTTGGACTCGGGAGACATCCCGCTCTTCTTGGAGAAGCTTTTTTAAAATTTTTGCATGTTTTCTGATAGCAGTTACTTGAGCACTGCCGGCTTTCTGGTCCCATTCTAGCAAGGGAGATGAGCTGCCTTGGAGAGGCCATCTGAAGCTTGATGGGAGGCTGCTGTCTGAAGTTGTTACATCCCCTCAGTCTGTTTTTAGAAGCCTCTTGAAGAGAGGAGATAAACTGCTTGGCATCCTTGTTCATGATAATGGATGGGAAGGAGCCTAGCGGCTTGGGCTAGATGGCAGGGGAAGCTGGCAGGGATGTTGGAGACACTCCTGGCTCTGCACCAGCACCAGGCCAGTCCAGCCCTGAATATCCTGAGCCATTCTAGGAGTAATCTCTCTGAAATGTGAATCTGACCCCAACACCACTTGCTTCCATGATTAAGTCGAAAGTCCTTAAGTTAGTCATGCAAGCCCCTCATGATCAGCTCCTTCCAACCTCTTCATCATTTTTGTCCTCCCTTCCTCTTCTTCCTCTACCTTCTCTCGAGGCTGGCAAGTCTACATGCATGGCACAGCATTTGTTGCCTTTATGCCCCTGCTCAAGCTATACCCTCCACTTGGAATGACCTTCCCCAGCTCCTTGGCCTTACAAACTTCTCTTTGCCCTCAAGATCCAGTTTAAGCATCTACCTTTCTCTAGCCTACAACCTCTACATGGCCCCAATCACACAGCATCACTATGTCCCCTATTAGTGACCTCATGGTACTCTTTGTTTATCCTATCAGAGCACCTGTCACACTAGGTGATGATTATCTGTTCTCATGTCTCTCTGTCTCCACTAGGCAGTGAATATCATAAGGGCAGGGACCATGGCGATTCTCATAACAGCCTCAGGCTATTGCATGTCTCAACTCTGCACGTAGTAGATATATAGTAAATGTGAAAGAAAATCAGTAAGGGAAGAAGGAAGTGAGGATGTGAGGGAGGGGGTAGGAAGGGTGATTTCTCCAAAAGAAATAGAAAAAGCACCTGTAGTCCCTTATTGTCAAAGTCTCCAGAGTGTTGCCAATAATATATATGCTGGGAGCAGACTGTCTGCTGAACCCCTGCTCTGTTACTAGCTGTGAGAATTTGGGGAAGTTACTTAACCTCTCTGTACTTCAACTTCCTCACCTGCAAAATGAGAATGAAAATACTTGTGAGGATGAATAAGTCAGTACATGACAGTCGCTTACAAATACAACTGTAATTTAGAGAGCATGAGCAACATTAGCTACTGTAACAAGTCAACTCCTAGTCTCAGTGGCTCATGGTCACATTTCAGTGCATCCTCTCCACAGAGTCTTTCAGGGATCCAGGCTCTTTCCATCTTGGTGCTCAGCTTCCTCTAGGTCCTGAGATTTCTCTCTCTTGAGCTGGCAGATGGGGAAAGAGCAAGGATCATGGAAGGAATGGCCAGGCCTAGATATAAGGGGATAAACATCATCTTCCAGTGGCCACAGCTAACCCAGAAAAGTGGCTCAAAATGGGGTTTAGCTGTGGGCATTAAGAGAAGGAGACAACAAAGACACTGATGGGCATGGGGATTCTCCACCCCAGGCACCACTTGGCACACTGTAAGTCTTGAATAAACGCAGGTGCTGTTATTATAGGGGGGAGCCTGATAAAAAATATCTGCTATGATTCTTGATAGATAATGAGGATATTTTGCAGGTTGCAAAGAGTTTGTTGTTGGGGGTTGCTCCCCAAGGCATGGGCCCTAAAATCAACATATTTTTGAGTCTCTGTTCTGCAGGGACACCCCTACAGTTACTGTCTTTCATTTCCACTGGGAAAGATGGCTTTGTGCTCATTTTGTTGATGATGTAACTGCCTTAAGGGAGAGCAGGCCAGGAGCAGTGGCTCATGCCTGTAATTCCAGCACTTTGGGAGGCCAAGGTAGGACAATCACTTGAACTCGGGAGTTCGAGACCAGCCTGGGCAACATAGGGAGACCCTGTCTCTACAAAAAATACAAAAATTAGCCGAGTGTGGTGGCGTGCGCCTGTTGTCCCAGCTACCCAGTACGCTGAGGTGGGAGGATCACTTGAACCCAGGAGGTTGAGGCTGCAGTGAGCCATGATTGTGCCACTTACTGCAGTCCAGCATGGGTGACAGAGCAAGAGCCTGCCCCCCGCAAAAAAAAAGAAAAAAAAAAACAGAGTAATGTATGTGCCAAGGTCATATAGAGACCTTGCCTCAAAACAAAACAAAACAAAACAGAGTAATGCATGTGCCAAGGTCATATAGAGAGGTTGTGGGGGGGCATGAACTAGGACATTGTTCTAGTTATGTGCTTTGTGCCTGCGAGGCCTCGGTCATCCCCCTCAACTGCCCTGAATCCCAGCTTCACATCTACAAAATGTTTGGATGGGGAGGGGATGTTTTAGAAAGGATAATTTCAGAGCTTATTTTTAGTTTTAAAAGACCATTCTGTGACATGAGGTCATCTAAAGGGAAATGACTTTGAACAACAAAAGATCTTTACGAAAAGGAGGGATTGATGGTGATTATGTTGCAATTATGGCAAAGCGCAAGTGGGCCCCATATGTGATTGCAACAGCCCCACCTCTGTAGAAAAAAGTTATGCTGATTTCTACAATGGTGTCAGGGACTTCGGGGTTAACACTCTGCAAATTTGACCAGAGCAAATAGATTTTGCTGAGTATATTCTCACAGAACACTATTTTTGTTTAAAAACAAATAGTGCTTTCAGTTAATAGCTGACATTTATTTAATTGGCCCAAATAAATGGCCAATTAAATTTATTGTCAACTGAAATGGCTAAGATACATAAAAGAAACGCAGGCTAGAGGACAATTTAAAGGCAGTTTCAGTTTTACAAAGGCATGGATGGTTTTCTTTGAAAGCAGTTTGGCTCAAGAAGCTTGTGTCTGCCTAGCACCCTAGTCTATTGGTCTGATCTGTGAGTGCACCTCGGTGTTGTGAAAGTTTAATTGGTTTAAGGAATTCACTAATTTTATTGTTCACTTTTTCGTAAAATTATTCAATAATCTTTTTTCACCAATCACTTGTGGAATCGTAGGCACTGGATGTGCAAACAGTAGCTGATTTGTTTTTAGCTCACTTTGTTTAATCAAATCTTCAGAGCAAAATGTTTTAAAAAGTACAGATGCCAAAGAAGTCTACAGTATACATGAAACAGTACCACAAACAATGGGTGGCCAACAACTGTCCCTGATCAAAATGTCACATCTGACATGACAACTTCTCCTGGGGCTCTAATTTCTAAACTGCCTGCAAATGATTAGCTAGCAGGATCTCAGTGCTGGGCCGGAGGGGGTTCAAAGGCTGGGATTATGCAGCTACTCACTTCATTTGTTCTTCTTTAATTGTTTATAGATTTTGAAAATGTTTATGGGACTGGAGAGAGGAAGACAGAGCAGAACAAAAGGAATTAATAACCATCGTGTGCTTGATTCTTAATGAACCCAGTCAAGAATCTCGGCCAATATGACATACTTTTGCTCTCTCGGGGGCAGAGGGTGGCTTTTCAGCCTAATTTTAAAAGAAAAATTATGCCTGACTTACTCTTCGGACACAATCTCAGAATGTGTTGGGGCTGACTATTGATACATGGTATGGAAGGCAGCTTTCTCCTAGTTACTCTTATTTTTTCTGGGAGAGCTCAGCCAACTGCAATGTGGACCAACTGTAGTAGCCTAGTCCATGCATTCAGTTTGTTTCTTGAGTACCTACTCTGCTCTGGGCACCTGGTAGGCACTAGAGGCATATTTGAGAGCAAATACTACATGGCATCTTCACTCCTGAGCTTACAGATTCCTGGGGAAACACACTAATGAAATAATCTCTCTCTCTCTCTCTGTACACACACACACACACACACACACACATTCACTCACTGCAAAGATGATGGTAAGAACTTATAAGTGAACTGTCGATCTAGTTGGCAAATCAGGAAAGGAAGTAATCTGGCTAAGATATGAAGAGGAAGCCAGAGGGAGAGACTTGAGAACAGTGTCTGCAGCAGAGAGAACAACACAGGCCGAAGCTCGTCATGGGAGCCGGTAGGCCATGTCTAATAAACTCAGAGAAGGCCAGTACGATTTGAGGGCAGAGGGTAAAGGCTCTTGCAATATAAGATGAGGCAATGATCGAGTCAAAAAGGGCCATGTGGATCAGTTAAGGATTTCTACTCTCATGTGAGGCTATTGAAAGCTCATAAGTTTGACACAAGTCCCAGCTGGAAGACAAATGCATCTCAGGTCAAAATCTGGTCCCAGCGCCTACTCATTCTGTGACCTTAGGCAAGTTTCTTCATGCTTTGAGCCTCAGGTTCCTCTTCTGTAAAATACGTAACTCCTACTATGCAAGGTCATTTGGGAGAGTCAATGAGAAAATACGTACAGCAATACTTAATACTACTTAATGCAGTGGCTGATACGTAACGTATGCTCAGAACACGTTGGCCTGTATGTTCAAAACGTGTTGACCTGAGATAGGTGAAATTGATGGTGTTTCTAACCTTTGATAACAGGAGTGGGCTTCGCTATCACCTTGCTTCTTTGAGGGTGAGGATATTGTGCTTAGCAAAATCCTCAAAATTTGAGACCACTCATTCTAATATTGGCTTTTCTCAGTTTAAAAAAAAAAGGAAAGATGTTTACTTTCCCCCTGGAATTATAGAATCACAAATTGTTAGACGTGGAAGGGACTTTGAAGGTGGTAATGCCAGCCCCTGCTCATTTTTGTAGCTATAATGGGTATTCCAGCACTTTGGGAGGCCAAGGTAGGAGGATCACTTGAACTAGGGAGTTTGAGACCAGCCTGGGCAACATAGGAAGACCCTGTCTCTACAAAAAATACAAAAATTTTTCTGTGGTACCAACAATACCTATTTCCCTTCACTTCGGTCTCCTTTTGAGGAATTACATCTTCTTCATTAGGTACAATCTGATGGGGCTACTTGGGGTGCCCATCCTGCCCTAGTCAAGGGGCAAGGACAACTCCCAAGCCAGTGAAGTGAGCCCTCCCTTCCTGGAAGTGGAATCCCAAACAGAAACATGAAAGGGCTGATATAGAATGGCGGGGAGGGGGAAGGTGGGGGGCTCCACGCTGGCACAGGCTCTTGGGCCTGTTGTTCTGCTTTTAGGCCCCACTTGAGTGTCTGCTTTCCAGCCTCTGGAAGGAGGGACCCTGAATCCCTTCCATGGTCCCAGCATGCTGTACAACTGCCCCTTGAGTTTGTTGGTCCCTGAAAGCCTTCCAACATAACTCCATTTTAATTGCTAGCTTAGAGCCAAGGCATACTAATTAACACCGCAGTGAAGAAATTGAAGCCAGAGAAATTAAGTGACCCGGACAAGGTCACACAGCAAGTTTGTTGGATCTGGGTGCAGAATCAATTAATTCCAAGTTCAGAACTCTTTGCACAGCACCTAGAGATTTTTTTTTTTAAATGGGGAGTTCTAGGAATAAGGTAGAGAAAATGCCTTGATTTCCATCCTTTTCTCATCCTGTTTGATTTCCCATCCACTTCGTAGAAGCAAATGAAATTCTAGCTCAAAACGTGAGTTGCTTCCTTTTGGGTCTGAAATCCATAGACATGAAAGCGGGCATTCAAGGCCTTCACGACATAATCACCACTCATGTCTCCAGCTTTATCTCCCACAAAGATACAGACCTGCTGGCTTTTTCTTCTACGTAAAACCTGCCGTCCAGCCACAGAGGCCCCTTCCTTGTCCCAGGCACATGCTGTCCTGTCCTCTCTCACACTCTCCCAGGGTGCTCTGTCTTCTTTCCTTCCTTCTTTCTTTTGACATTATAGAGAGCTACTCTGTCCCCGGCCTGATGAACTAACTCAGCAGGAAAGAAGACCCAGTCCTTTCCAGCTCAAAGTCTGCCAGGAGAGAGGGGTGAGTAAACGATCAGATCCAACAGGGGCAGGCCAGGAGGCTGTGGGATCACCAGCAGGATCCCAGCTGTCTTGGAAACCACAGAAGTTTGCCTAAAGGAGGAGATTTTATACTGACTTCCTAAGGATGAGCAGGAGATAAAAACAGGAAGAGGAAAATGTGCGTAAAAGAAAAGAGGAGAGAGAGAGAGACAGAGGGAGAGAGAGAGAAGATAGAGATGATACCAAACACACAAGCAGCAGAAGAAAACATAAACTGGACAACAGAATCATAATGGAAAACTTTTGTGCTTCCACAGGTACCATCAAAAAAGTGAAAAGACAATCCATGTAATGGGGGAAAACTTTTGCCAATCATGTATCTGATAAGGGACTTTTATCTGGAGCATAAGTAACTATTATAATTCAATTATTTAAAAAGGCAAATAACCAAAAATGGTCAAAGGATCTGAATGGGCATTTCTAGAAATATGATAAACTAATAGTGTAAAAGCACGTGAAATGATGCTCCGCATCACTAGCCATCAGAGAAATGTGAATTATAGCTGCAATGAAATACCACTCTCTACCTACTCATATGGCTATCATAAAAGGATAGATAAGAAGAAGTGTTGGTGATAATGTGGAGAAATTGGAATCCTCAAACACTGCTTGGAAGAATGTAAAATGGTACAGCCACTTTAGAAAACAGTCTGCCAGCGTCTCAAAAAGTTAAACATAGAGTGACCATATGACACGCAATTCCAGTCCTATATAGCCAAGAGAATTGAAAACATATGTGCACACAAAAACTTGTACACTGTTTACAGCAACATTATTCATAATAACCAACATGTGGGAACAACTCAAGAGTGCATCAACAAGACACATGGAGAAACACAATGTGGTATATCCATACAATGGAATATTATTCAGCCATGAAAAGGAATGAAGTGCTGATACATGCTACAACATGGATGAACCTCAAAGATATTATACTCAGTAAAAGAAGCCAGACACCAAGAACCACACAGCATTTGATTCCATTTCTATAAAATGTTCACAATAGGCAAATCCAAAGAGACAGAAAGAAGTTTAGTGGCTGCCAGGGGCAGAGGATGATGAGCAAATGAAGGTGTATGACAGCCAAGGGGTACGGTTTCTGTTTTGAGGTAATGAAAATGTTTCTAAATTGATTGTGGCAATGGGTACACAACTCTGTGAATATAATAAAGGAAATTGAATTGTATACTACACTTTGAGTGTGTGAATTGTATGGTATATGAATTATAACACATACCATGCATTTTAAAAATAATAAATAAAAAGAAATAATGCTTTTCAAAATAAAATAAAATAAAATAATAACTCTTATGTATCTTGTGTTACATCCAGAAGATGATAGGGTACAATGGCTAAGAGTGAAGGTTCAAAAGCAGCCTGCTGGAGTTTCCTGAGACCCAGGGCCAGTTACCTAACTTCTTAGGGCTTCAGTTTCCTTCTCTATAAAATGGGGGTGGATGAGAGAATGCATAAAAAGTACTGAATACCATGCCTGGCCCAGAGTACATGCTCAATGAAGGTGAACGATTATTATCACAACCAACTGACAGACTGGAAGAGTGATGACCCTGAGTTCCAGAGGGATTGTAGAGAAAGAAAAACTATATCAGAAAAAAAAATATTTTTAGGATTGTCATTATGAGAGCAAAAAAATATTTAGGAAATAGAAAATGCCAAATATGTCAAATTAATTTTATTCTCCAATGACAGAATTTTGTATAAATGGCCTTCAGAGTTCATTTAAAGTCACACACTCATGAAAATATAATCGGGAGCACAAGTGAGAGAACCAAGCTTTTAGGGATTAGAGCAGGGGAGAACCTGAGAGCAAGCCCAATCTTACCTAAAATGCCTACCTGGCATTATCAGGAGCCCACAACATACCCATCATTTTGTCAATGGAAGCTTTGAAATAAGACTTTCCATCCTTTGCAGGAGAGGAGGTCAGCCAGGCTGTTGTCTTCCAGAATTCTCCTTGTGCTACTGGAGTCTGAGGTGTTGTTAAAGTAAGAACAGCCAGGGATTGTGGAAAACAGTCAGAGGTAGAAAATAAAATTTGGGCACATTTTGAAGTTTGCCAATTACACTTTCAGGCATGTACCTTAGAGAAACACCAGCCCACATGCTCAATTAAACAGGTACAAAGATGTTCCTGAGGCATTACTAGTAAGAGAGAAGAGGTAGTGGTGGTAATGATGATGGTGGCAGTAATGATGAGGATGATGGTGGTGGTGATGGTGGTGATGGTGATGATGATGATGATGGTGATGGTGATGGTGGTGGTGGTGGTGATGGTGATGATGATATTGGTGGTGATGGTGATGGTGGTGGTAATGGTGATGATGGTGATGCTGACAGTGATAGTGATAGTGATGATATCTGACATTTACTGAGTACTCTCTATTTCTTAAGCATTGTTGTAAACACCTTATGTATATTGACTCTCTTAATCCTCACAGCAAACTATTAGGTTGATACTATTATTATCCTCATATTACAGATCACAGCACTCACTGTTTAAACCTCCCTGAAGACTTTTCATATCACTTAGACTAGTCCAAAACCTAGCCCTTTACCCTGACCTCCAGTGGCCTCTTAGATCTGTCCCCTGCACACTGCTCTGAGTCCCCTACTCCTCCTCCTGCTCATCATGTTTCTTCCATCTATTCCTTCAACTCACCAAACTTAAATCTATCAGATCTTGTGCACCAGTTGTTTTCTCTACTGAAAGCACTCTTCCTCTAGTCCGGTTGCTCCCAAAGCATGGTCCCTGGGCCAGCAGCATCAGCATCACCTGGGACCTTGTTAGAAATGCAATTTTCAGGTCTCACCCCAAATCTACTGAATCTGAAACCCTGAAGGTGGGACCCTGAGATCTGGGTTTTACTTAGCACTCCGAGTGTGTGTGATTCACCAGAGTTTGAGAATGGCTGCTCTAGGTTTTCACGAGCAGGCTGCTCCTTGTCATTCATGTTCCAGGTTACTCATCACATCTTCAGAGCCCCTCCCTAACCTTATCCTCCCCATGACTCTCTAGCATGTCACCCAGCTTTATTTTCATCATGGCTCTTACCATTACCCAACATTTTCCTGCTTGTTGAGGTGTATGTCTGTCTCTGTGTTAACTGTCAGTCTTTTCTACCTGTGAGTAAATTCTCTGAAAGCACAGACCTGCTGTTTATAGTCATGTCCTCAGCACCAAGCACAGAAGCCAACACAGAAGGGGCTCAATAAGTATTTGATTCATTTGATTAATTGATTAATTAATTGGAAACCTATGCGGGCAAGACAAGAGTAATTGACTGAACTATGAAGCAGGGAAGTCAACTCATGACTCTGGGAGCCAGCCAGGTCCTGTAATGGAAAGGCTGAATGTGAAACATGGAGGTGTGGAGGTGGCAGGGCAAATGAGTGGAGAGTATGTGGCTAAAGGATTCAAGTTCAATACTGAAAGGGTGGTATAGACCCAACAAAACCAATTTGTGAGCCAGATTCAGCCCAGGGGCTGCCAGTTTGTAATCCTTATTCTAAAGGCTTGACCTTGATACTCCATTGAGGACATGGCTTTCCTCCTTAAATAAGACTTTCTGTTCCAAGAGTTTGAAAAACACCTGCTTTTCAGTTTAAGAGTTGGAGAAGTGGAAGGGAGCTTGGAGAAAATCCATTAAGAATGAGAAAGTCAACCATTGGGGAGGGGTTGTGTCTTTCCAGTCACAGAGAAAACTGGAAGAACCATTGGAACTCTGTTAAATACCTGCATGGAAACATGAATATGCAAAAACATTTATTGCAACCCTTTTTATAACACCAAAAAAGGCTCTAAAAGTCCAAGAATATGGTATTGCTTAAATAAATCAGGGTAGAAAAATTATATGTGATAATACTTACAGGCAAATTTAAAAATTATATTTTAGAAGAATCTTTGATTACAGGCTGACTTGCACATAATGCTAGAGAACAGATAAAATAGGATTCCAATTTTATAAAAATAGCCTGTGTCCCAGCTGAGCCTGAACCTCTGGGATTTAGACCCGTCTTTGCATGTTAGAGAAACTCTTTAAGCAAGTGCTTAATTGCATGAGTTTTTCTTAATGGGGGTAAGAAAATATCAAAGAGGACATTTGACAGAGATATGGGAAAGAGATGTGGAGAGGACAGCAAAGTACCTGTGGCCCCCCAGCCAGCTCCGTGGGCACTTACCTGAACAATAACAAGGGGCCTCAGGCAGAAACTGAAGGAGCTGTGCTCAAGGACTCAGTGTGACCAGGGCCCAAGCAGCATAGCTGCAGGCTCAGAGGGCATGCCGGGATGTTGAGTAGAGATTAGGAGCATTTTCCACATCTTCTTGTAGTACGGAGTCAAGTGGGGGTTCTGAGGACACAGGATCACTGTCATTCCCTCAGTGGTATCAGAAAGCAAGCTTCAGATGTCACCATTGTTGTAGTGAGCACTGACATAGACAGCATCGACCAAGGCTGAGAGATGTTTTCTAAGTACGAGACAGCGTGGTGGGCATAGAACAGGAGGGCCCTCTTGTGAGTGCCCATGAGACTCCCCCACCCTGGGCTCCCTGAGATCACTTGGGGAAACATTGAAAAGGGAGCTTGGCAGATGGAGGCAAAAACCAGCTTTATATGAGTTCAGGGACCTCATTTGTACATATATGTTGATGTGGAAACTTGGGGATATTATTTGCATTTATATCACTGATTGTAAATATATCAAAGTAACAACAGTTTCCCTAGGTGGTAGAATGGTGGAAGATTTTCATTTTCTGTTGGATAGTTTCTGCACTTTGTAATTTTTTTTCTAAAATGAACAGATACTACCATGATAACAAGAAAATCCAAATTCTATTATTTTAAAAATACATGATTGACAATATCAGGCATTTTCAGTAGTGAGTCAGAGAACTGGCTTCCAGACTGAGGAGGCTGAAAAAGGCTCAGATCCATAAAAGGTGACGAGATGGTATCCCCAAGACTGAAGAGTCCTCCATGTTGTGCTATAAGATGGAAGTTCCCAATAGTTGCTGATTATCATAGATCACCTCACAGCTCTTATTGTTTTTAATCCTTGTAACAGCTATATGAGGTCTTATTAGCCATTAGGTAACACACCTCATCAGCAATGGGATATTCATGCCGGGGCTCTTCTGTCTGTGATATTCCCCCATGGTTTTCTAAGGCAGATGTTGCTTTCCAAATGCTGGCTTCTAGAGTATGAGATCTTCACCTATCTTGGGGGCGGTCTGTAAACCTCTTCGATTTAGATCCAGAGCTTTGCATGCATGTTCATTTTTCTAATAGGATAACCCCAGTTCTACTACCCCCCTCCAAAATTTAAGTATTGCGATTCTATGTTATTTGAAAAGCATAGACTTTGAAAAAAAAACATTAGAAATAGGAAATGCTTCTTGAACAGTAATATTTTGAGGATCTAATGGTAAGCAAATCAGAAACATGTGGATTAAATTTCCCTTAAATTGGGCATAAACCAAATAATATAAACAGTTTGGTAAAATTTGCTTGGGGTTTTCTCAAACCCAAATCATTTGAAAAAAAGAAAATGTTGTTATTTTTGATGAACCCTAAAGAGGGTCTGTTTGGCAGATTATAGGTTGGGTGAGCCTGTTTGTGGTATTTCAACATAGTGTGTTTTCCAGTTGGGGGCACTGGTTCATTTGGGGTTGATGTTGTTAGATTTGTGGCATGGTGGGTGGATAGTGGTGTGCTGGTGTACATTAGGGTGAAAGGAATACTCCACATCTCCCCATGCCACAGTTTACTCTTGGTTGCTTGTTACCAAGAGGAGTTTGCCCATGGAAACCATCAGAGAACTACAGAGACTTGGAGGAGGTGGACCACTGTCTCTCCACCATGTCAGCCAGGCTGTGAAACCACATCTTCGAAGGTGAGCAGCTGCATAGAGGGCCTGGCCGTGGGTATTGAGACCACTAATAGTCCTTCTGTTGCAGCTCAGTAGGAGAAAAAGAGGCAAGATGGCTTTTTGTTGCCTTTTTTTTTTTTTAATGGAGTTTCACTCTGTCACCCAGGCTGGAGTGTGGTGGCACGATCTTAGCTCAAGGCAACCTCCGTCTCCCAGGTTCAAGTGATTCTCCTGCCTGAGCCTCCTGAGTAGCTGCAATTACAGGCATGCACCACCACGCCCAGCTAATTTTTTTATATTTTTAGTAAAGAGGGGGTTTTACCATGTTGGCCAGGTTGGTCTCAAACTCCTGGCCTCAAATGGTCTGCTCAACTTGGCCTCCAAAAGCATTGGGATTACAGGCATGAGCCACTGCGCCCAACCGAGGCAAGAGTTTTAATAGCTCTTTTGGCTCTAACAGATCATTGAGGTAGTGATCTGGTACCAGCAGGTGCTAATACTCCAATAATACAATCAGAGGCAGAGTAAGAGTCACTGATTGTGGCCGGATGCAGTGGCTCACACCTGTAATTCCAGCACTTCGGGAGGCTGAGGCAGGTGGATCAGCTGAGGTCAGGAGTTCGAGACCAGTCTAGACAACATGAGGAAACCTCGTCTCTACTAAAAAAATAGAAAAATTAGCTGGGCATGGTGGTGGGTGCCTGTAATCCCAGCTACTCAGGAGGCTGAGGCAGGAGAATTGCTTGAATCTGGGAGGCAGAGGTTGCAGTGAGTTGAGATCGTGCCATTGCACTCCAGACTGGGCAACAAGAGCAGAACTCTGTCTAAAAAATAAAAATAAAAAGAGTCACTGATTGTAACTGATTATTTATCCTGTGCAAAAGGCTTCCCTACAGTTGTAGACAAGGAGAGGAGCCACCTAGATTGCCTTTCAAGGCAGGTCTGCTATCTGTAGATGTTTTCCCTCTGTCAGCTCCATTAGAGTCAGCCTCAGCTGCAGAGAGCCTCATCATCAGTAGCCACAGCATTTTGGGTCAGCCCACACTCCAGTGTGGTGACTGAGCAAGGCAGGTGCATAAAGACACCCCTAATGGGCAATTCTCAACCCGAAGCCCCCTGCTCTGTTGGCCAAGGCTTTATCAGGCCTGGAGCGCAGGGTGTCTTCTCTCTCTGCCTAGCCTGCTGCCACTCCTTCCTTTCCCTGGCACTGATCCTCAATCTACATCTTGCACTCCAAGACTCTGTCTCAGTCTTTGTCACTGGAGAAATGGATGGACACCATCCTGTTAGTTCATAACCTTCATGACTGCTTTATGAAATAAGAATTATTATCCCCATCTAATAGATGAAGAAACTGAGGCTCAGAGTGGCAAAATGCCTTAAGTCAGAGGTTAAGCATCTTGGAGGTAGGACGTTGTGGAACTGGGATTGGAACTTAGCTTTCTTTGGGTCTGTTTCCTGCATATTCCACTCTCCTGAGCAGCCTTCCACATTCCTCAGTGTTTTTGCTTCTGAATTTTCCACAGCCTTGGCATGCACAGATACATTCATGTAGGATTAGGTGTGCTGGTGAACAGGGAGTGGGCACTATATTGTATGAAAAGAGAATATTCAACATTATTAATAATGGGAAATTCTGCAATTTATTGAGCACTTACTAAGTGCCATGGAACTTGCATATATAAATGTTTTTTTCCTCTTTTTTTGAGACAGATTTTCCCTCTGTCACCCAGGCTGGAGTACAGTAGCATGATCTCGGCTCACTGCAACCTCCGACTCCCGGGTTCAAGGGATCTCCTGCCTCAACCTACTGAGTAGCTTGGATTACAGCTCCCACCACAATGCCCAGCTAATTTTTGTATTTTAGTAGAGACGGGGTTTCACCATGTTGGCCAGGCTTCTGACCTCAGGTGATCTGCCCATCTCGGCCTCCCAAATTGCTGGGATTACAGGCGTGAGCCACTGCATCCGGCCACTGAATATATAATTTTAATTAACAACAATAATAGCTGACATATGGTGATGTCGACTAGGAACTGGGCACTGCATGATGGGGCCGGTGCCATTAACATTCCCACTAATGAAGGCACCAAAGATGTGAATCATTTGTCTGAGGTCTCCAGCTTCTAAGAGTCAAGCTAAGACCACCTACTCCAGACCCAGCATGCTTAATGGCAAAGCCATTCATATCCCCATTCATATCCCCATTCTTAAGGAGGGGGAGGCCATTCATATCCCCATTCTTAAGGAGGGGGAGGCTCACCTGAGGCTCAGAGTTGTATATACACTGACCCGAAGACTTAGCTGGTGGGAGCAGAGCCAGATTCCAGCCCAAATCTGCCCAACTTTAATATCTACGCTCTTTTTATCACCCAGTGTTGCCTCTCTAGGGAGGAGCAAGAGACATAACAAATCATTTGTTGTCCCAAGGCAGATTTTGCCTTTAGATCATGTCCAGTGCTGGCAGATTATAAGGAGAAGGCATGGCTTTGTAGGGAGAGGAGGAGATGCTGGGGAAAAGGCAGATGCCATGAGAAACACCAGCCCTCACGGCCTGGCATCTGCAGGAAGAAACTTGGGTACATTCGATTTAACCAGCATATACTGGGTGCTGACTCCTATAGGTGGACAACTCCACATTCATAACTGTCTGCAGATTTTTCTGTCGAGGTCTGGAGTAGGCCCACGTATCCACCCAACCTCCCTACTGGACAGCTTCACCCTCATTCAGCTATTCATTCAACAGTGTGCCTACTATAGGCGGACAGTGTCATGTGCTCAGGATTTGGGGGTGAACAAGACACTCTTCTTGCTTGGCAAAAAGTGCAGTAGGGGAGCCAGACATGTAAACAGGCAGTCACAGCCACCTATGCCCCCTCCACGCAGAAGGAAATGAGCAAGTCTGTTTTACTAAGATTGTTCTCTTCTCTCTGGGCTGTGAAAACACATTCCAGATCACGAGAGAAGAAACACACATACACAAATCAGATCCCTCATTAATTGTACTTGGTCTTGTAATTTCTCATTTACTGCAGTACAGTGATGATCTGGTCATCTCCAGCACATGTGCTGGGTTCCTGCATATGCTACCTCTTGTGCCCACACAGTGTCACAGGACCCTGAAGGCTGGCTCCATGACATATGGTATCATCCTGCTGTTGGTAACAGGCCCTACCAGCCATCCAGGTGCCCACACTTAGGTGCTTTATCCTCTCCTCCATCTCCTTCCTCCAAACCCACACCTCTTGCTGGCTCCAATGGTGGCATGGCCAGCTCTCGGGTATCCTTACTCCTCTCTCCCTTCAGGATCACATCTCAGGCATTTTCAAGGCATGCCAATTAAAATTCTGCAAAGCCATGATCTCTTTGCTCCACCTCTATTCCCATGATACTTTTACTTTCTCCTGAATGGGCTTCCTCACTGGTCTTCCTGCTCAAGTTTCTCCCTGTGTCCCTTTACGCCAATCATCTACACCACAAATCTCAGCATGTCACTTCCAGTCTCAGAAGGCTTTCATGTCTCATTGGTAGCTTGGCATTACAGCTTTCCATGTTCTGGGCCTTGTTATCTCTATTCTTCCCCCACCCTCCTTATGAAATGCACCAAGGTTTCACGTCATGGTAACTTTGCACACCGTGTTCCCTCCAAACTTACCCCAGACCTCAGCTCTGATGCACTCCCCAGATATGCTCAAGCCCCTCTTCAGTGTCCCCAGCCCAAATGCTTCCCTCCACTGTTAACACTTGTTATGGGGGCTGTGAAGAGGTTGGCCTCCCAATCTGGAGGGTGTGAGCCCTCTGAGGAAGGGAACCATGCCTTCTGCAACACTGCAAAGCCCTCATGAATGAATGAATGGGTCTGACACTCTAGCTGGCTCTACAATGAGGAAAGGCTCCTAAATATTTTGTCCCTATGCCTGCGCCAGACCCAACCACGAGATCTTATCGGGAAGTCTGCCTCTGTTGCGGTGTCAATCTTCCAGCATGACGTGAACCTTGGGGACCTGCTGGTAATCATTTGCAGCAGCCAAAAGTGCTCTTTAGAGAATGAGTCATTTGGTCGTTGCACACACAGGCTGGTGACCCGCAGAGAGTTTGTCTACAGACACCTTTGTGGGCAGCCGTTCGATTTCCTGAGCCTGAGGAGGCCTTTATTTCAGATTCCAAACTTTATTGCAACTTCTGAGTGACTGCCTTGACCCCATTGGTAACCTCACAGCACTTACAGTGATTCATCTCTTCAGGAAACTGTGTCTCCCCTGGGTCTGTCCCGTGATATTGGTGCAGGAATAGTGGCTGGGAGTGGGATTGGTGAGAGGGAAAAGCCTCTTTGCCATTTGCAGTCTCTTGAGCGGCCTGTGAGAAAAATATTTCCTTTGCTGTGGGATTCAGCAACTGCACACCAGAACGAAAAGGTGAGCAGCTGGACCCCGGGCCCAGCCCAGCAGAGGATTGAAGGGAATATCCAAGCTCACCACAGCTCTCCCACTACTCCCTTTCAGAAATCCACCCACTGGGTCATCTTGTGATCCCTAACCATCGTCATTCAGATCTGTCTACTGGACCCAACATGTCCTTGACTCTCCCAAACTTATAGAAGATGGATGGTGTGGTGTCCTTTAAGGATGGCAAGTTCTGGAGTTGAGCACACTGTAGTTTTTTATGCTTTTTATTGGAGAATAACACACATACAGGTAAGCACACAATCACAAGTGTGCAGCTCACTCAGTAGTCTCAAAGGCACACCTGGTGCTGCATTCCCACTTCAGCTACCCAAACTTCACAAGTCACGTGCCCCGCCTGAGCCTCAGTTTCTTCAGTTCTCAAGTGCAATTAAAAATCTGTCTCTCCTAATCAGGCCTTCACTACAAACAAATCCGAAATGCTACCCCCTTGCCTGTCGCCTCACTTGGCTTTAGTTGTTCATAAAGCCTATCATCATCTGATGTGTTATTTGTTGTTTAGATTTGTTTATTTTCTCTCTCCCAATGAGAATGTCAGCTCCCTGGGCAGAAGAAATTGATTTCGCTCACCACTCCATCCCTGAAGCTAGAACGGTGCCTGTTCACTAAATGAGTACTCACTGGATGAATGCAGACAGTGGTTTTGAGGACAGCTTGAATGCTTTAAAACTTGGGAAACATCATTAAGATGGTTAGTTAAAAAAACAGAAAACAACAAAGGGGTTGGCCAAGCTGTGGAGCAATTGGAACTCTTGTGTATTGTTGGTGGGAAGGTAACATGGAGCAGCCACTGTAGAAATAGTATGAATGACAGTTCCTCAGAAAATTAAAACCTAGACTTAACAACGATCTGGTAATTCAATTTCCGGGTACATACCCAAAAGCACTGAAAGCAGGGTCTTGAACAGATATTTGTATACCGATGTCCATAGCAACATTATTTGCAATAGCCAAAACATGGAGACTACCCGAGTGTCCTTCAATGTATAAACAGTCCACAAAATGGGGTCTAAATATACAATGGAATATTATTCAGCCTTAAAAATGAACTCAGTTTTTACACACACTACAAGATGGGCAAACCTTGAGGACATTATACTAAGTGAAATGAGCCAGGCGCCAAAGGATAAACACACTTTATGACTTCATGTACATGAGACGCCTAGAGCATTGAAATTCATAGAGAAAGTAGAATAGTGGTTTCCAGGGGCAGAGAATGAAGGGTTGTTGTTTAATGAATATAGAGTTTCAATTGGGGAAGATGAAAGTTCTAGAGATACATAGTGGCAATGGTTGCACAACAGTGTGAATATACTTAGTGCTGAGGCTTGGACAATGAGTAAGACCAATTCCTTGGCCTTTAAGGAGCTTCTTGTCCGGTGGAGAAGGCAGGTGATTTAAAAAGTAAGCATAGTAGGCCGGGCATGGTGGCTCATGCCTGTAATCCCAGCACTTTGGGAGGCCGAGGTGGGTGGATCATGAGGTCAAGAGGTCAAGACCATCTTGGCCAACATGGTGAAATCCCGTCTCTACTAAAAATACAAAAATTAGCTGGGTGTGGTGGTGTGCACCTGTAGTCCCAGCCACTTGGGAGGCTGAGGCCGGAGAATCGCTTGAACCTAGGAGGCAGAGGTTGCAGTGAGCTGAGATCGCACCACTGCACTCCAGCCTGGTGACAGAGTGAGACTTCATCCCCCTCAAAATAATGTAAGCATAGTAACATGTGATGAGAGGCAGGCGTGCAGAGGACAGGCAACATAAAGTGGTCACACTGATATGAGAGGCTGGGAAGCCGAAAGAGAGTCAGGGGTGTCCAGAGAAAAGGTTGGAGAGTGGGGTGGAGGGAGGGGTGTGGGTGCGGGAGATGACGCAGTGCCCTATGGGCCAGGCTAAGGAATACATACTTGATCCTGAAGGCAAGTAGGGCCACTGGAGAGTTTTACACTAAAGAATGAATTAGAAGCCTTGCTTTGGGTGCCACAAGGAGAATGGATTGAAGGAGGAGAGAAGGTGGGAAGAGTTTGTATTAGGAGCCAGGATGGAATCTGTGTTTATCTCCAACATTCCTCGTCTGCTTTCTACCATACACAACGCTTTCTAGAATGTCAGGGGTTAGACTTGTTTCCCCACCTATCGTGTCACTAATACTCAAGAATGCTAAGCCCTCGCCAGGTGCTTCATGAATCCCATGGGCCAGCCTCGGTCTGACTTAGCGTTGAACTTCCCAGAGGACTTGGAGTGACAGAGCACAGGCCCTGCATAGGCCCTGCATGCATTTTGGATGTGTGGCACTAAGCATGCACTGAGAAGTAGAAACGAAAGGCCATCGTCATTTGTCTTTGGGAAAGGCTCTCTGCTGCTGAGTTTTTAAAATAAGCTTCATGGCAGTTGCTGCAGGATTCGAATGTCACAACTGTAGTGAGGGAACTGGGGAAATGAAAACTAGAAAGGGGGTGTCAAAGCTGTTGTAACTTGATTTGGGAGCTGAGACACTGACAGTCCGATTTGCATTTTGCAAAATTCTGACAGATCCTCACATGCCCACCTCATTCTCTGCTGGGGTTTATCACATCCATTTCCCCTAGAGTCCTCCATAAAGAATTTAGGTCTAGAAGGCTTCATGTAGAATCCAGTTATTATCAGCATTAAGATCTGGGTTCCAGGAGAACATGAATTGCTCTCTGTTTAGTAGCTCAGAGCTGTAAGAGGGAGCTCTTTACTGTGGAATGCTATCACCGGCCCACCCTAGTGATGTGGCACCCACCCACTTACAGACCAGCCAAATTGCTGCTAATCACTCAGAACTGAAGAGTCCTCATAGAGGTCACCATCTCACTGCAAGATAGGGAAACTGAGGCCCGGGAAAGAGATGGATAGGCATGAGTCACTGGGACGGCCAATCGTTAACTGGGAAAATATTTACTAAGCTCCTACCACGTGCTGGGGCACTTGGGATTTAAGCGGCAAGTAAAATACTGGTCTTCTTGTTGACTAGAGAGCTCATACACTCCCATTTCTTGTCAAACGAGCCTTGGTTTGGATTTAAGTTGGTATCCATTTATATTTTATGGTAAGAAACCTATGCTAATCAATGCCTTATTCTGTTTCAGAAACTATGTTTGGTATTTTGCAACCATTACCTTGTTCAATTTTTGTCAAACAAAGAGATATATATTTATCATCCACGTTCTACAGATGGGGAAATTGAGCTCAAAGAGCCACATTGTCTTGCCCAAGGTAGCAGAGATGGTGAAGTGCTGAGCTGGGATTAGAACTTATGTCAGCCTGTCTTCAAACCCTTGATTCTTCATCCTAATCCTGTGTCGCTGGCCAGCAGATCTTCATATCATTAAGCTAAACCCTCTGAATTTTGCATATTACTTGGCCTCCAGGTGGTGGAAGCCCCAAAACTCTTCACTGAATAGGAACAAGGAGTCCCCAGGTCCCATGAAAATTATTTCTGCAGGAGGAGTTGGGAACCCCTTTTCCTCTACTTCCCTCCCGTGTGGACCCCTTAGAGTCAGGAAAAGACAGAGCTGGTATCTGCACCAGGACAGTTGGCTGAATAACATCAGCCTGATGCCTACCATTTACTACTCTGTGCCAGACACTGTGCTAAGGGGTTTCCATGCACCAACCCTTAAATCCTCACAACACCACTGTGAGATGGGTTCTGTCATTCTCCCTGTATTGAAATTGAGAAAACGGAGGCATAGAGAGGTAATTCTATTTCCAGGGTCACAGGCTAAGAGAGGCAGGATTGGAGGATACTCACTTTGTCTGAGTCTAGATTTCAGGCTCTTTATAATTACTTTGTGTGCTTAAGGAATTCCTGTTGACTGAGGAGTTGAAATTAATTTTTTCAAATCAGTCTTTCTATGTTCCCACGTCACTGGACTTTGTGAACCAGCCTAGAGAAGCCAGCACCAGGCCAGGTGTATAGTATGTGTACTAAATGAATGAGGAAGCCACCCAGGGGGGTTCCAGGGCAGAGAGAGCCATCCCTACACAGACAACCAGGTTGTGAGGACTCTAGCGCTCCAGGGGGAATGACGCTCTGTGGTTCATTCCAGTCTCACCCAGTTTTCCTCCCCTGCTTCAGTTCTTTGATGTGTAATGGCCTCTTAGTCCATTCCTTTGCATTCTTCCCTTGGCGTTGTGTCACTCCAGGTGAACAAAGCATCTTTTCAAGGACCCTGAAGAAATCAGATTATGCTATAGGCCCTGCAAATTAGAGGCCTGGAGAGGAGGTCCCTTATTTGAGGATAATCACCATCCCTTCTCTGTTTGACAACTTATTTCAAGATAATTAGAGCTTCACTTTCTTTACTGGGATCAACTCTTTCTGTTTTCCCTTGTCCTTGCCCTACCAGCTCTGGAGCTGACTCTCATGGCAGCTGGCAGTCAGACAGGGGACATCTGTAAATTTGTGCTGGGCCACAATCCCTTACCAAGAACTGTCAGAACAACTGCCATGGGTATAGCCTTTAAAATTTGGCACAGGTGGCCCAGGTAAGATACAAGTTTAAATCTTCATTCATTCAACATCTTTACTAGACATGGGTTCAGTGTCTTTAACACACACAACTCTAGGTGCTAGGAATATCACAATAGAAAATGAAGACCAAGGCCCTGCCTCGTGGAGCTTACTTCATAGTTGTGAAGACAAATAAAGGACATGAGGAGCTTGACTAACCTAGAGCTAGAAGAAATTTTAGAAATAAAGAAGTGTGTTCAGGAAGTGAAACTTCTTACTCCCGCGTACGATAGTAAGAGTAGCCATAATAACAAAATAATTATGATAATAACAATAGTCATATTTTAAGTAAAAATGAAATGATTTATTATTAGACTAGAATTTGCATATAGAAACTTGCTAGAAGTGAGTGATCAATGTCTAGGACCTGGAATTATTTTGTTAAACAGATCATTGGCATTTGATACAGTCACAGGAAGTTGGAGTACCTGGGGAATGAGGTGTTTCATTGACTCACTTTTCCCCTCGGTTTGTGTAAAATTCACTATTAATAATGCTAATAATAAGTGATTACCTATTATCTTTCTAGGCCCCTGGATTGTTGTTCCAAATATTTAATGATTATTCAATTCAAGTTAATTAACATTTACTTCTATGAGGTCGGGGCTGGGATGAGAAGCAGGTAAAGAAACTGACTTGTATGAACAAGGAGACTTAGGAAATTGGAATGCCACATACACACTCGAGAAGATTTTGGAAGGCTTTGTGTGTGTGCTTAGTTTGTTTTTTCCCTATAATAAATCTCAATCTTGTCTAGGCTTGTGCTAAATATGTTTACCTATGTGTCTTTCAGTAATTATTGTTTACATGGTCAAATTTAAATAAATGAATATATAGTTGCACAATGGGAAAAAAACATTAGAAATTCAATTAGGAATTGACTAGTTTACAATCTCCTTTAGGATATTTTAATGTACCTCTCATAAGTGGAGAGATCAAGACAGAAAAAATTAAGAATATATAAATGATATAAAAAATTTGACTAATATGCACATTCACAAGCTTGATGGGATTTGACATATATTTGACATATTTAGGGCCTTATATTCAATAAATATAATATGTATGTATTTCACACTCACATGAAATATTTGCAAATATTTATTTAGTAGATATCAAGCCTATTAGAAGCCTTAACAAATACTGAAGAATCGATATCATAGAGATAATGCTCTCTAACTGCAGTGTGATAAAATTCAAAGCAAAAAGCAGAAAAAATTATATGTGTGGTATGTGCATATAATATATATATAGACTTACACATATACACAAACAACACACATTTAGAAACTAAAAAAAAACCCACTGTATATAATTAGTCGAAGAAGAAATTATAATGAAAACTACCAAATATTTATAGCAGATAATGAAAACATTATTACTGAAACACCTAGAGGGAAATTTACAGCCTTAAATACACATCTATTCGAAGGCAGGAAGAAGAGTTAATGAGATAATCTTTCAGTTCAGAAAGAGGAGAAACAAAGCCCATTGGTTTAGGGCTGGAACACACCTGGGATACATATATATATATATATATATATATATATATATTTAAACTGAGTCACTGGTAGGCAGTCTCACATTCCATTCAACTTACACAAAGGAGGGTTAGGTCTGAAGGCAAATTAAAATAGCTCTAAAGAAAATCAAACCATACTATAATGTTAAAAAAAAAAAAGAAAACTCTCATAGCAGAGGGTATAACAGTTAGCAATTGCTGTATAACATGTTACCTCAAAATTTAGCAGCTTAAAATAACAAACAGTTATTATCTCCCAGTGTTCAAGGGTCAGGAACCTGGAGTGGCTCAGGGTCTCTCATGAGGTTGCAGTGAAGCTGTCAGTCTGGGCTGTAGTCATCTGAAGACTCAACTGAGGCGTGGAATTTGCTTTCAAGTTCACTCACATGATTTATTTCAGGCAATACCATTCTTCACTGGGTCTTCCTCACTCGCTGCTGGGTGCCTTGCCCCCCAGGCCTCTCCATAGGCATGCATGCTTCCCCCAGAGTAAGCAGTCTCAGAGACAGAAAGCCAGTCCCCAAGACGGAAGCCACAGTCTTTTATGACCTAGTCTCTGAAGTGACATGCCATCACCTTTGCCACTTGCAGTGGTCACACAGACTAACCATAGCACTATGGGGCATTCAAGGGTGGGAATACCAGGAGAAAGAGATCATTGGGGGCTGTGTGGGAGGATGCCTGCCACAGAGTGAGTCTCAAAACGTGGGCTTTCACTTGGTTGCTAACCCACAGCAGAGAATAGGTGAGAAAAATTGGTTCCACCTGGTCAAAATCATTAGAATTACATTTGGGATTCAAATTATATTGAAACTTGAGGAGAGGTGGTGGATTCAGGATTGGATTTCTTGGCATTTGGATTGGAACGTAGGTGAATTCTTTTATTTTGCTTTCACTATGTACCTTTTAAAATAATTTTTCTCCAAAATAATGTTATCCCACCAAACTCCTTAACACATTTTGTCAATCTACTTTTCCCATCACTTTGAAGTTGATGTCTGCTTGAAAGAAAATTTGATTTAAATGTTTTTGATTCCTTTACATAAAAGTATTGAAATTCAAGTTACTAAGAACTATTTGATGGACAGCAAGTCCTCCAATTTCATGTGAAAGTTGTGAAGTGGATTTTTCTCAAAAATATAAAATAGTGCTTTGCCAAAGAGTCAATAAAATACTGACTCAAAGAGGGTTAAGTTTAACCACCCACAAATCAAAAAGCCTGGCTAACTTTATGCCAAACTTTTTTTGGTTGATTAAAAATATCGAATCGACCATTTCCACCCACTCCTGAATTTAACCGAATTGTAAATCATTTTCTGTCTTGTAGATATATATACTGGCAAAAGTAAATGCTGAATTAAGATAATTCAATTTCTTTAAATAACTCTCAGTGACTTGAGCTTCTTGTCTCCAGTTTCTTCCTACTATAATCTATGCTACCTTGGGTGCTATTGTTATCTTACTGAGACATAGAGCCTATCTCACTTACGTCCTCATTTTATTTTTTTAACTTTTCACTGCCTTCTCATTACCCTCAGGTAGGTCTTACCATTCGTGACTCTGCATCACTTAGTCTCAACCTCTTTTCCTAACTCGTTTTCCTCCTCTCTTACGTGGGTTTACCAGTACTGTAAGGAAACTTGTCATTGTTTGAACATGCCATGCACTTTCACACCCAAAGCCTGTGCACACCCTGGGACACCCTCTGCCTACAATGCCCTTCCGTTACTCACTCTCAGGAGAAATCCCATTCCCTCTTCCAGGCACATTTTAAATACCATCTCTAACACACCAGCTTCTTCAGTGCCCAATTATGCCTCCAATTTGGTAGAAAATGGTTTAAAATTTTTTGTTCTCAAAAGCAGGTAATTTCACCTTACCATATGCTATAAAATTTTGCATATACCCACACTGCAGCACTTTCCTAACTGCATTGCAACTAACTAGAGTATTGACTAGGGGATTCTAACTGCTTCAACAGATGTACCTCCATTTGTAAAATAAGAATGATAATATCTACTCCTGAGGGTGTTAGAAACAATACTGGAGACACTATATTGACTGTTTCTCTGTGGCACTGAAGGTGTTCTGGGCTTGTCTTGTCCTTAAAAAACAGAGCTTCCAGCATCTTCTTCCTTTAGAGGTATTTCCATCCATCCACTCATCCATCCGTCCATCTGTCTATCCACTCATTTATCCATCCATCCATCCATCCATCCATCCATCCATCCATCCATCCATCCATCTATCCATCCACTCACTCGTCTATACAGTCACCCATCTATCCATCCATTCTTCCATCCATCCATGCCTCCATCCATCTGACATTCAGTAATTGTTTGGTGATGGTGATGATAATGAAACAGAGTAAGAAAAAATGTGTTTAGTGTGAGATAACTGATCATTAACAATAGAGTGCCAAAACTTACCAGTTGTTGGTTTGTTTTGTTTTGTTTTGAATTTTCTGGGCTGTGACCAATTTAGGGGCAGGGATTTGCTTTATTTTTCTTTTTCTTCCTAAATAAAGACTAGCACAATGTCGTCTGCATGATAGGTCCATAGATGTTATTTACTAATTTAGTTTTTGGCCGGGGGTGTGGGGGTTGAAAAATGATCAAGAAAAGTTACTGACTCCTTTGAATTAGCCTAATGGCATCAGAAGGAGCACTTAAGATAGTAGTATTGGAAATCCCTGAAACAGATAAAACTAGAACTCACTGGGATAGGATTGATGTTTCTGAATACCTGCCCCTACTTTCTACAAGGAGCTGTGATAATAAGTTGATTCCAAAGTAGCCTAGCTTAGTGATTCTTCTGTCATATCTGAATCTGACAGTTAGGCACTCATTAAGAACCTTTACAGAAACTGCAGTGCACACTCCCACAGTTCTCATGTATGTCTCCCTCCTGTGCTTTTGCTCATGCTGGTTTTGTGGGGGTTTTTCATTCTAGAATGACCCTTGCTTTCCTTTCTCCTCTATGTCTAGCTCCGGTGTTAGCCAGGGTTCTTCAGTAGGGGTGTGTGTGTGTGTGTGTGTGTGTGTGTGTATGCACATGTGTTCACGTGCACATGTGCAGAGAAAGAGACAAAGACAGAAAGAAGAAAGAGGGGGAGAGGAGAAATTCATTTTAAGGATTTGACTCATGATTGTTGGCACTGGTAATTCCCAAATTTGCAGGGCAGTTTGGCAGGCTGTAGACTCAGGGAAGAGTTGATGCTGTATCTTGAGTCTGAAGGCAGGCTGAAAAATTCCTTCTTTCTTGGGGACCTCATTTTTTTTTTTCTTAAGGTCTTCAAGATTGGATGAAGTCTACGAACATTACGGAGGATAATCTGCTTTACTCAAAGTGTACTGATTTAAATGATAATCTCATCTAAAAAACACCTGCAGGAGCATCTAGATTGGTGTTTGATCAAATATCTGAATACCATTGCCTTGCCAAATTGATACATAAAATTCATCATTACAGTTTCCCTCTCCTTATGCTTGATTACTCAACTCAGAGACCCCTCTTCCTGGAGACTTTCTGACTTCCCAGCTGGGCTTAGGTGGGGCCTTCTCTAATTTCCTCTAACAAAATACTTGATATTCAGCTTTTTTTTTCTTTTGTCATCTGTTTACTCGTGTGTTTCTCCCGCTAGACTATAACCATCTTGACGGTAAGGATTTCCAATAAATTCATATTGAAAAAAATGCATTTGGGGAAGGATATAAATGCAAAAATATGCAACTCCAGGTCCAAAGCTTTGGGATTTAAAATTTAAAAAGAAGAAGAATTCCTTCCCAAACAAGCCCATCCCACAGGCTGTTTTGGCAAGTGCCGTTGTCAGTCCTGTCATTGATAGGTGGGGGTCTATGTTCCTTCCTCTTGAGCTTAGATGGGCTTGTCACTTTCTCAACCAACAGAACATGTGGGTGGAACACTATGTAGCTTTCAAGGCTAGGTATAAAAATGTGATACACTTCTGTCTTGTTCTCTTTTTTTTTTTTTTTTTTCTTTAAGACGGAGTCTTGCTCTGTCGCCCAGGCTGGAGTGCAGTGGCGCTATCTCGGCTCACTGCAAGCTCCGCCTTCCGTGTTCACGCCATTCTCCTGCCTCAGCCTCCTGAGTAGCTGGGACTACAGGCGCCCGCCACCAGGCCAGGCTAATTTTTTGTATTTTTTTAGTAGACACGGGGTTTCACTCTGTTAGCCAGGATGGTCTCCATCTCCTGACCTCGTGATCCACCCTCCTCGGCTTCCCAAAGTGGTGGGATTACAGGCGTGAGCCACCGCGCCCAGCCACGCCCGGCTAATTTTTTTGCATTTTTAGTAGAGACGGGGTTTCACCGTGTTAGCCAGGATGGTCTCAATCTCCTGACCTCGTGATCCGCCAGCCTCGGCCTCCCAAAGTGCTGGGATTACAGGCGCGAGCCACCGTGCCCGGCCCTGTCTTGTTCTCTTGCAGTGCTTGCTGTTGGAACCCATGGTGTGAGAAAGTTTAAGCAGCCACAGAGGCAGACCGGTCGCCACCACCAGACCAGGAAGTGAGTGCGTGAGTCTGCGTGTGACCTCAGCCCCCAGTCTCTGACTCATCCTGGCTGACATCCTGGGGAGCAGAAAAGAGCTGGCTCTACTGAGCCCTGCCCAAATTTGCATATTATGAGCAAAAGAAATGATTGTTGGTGTTGTATATCATTAAGTTTGGGGTGGTTTGTTACCCAAGGGTAGATAAGTGGAAGAGAAGGGTCAAAGGGCAAACCTGTAAGGGAGGCAGAAATGCTGGAGGATTCAAAAGGCAGATCTCTAGGCTCAGAAAAAAAGCCGCCAAACCCAGGAAGGCCTGAGCTCATCTCTCCTCATAGCCTAGCTTGTGTTGTTACTGCCGTCACTGTGACCTTTGTGTCTCTCTTTTATGCCATTAAAGTCTCGATTCGTTTGCTTTGTAAAAGTGTGTCTTCATGTTATGTTGAATATAATCTCATTTTAATCTAATGGCCTATTGGTTTTAAATAAATAAATAGGTGATGATTTTTTATTTTGACAGAATAGCCTTGAGGCTTGAGAGATAGATGCATTCATACCTACATTCATACAGAGGATGACAGATAGATTCACACCTCTAAGGCTATTTCACAATATTCTGTGGAATGAAGTTTGCATGTCAATGACAGCTTTATTAAGTACTAATTTTCTTTACAGCAAGCACTGCAGTGAAGGCTGTATATGCATCACCTCATTTACATCCTCCTCCAAACTATTAGAGTCCTTTTTACAGATGAGGAAATTGAGGGTCAGATTGCCTGGATCACATGTCCCATAGGTAAACTGGGTGACCCCAGGCAGCGTGACTCCAGGGCCCACCCTGTTAACCCCTGCCCTCACTACCTCCATCTGCAAAGCTCTCTGAACATTGCCTGGGGCACAGATTTTCAACCAATGCCTCATTGCTTTCTTTCTAAATTACATGAAACAAGCTCCTACAAGCTCCTATATTATTATACCCTATTCAGCCAGATAAGTCCACTGGTCATGAGCTTAAATGGTGTAGAAATGTCAAATAACTGTAAACATTTATAGAAAAAAACAAATTCTACTCTCAATTTCTGTGCTTATCTCATCAAAGATGGTTACAGCTCACCGATGAGCATGAGTTTTGTCTGCTATTCACCCAGTGGTTTATAAAACCCTGATGCAACTGGTCACCTGATTCATGTCTTTACAGAAATTTAGCAATCTTAAAACAACAACAGCAATCATAAAACGACAGCAATAACACCATCAATTACTGCTCTGTTTTGGAAAATAGATCCATAAGGCAACAGAAATGTACACATCAGCCACAGAAAGTCTGCACCTGTTTGTTTACATTTCTATTTGTAGTTGAATTCAGGCAAAGTAGGTACCCAATTCATGTGTGTGTGTCAATTACTGACTCTTGTAGAGAAATGGCCTTTTTCATTTGAAGGCTCTGAGTGTCTGTGGTGGAAGGGAGGTCAGTGGGTAGAGAGCCTGGAGCTTCAGAGAAGGCAAGAGAAGGGCTTTCTTTGTGGATGTTTGTAGGCAGACAGCACATCTTGGACACAATAAGAAGTAGCAGGAGAACAAATGGCACCTTCACTCCATCTTCATTGCAGAGGTGGGTATACCAAGGAAGAACTTTCCCTTTTAAATAGAAAGAGAAAGAACTGAATGAAAATGCACAGTCAGCCGCTGAGAACAGTGCCCCTTCAATTGAGAGGCATTTTTCACCAAGTCCTGGGACAGAAGAGGGCCCACTGTTAATGCACAGTCCTCTCCCGCTCCCACTCCCCCTTCTAATCAAGGCGATATGAAACAGAGGCCTTCAGAGAACGCACGCCGAAGCGGGCTGCCTGTTCCGGCAACTGTTATAAAGCAGGCCAAAGCCACGTCACGTCCAATTAATGTCAACGAGGAACATCTGTATTTAGGCACCCACGTTCCTTAATGCAAACATTTCGTAATTACAGCCTCTTGCACACACGGTGTGTTATGAGATGTGGTGTCCCCAGTGTGAATCAGTCACATTTTTCAGAGTCGTCAGCAGACTTGGTCTGGCTGGGACGCCGCTTGCTGACTGCCCATAAGAGCATTTCTCTAAAATATTGAATTAAGCACAGTCCGGCTTTTTCCTCTTATCTATGAAATCTTGTGGTTGGGGCTTGACTGTTTTTATAAAATGAAATATATAAAATGGATAAAATGCAAATAAAGTTGAGGTTAGAGTGGTGTGTTTTTTCTTTCTCTCTTTTTTCATGGTTTTTTTTTTGTTTTTTTTTTTTTTTGAGAAAGACATCTGTTTCTCCCACTTTCCCCTTTTCCCTTTGGTGTTTTATGCTGAAACGTAAAGGTTAAATTGTCAGGCACAGTCTGAAGGGCTCCAATTCTGACTGGTTTTTCACCTCATCGAGAAAGCTAGTCTGGTTATAAGGACCCAACTGGTCTGGGAATATTTTCTCATGGATGTTTTCTCCTGGGCAAAGCACTCGGCTTTGGAGTCATGGGAAATCCAATAGCCCTGGGTTCAAAGTTGAAGATATTTTAAAATTCTTATGGTGCATTCAGGGAGGCCTCATAGAAATAGGAGCTGCAGATTGGGGCAATGAGGATATTATGAATCCATCAATAAACTTGGAATAGTAATAGTCTGGATAGATGTTTTTTTATCCATAAGCCACCATGCCTAAGGAATGTGAAACTCTCTGCATTGCCGTTATGAGGCGACACCTCAGCGTGTTCTTGATCCTTGTCTCCTGACCCTGTCCCCAATTTAGCCATCAGACAGGATCCTAATAACGTCTCTCCATGACGGGTCTTCCCCACTCCTCAGACATAATTCCTGCTCTTCCTTTGAGAGAGACCCTAATCCAATCTGGTTGCTAGGAATCCACTCCTACTGGCCCAGCCAAGGGCTTGTTCTCCAGATCTATCCTCATCCCAGGACAGAGAAGAAGATGTCATGTCAGAGGAGAATAACTGCTGCTGAGATAGCTGAGCTTTTAGTCCAGCCATCGATGTCTTGTTAATCAAACTTCCCAGGCTCTTGAGTTGTTGTGAGAGACAAAAACTCCAGTCAGGCCAGGCGTGGTGGCTCATGCCTGTAATCCCAGCACTGTGGGAGGCCGAGGTGGGCGGATCGCCTGAGGTCAGGAGTTCGAGAGCAGCCTGGCCAACATGGTGAAACCCCATCTAATACAAAAAAACTAGTTGGGCATGGTGGCGGGCACATGTAATCTCAGCTACTTGGGAGGCTGAGGCAGGAGAATTGCTTAAACCCAGGAGGCAGAGGTTGCGGTGAGCCAAGATCGCACCATTGCTCTCCAGCCTGGGCAACAAGAGCAAAACTCCATCTAAAAAAAAAAAGACTCCAGTCAAACTAATGAAACAACAAAGGGCTTGGAAGACCAAGTTTCAGTAAGGGAAGGGGACAGATGGACTCAGGACACAAACCCATTTTCTCTTGGGGTCTCATTCCTGTTTTTCTCTGTGGGTCAGCTTCATTCTCTTACTACAAATCGGCCTTCCTATTTTTTTGATCTTCCAGTCAAGTCAACAGAGTGTAGACATGTTTTCCCGTACTCCTTCCTGCTAAGCACAAGGATGAATCCTGGAAATGGAACAAGAGATGACTCGGTTAATTTTTTGTGTCAACTTGGCTGACCATGGTGCCCAGATATTTGGTCAAACATTATTCTAGATATTCCTGTGAGGTTGGTTTTTGGATGAGATTAACATTTAAATGCTTGAACTATGAGTAAAGCTGATTACCCTCCTTGGGATGGATGGGCCTCGTCCACTTGGTTTAAGGCCTTAAGAGGACAAAGACTAAGATATCTGAGCAAGAAGTAATTCTGCCAGCAAATTGTTTTTGGTTTGAACTGCAACACTTCCCTGAATCTCCAGCCTACCAGCCTACCCCATTAGATTTTGGACTCACAAAGCCTACACAACTGCATGAGTAAATTCCTTAAAATAAGTCTCTCTCTCTCTGTATACACACACACAGACACACACACACACACACACACACACACACCCTGTTGGTTGTGTTTCTCTGGAGAACTCTGAATAATAATCAAAAGAGAACTCTGAAATGCTGTTAAAAAAAAGAAAGACAAGCTAGTTGGGAACCCCAAGAATAGCACAGCAACAGGGTATTTTGTGTCCCTCCACTTAACAGAGAAAGAGAGCACCCAGACCCGACGTTTCCCAACCTCTAACCCAGCAGTAGAAAGCAGTCAGCTAGGTTCATTCCCACCCTGGATTTAATAGAGTCTCCCTTTGAAGACCTCAGGAGAGCTTGACACCTCCAGCAGGGACACTGACTGGGAGTTCTGCCAGACACAGTGGCCAAAGGAGGCACTCCCCTTCCCCACCAGGCCTGGGACACCCCTTTTCCACTGACAGATACTGAGGAAGGTGGGAAGAGCTGACAGGAGAGACCCCACTATAGCAGTTATCCTGGCCCAGGAAGGCTCTTTGACCTGGTAGGTCCAAGATTTTCCTTCCCTGCCAAGAAGCACCGGGGCAGCGAGGAGGCAGCCATAGGGTGATCCCACCACATGCCTTACCCACCAAGAAGCACACAAGTGGCCCAGCCTGGGGAAACTCTTTGTGTCCCCTCGGGCAGCCCTGGCAGGAACCAGTGAGAGCTTTCCTGGCACCAGATAAACAAAGAAGATAAAAATAATACTGCAAATGCTCTAAGAATTAAATTGCCATTTGAACCACAGCCCATAAAAGTAGGCTAAGACCTACATGCTAAAATAAAATATTTAAGTCTAACCTGGAGCCTCTTAGCATAATAAACAAAATGTCCAGGCTACAGTAAAAAATAAAAAATCAGCTGTCATACTAAGAACCACACAAAATAACAAGTTGAATGAGGAAAGACTGCGGCCAATACCAAGATGTTGAAAATATCTGATAAATCTGATAAGAATTTTAAACTAGTTGTCATAAAAATGCTTTAACAATCACAAAATCTTGAAACACATAAAAAACAAAACAAAACAGAAAACCTCAGCAATGAAATAGAAACTATAAAAAAGAATCAAATGGGCTGAGTGCTGTGTCTCATGCCTGTAATTCTAGTACTTTGGGAGGCTGAGGTGGGCGGATCACTTCAGGTCAGGAGTTTGAGACCAGCCTGGCCAACATGGCAAAATCCTGTCTCTACTAAAAATACAAAAATTAGCTGGGCATGGTGGCATGCACCTGTAGTCCCAGCTACTCGGGAGGCTGAGGCAGGATAATCACTCGAACCCGGGAGATGGAGGTTGCAGTGAGCAGAGATCGCGCCACTGCACTCCAGCCTGGGTGACAAGAGCAAAACTCCACCACAAAAAAAAAAAAAAAAGGAAAAAGAAGAAAAGAAAAAGAACCAAAGAACCAAATGGAAATTATAGAATGGGAAAATATAATAGCAGAAATAAACACATGCTGGATAGGCTCAATATTAGAGTAGAGATGACAGAGGACAGAATCGGTAAACTTGAGAACAGAACAGTAGAATTCACCCAATTCAAGCAACAGGAAGAAAATACATTTAAAAAAATGAACAAAGCCTCAGGACTTGTCGGACAATAATGAAATAGCCAACATTTATATTGTCACAGTCCAAAAGGAAAAAAAAGTGGAGTTAAAAAGCCTTCAAATAAATTATGGCTGAAAACTCCCCAAACCCATGGAAAGATACAAACCTCCAGATCCAAGAAGCTGAGTAAATTCCAAAATAAAGATTTTTAAACCAAAATAAATCTACACCAGGATACATCTTAATTAGACTTCTGAAAATTAAAAAGAAAAATGAAAAAATTTGGAAAGTCACCAGAGAGAAATGACATCTTTGATAGGGACACACCAGTTTGAATGATAATGGATTTCTCATCTAAAACCAGAGGCCAGAAGGAAGCAGCACAATATTTTTCAAGTACTGAAAGAAAAAAATTATCAACCACAAATTCTATATCCTGAAACAACTCTCAAGGAATAAAGGAGAAATAAAATATTCTGGGAGGAGAGAATACTAAAATAATTTTCTCTAACTCAAAGATTGTGTAAAAGAAATTGTTCAAACAGAAAAGAGAAGATTAAAGGAGGACTCTCAGAGCATCAGGACTAAGGACAACAGGATGGAGGAAGAAACAATGGAAAGAGTTTGAGAAATGGGCATATATGATAAGCTATCCTTTCCTCATGCAGTTTATAAATTATGTTTGAAGATTAAAACAAAAATTATAATACTATCTGATATCCAAGAAAATAATATTTAAAACTAGGGAAGGTAAAGGTCTGTATATGGTCACTATCCAATCCTTCCCTCTCCAAAATCAGAATGAAAGCAAAATTCTCACACTTCACCTACAGTGGCAGAATATTGACAACATTAGACTGTTGTCATATATGTATGTTGTTACACCTAGAGAAACAACTATGAAAATCATACGAAATTACCCCAAAACACTAAAAATAAGTCAAGATGGAATCCTAAAATATATTTAAGTAACCTGCAGGAAGGCAAGAAAAGAGAAATGGAGGAATGAAAAACAGAAGAAACAAATAGAAAACAAATAATAAAATGACAGAGTTGAATGCTGGCATATCAATAATTACCTTCAATGTAAATGGTGTAAATATCCAGTCAATGGACAGAGATTGAAAGAGTGGATAAAAAATTATAACCCGATAAAAAATTATAGGAGACTCACTTTAAATTTGAAACAGGTAGATTAAAAACAAAAGGATTGAAACAGATATACTGTGCAAACCTTAATCAATTTGACTTAATTGGTTTTCCTTCATGTGGCAATAAATATGACTTTCAATCTCCCTCAAGCCTCACACTCACAATTTCCTTGACTGTTTCTAACCCTGGGAGAGGGCTCTAATTGATATAGCTCATGTCTGAGGGCTCACCCCTAGACAGTCAAAGAGCAGGCTCCTGGGAGAATATGGCTTTACTGATGGAGCCCCATCTTTGGAGAAGAGGGAGAAATGATTCCTAAAAAAAGAAAAGCACTATTCACAGGCAGCGGGAACACTGGGAGGCAAAAATAATAGGAGTCTAATACATGCATTGTACCCCCTCTTTATATGCATACTAGCCAGCTTCCCACCCAAAAAAAATCAAAATAAAGCAAAACTAAACAAATAATGTTTTCTTCTGGAAGAGGGAAAATGTGCATGCTGCAGTTTTTTCTAGTTGGCTGTCAGTGGTCAGCTGACATTCTTTACTACCCTTTAGCATTCTCTCTAGGCATCTTCAGGTCAAGCAAAAGAAAAGAAATATATCACATGCCAGTCATGGTCTTTGGTCAAATTTTGGTGTTCAGCAATAAATTGAACTAAACTCTGTATCTCATTATTTCAACCCATGAGTAAGATTTAGAGCTCACTCCTTTAAAGCAGGCAGACCACATTCTGGGTTCTTCTCTGATTTAATCAAAGTTTGTAGAAGACATTTGCTGATTTCTGTGAACTAAAATTAATTATAAAACACAACTCTTCTCTCTTTTGACAGTTTAGCAGAACTTCCACTGATAATGAAGTCGGTTTTCTTATTCATTAGTAAATCCAGAGCTGTACATGTTTGGCAGGGAAGATTGTGATAAGTAACTGAATTTCAATTAATGCATCCATTTGACAAGTATTCATTAGCATCTCTATATGCCAGACCCTCTGCCAGGAGGTAGATACAGTGAGGAATGGTCCCTGATCTCAAGGGGCTCGTGGTTAAGGGGAGAAAACAGATGCATAAACACATAATACTATGCAAAATACAAATATATTCCAGGGCTCCTGGTGGAGCCAGAGATAAGAAGCAAGCATATCTGCTAAAGAATTAACCAATGATCTTCTCCTTGAAGTACCAGTTTGGAAATGGTTCTCTCTGCGTCTTTCCTCTTCTCTCCCATCGTCCACCCCACTTCTCCTAGGATAAAACCTAAAGCCTGAACGATATGTCCACAATGCATTCAGACCTACACAGATGTCTCTGAAGAAGGTGGTGTCCCAGGGGAACAATGGATGCCACATTTCAGAAGGGGTCAGTGGACCCCCAAGGGAGGATTCTCTATAGGCTGGGAGGAAGAAGCCTGGAGCAAGAAACCAGATCCCAGTACAGGGCTTGAGGGGAAGAGGGTCTTCCTTGTTCTGGCAAGTCAGTGGCAGTGACTAACTGAGCCAGCCCCAAGCCCCAAGCCAGTAACCGTGGAAGAGCATAGGAATGGAGAGAATCCTCACCCTACACCCCACAGCACTTCAGAGCTCCAGAAGGCCTCTGTGGCAGAAGGTAACTGCGCCACTGTGATGCCATGATGGCCAGGAGCAACAGTGGCTGGTGGAGGTGATGGGAGTTGTCACTGCAACAGGACAGAGTTTTCACCCCAGCGCAGATCTTTCAGGACCAAGTGAAGTAGCCTTCATCCCAGAGGCAGCATTCAGTGCAAAGAGAAGCCGCATGAACTTGCCGGCGCAGGTAAGTCCTCCTTAGAGACTAGACTCGAGCATTTTGCCAGAATGAAGGGAGCTCCCTTTTGAGGCTTTGGTTCTTACAGTACAACCGCTGAGATGGACGCTCCAGAACACAACGAGACATGGAAGATGGTCAACGACTTGCTCTGCTGCCTTTTATTTTGTATTCAATATGGCACAGCATAACACAGAGCTATTTCCCCTACAGGTTCTATTAGGGTGACCAAATAATTTCCCACCCAAGCCTATAATTTAAAGAATGGAAGAGGGCAACATTAACAACTTCCCTGGGATTATAGATGTAAAATGAGACTATCCTGGGCAAATGAAACATACATGGCAAGTCTAATGTTATTGCTTTGCTTTTGAGATTTCTTCTTTTTCATATTTCTGGGCTTATATGAAATCTTTCTACTTGGTAGGGTGGGGTGGGGGTGTTGAACCTGAGACCCGAAGGTATTCCCCACAACCAGGAGGTTGCTTCAAGGAAGGAGGGTGTTCTGTACCTTCTTGTAACCTCTCCTGGGACAGACATGATTGGCATCAATGACACCCAATCTTTGGGCCATTACCACGTTTTAGGCAGGCTCAATGAGCAACTGCCTCTCTATTCTTTAGCAGCAATTTAGTAACCGCATAATTTTAAAAATTGAGATATAATTCACATACCATAAAATTCACCCTTTTAAAATGTACAATTCAGTGTTTTTTAGTATATTCATAAAGCTGTACAACCAACTTCACCATCTAATTTGAAAATATTTTCATTACTCCAAAAGAAACCCTATACCTATTAAACAGTCACTTCCCCCAACCCCTGGCAACCACTAATCTTCTTTCTGTCTCTATAGATTTGCCTATTCTAGACATTCCATATAAATGGAATCATATGATATGTGTCCTTTGTGTCTGGCTTCTTTCACTCAGCATAATGTTCAAATTTCATCCAAGTTGTAGAATGAATCAGTACTTCATTCCTTTTTACGGTTGAATAATATTCTATTGTATGGATCCGCTACATTTTTCCACTCATCAGCTGATGAACATTTGGGTTAGCTGCATGATTTTAAACACACACTGCTCATGCTTTACAAGTATCACACCTAATATTTATTTCAACTTTACAAGCATCATATTTTATGTTATTGCAGACAAGTGAATTTAGCTTTCTGGAAAATATGCACACATACTGTGCTATGGCTTACTTTAGAATAATCATTAATCATTCTATCTGTGTTTGTTGCCATCTTTTTCTCAAAGGAGGAGGGAAAAATATTTGCATGTATGGAGAGTGTTAGAGGGACCTGTGAAACTATAAAGGAGAACTCACCAAGGGTCTAGGGAAATAGAACACCCCAAAATGTTTCAGGATCCTATGCAGGGACTAGAGTTCCCATGTGAGCACACGACACTGGAGCTAGCGGAGTCCAGGGTAAGAATGAATGCAGTGTCCCCCCACAGGCTGTAATTCAGATGACAAAAAAGGAAGCTCTAATGTGCTTTGGGAGGAAAAAGGAGGGAAGGGAGAGCAAGGACTGCCATGCTGAGGAGACAGCTTCAATAAAGCACAGAAGGCAGCCAGGAGAACACAGAGGGCAAGCATTTTAGGGAGAAGGATGAGCACGTACAGCAGCTCAGAGGTGTGAGAGAGCTGATCCCTGCCTCCACTCTATTTGGGGGGCTCTCAAGCAGATCATTCATCCAGATGTCCAGACACTGGAAACCGCCAGATGACAGGATTAACCCAGGATGATTTTAGTGGCATTCCATCCTAAAAACACTCCATTTCATTCATGCACATTATGTGCGCTGACATGATTCACAAGGCTGGGGAGTCACAGGCTATCAATGTCACAGCAGCGACATCTACATGATGCAAATCAGGTAGCGTGGAATGTAAGCAGTGATCACAGCGATGTCATGGCCATCTTTCTAGAAAGGCACTATGTTGTCAATGTCCTCAATCGTTTGTATATTTCAGTGGAAAACAACTGTTGGGTTGAACTGCAGATGAGAAGAATAATATATGTTAAATATGTGTGTATACATATATATGTATCTTTGCACGTCTTCTTTAAATCATTGTGCTCTTCGAGTGATGACATATTTATTATGAAATATTACTACAGGTTAGATCTGGGGTGATCCAAACAAGTGATCTACAGGTAAATGTAGTCAAAACCAAGGACTCCTGGGAGGGGAGAGGATGAAGAGGAAAATGGAAGGGTTGATAGAAGGCAGATTATTAACACCATCAAATCCAATCTAAGAGCCTTGGGCTTTACCCTCTTAGGCCAGGGTTCTCAAACATTAGTGTTTGATTCCTCTGGAGAGCTTATCTAATGCCTATTTCCAAGGACCTCCCTCTGATTGTCTGGTGAATGGGCTTATGAAGTCACTGAGCATTTCTAAGCAAAGAAGTGTCCATTTTTTTCCAAGATATATTTGAGATTTCTTACACTTTAAGTTTTTCAAAGGCATATATTTTCTCAACCTCTGAAACTCTGGTGCCCAACAGTTCTTCAGTGATGTTTGTTGAATGGCTGAATGATCATTCTGGCTATCAGTACCAGTGTGGGGTTCAGGCTGAAGATGGTGGAACTGGAGGCAAGATTGATGAGGCTGTAGCCCAGTGAGCGAGGCTGTGGTCTGAACAAGGACTGTGGCCAACAGACAGACAGAGAGACAGACAAGGACAGAGGATCTTGTTGTCTGACTCTCAAGAGGATTTTAGGGAAAAAAAAGTGAGAATCAGTGATCAGGGCAGAGCAGGATCAATGGCCTTCCCACTAGCCCATGTGCTTCAGCCAAAGCCCACAAGCACCCAGTGTCATAGGGTGGAGAACCTGCCCAGATGGGATCTAGAAACAACCCAGATACAGTAGACTTTTTACCTTAAACCAGAGACTCCTAACTGCTCTGAGGCTAGGCTGAGGCCACTGACGCCAGGCAAGGGATGAGGGTGAGGGCAGAAGACAGGGTCTGGTACCAGGAGGCAGGGATAGATGGGAGGAGAGATATGAAGAGGGAGTAGGAGGACAGCTTAGTCATGGGAGACAGACTCATGAAAACAGTTTGTCTTTAGAGGCTGTGGCTGTAGTAGAAAGAACATGCATTTTTAAATTGAACAAACTCAGCCTGGAGACCTGGCTCCATCCTTACCAGTGTGTTGTTGGCCTTGGCAAATCGTGGAATGCGAATGCCTGGAAACCTGTTTGCTCACCTGTAAAACAGAGATACAGATAATTCCTTCACGGGATACTTTAATTAAAGGTGAGTGACACATATAACATAGCCTGACATCCAGTAGGTGATGAATTAGCGTTTCTTGTTTTATTGTTTTGAAGTATTTGAAGCAGACATTATAGGGTAGCCAATAATATACGAAGCATTCATTAGTCACCACCTACCACTGTGAAACCCGGACTTTTGCTTGATTCCTTCTGATGTACTTTTAGAGACATCAACCACTACACATATGGTTGGCTCTCCCTGGCTACCCCTACTTGATTGGATTTCCACCTTCTCTGAAGGTGGTGACACTGTTGCATGCTTACCATGAAAAGATAGGTCTCCAAAACTGTACAGCTTTGAGTTGTGCATGTGTTTAAACTTGATATAACAGCATCCTAATATTTACATCTTTCTGCAGCTTACTTTTCACAGTCAACATGGTTTTTGAGATACAGGTAGCTCTAGTTCATTAGTGGTCATTCCCGAGCAATAATCTGCTGCGTAATCATGACGCAGTTGATTTACCAATTCGCCTAATGACCAGCTTTCAGGCTTTTGCTCAGTTATCACTAGCAGAAGAATTGCCAAGATGACCATGTTCCCCCATATCGCCTGGTAAGCATGTGCTGTAAATGAGTTTTATTGCTTCACGCCAACAATAGATTTTGCCTGGCTTTGTTATTTGTGCCCATCTGATGAGTGTCATTTCTTTTTTTAAGAAAAAATAGATAGTAACAGGATCCGTACCTCTGGATTTTCTAGGACTAAGTCAAGTATAGTGTCTCATTGTCTCCCCGGTAACAATCGTGCTGCTTAGAAATGGTAGTGATTATTTAGATAAAGAGCTCTGGCCACTGTGCATGGAGATCCCAGTATACTGGGAGGGTGGGGAGGGCTGGGCAGAAGATGACACTTGGGGAGGGCATCGTCTTTTCCAACCTTGACCCTGTTTTTGCATGTGTTCTTAATATGCTGATATAATTCTTGTACCCTGGATGTTTTGATCTTCTCTGAGACTGACCATGGGGGGAAAGATGAATTTCTTTAAATCAAAAGACTTTGGGTTTAGTTTGTTTCTCCTTATTGTCCTTTCTTGCTTATATGTGGAATCTTAAAAAGTTAAACTCATTGAAGCAGAGGGTAGAATGGTGGTTTCTAGGGTCTGGGGGTTGGGGGCATTTGGGTCAAAAGACACAACATTTCAGTTAGACAGGAGGGAATAAGCTTAAGAGATTCATGGTACACCATGGTGACTGCAGTTCTTAACAAGGCATTGTGTTCTTAAAAATCACTAAGAGAATAGATTGTAAGTGTACTCATCATAAAAAATGATAAATTTGTTACAAATTTAGCCAGGCATGGTGGCAGTTGCCTGTAATCCCAGCTACTCTGGAGTCTGAAGCAGGAGAATTGCTTGAACCCGGGAAGCAGAGGTTGCAGCGAGCCAAGATCACGCCACTGCACTCTCCAACCTGGGTGACAGCAAGACTCTGTCTCAAAAAAAAAAAAAAAGATAAATTTGTGAGATAAGGCAAATGTTAATTAGCTCAATTTAGCCATTTCACAAGGTGAACAAATTTTAAAACATGTCATACATCATAACTACATACTATTTTATTTGTCAATTAAATAAAAAAGTAAGTAATTTTTTAAATGTTTTATAAGCCAGGGAGCTTTCATCTTCTCTTTCTTTAATCTCTGTCATTTGATTTTACAGTAAGAATGTAAGCAAAAACAGAACGATGCAATTGTATTACATAATATATTTACTAGTTTGCTCTATTTTTATTTTTTGTGGAGATGGGGTCTCTTTTTTTGATCAGGCTGGCCTTGAACTCCTAGCCTCAAGCAATCCTCCCACCTCAGCCTCCCAAAGTGCTAGGATTACAGGTGTGAGCCACAATGCCCAGCCTATTTACTTGTTTTTAAAATGTGGTTATAAAACATCTTAGGCTACATATGGCAGGAAAAGTAGAATAGACTTTCTATTCTATTCTAGAATAAAGTAGAATGTAATTTTAAAATTAGGAGACTCCAATTAAGTCACTCTAGGATATTACAGAGATGAATGAGATAGCATCCCAGTCTTTGGGGAGCTCAGGTCCTGGTGCAGGGGATGCAGACAGGATGAGGAGGAACTAACGGGCTGCTTCTTCCGCCATGGAGGCCCCTCCACCCACCCCCATAGCACAGTGGGGATTGGTGTCCCTGCAAAGCTGAATCCCTGAGTCTGAGTATCTAGTGGGTCAGGAGCCAGGCAAGTAACAGGATGGAAAAAACACAACCAGCCATGGAGGTGAAGGAGGGGCCTGGCATGTGTAGACTCCACCTAAACGTGACTGTAACTGACCAGGGCCTTGAAGGATACAGGTCCAGGGTGCCAAATCTTTAAGAGGGATTTTCAAGAGGAGCCAACATCCACTCTTGGTGGTGGCAGGGGGTGAGAGCGGAGGGTAGGATTAGGATTAAAACCTCCCGCTAAAAACTGTGAGATAATTTCTGCTGTTTAAGCCACCCAGTCTGAGATATTTGTTACAACAACTTTAGCAAACTAATCCAGCTGGGATCTGAACCCAGGCTTCTTTGACACCTCCAGGTTAATCGGCCTCCCAGATTAAAAAAAAAAAAAAATCTGATGGAATATCTAGTAGCCAGATTGAGCAAATAAAAATACAGGACACTCAGTTACATTTGAAAGGTAGCTCTAACTACTGAATTTTTCTAACTTATTGTAGGAAGCCGAGTATAGAGCATTTAGGGAACCCTGACAAAGTCAATACAGGATAAATTCACTAAATATAGGACATGCCCCATCCATACAAGATACCTGATCACCCTAACTGGAGGGGATCCTAGAACTCCAGGCTCCTGGCTTCATGCCAACACCATTTCCAGTAGTACGATTTACCAACAAAAGGGTTTGATGATTAATTGAAGCAAACGCCTTGAGCACCCATTCCCACTGAGTTGCACCAGACCAGACTGTCCTGGAATGAATGACAAGGGCAGGACTTCACCAGTAAGTGAGGGAGCTCCTTCTGAAGTTTATCTGTTGAGGGAGCTCGGGTATCTAGGTCTGAGCATGATAAAGTTTTCCCAGGACACTTTTCTTCTCTTGTTAGGAAAGCAAATGTAGCAGGAAAAGCCTGTGTTTCATTTCGAAGGCAATTTTACAGCATCTAACACAATTTAAAATCTATCATCCACTAATTCCACTTCTCCATATCCACCCTAGAGATGCATCCCCATGTGTGGCCCCAGAGGCATACGTAAGAATGTACAGTGGAAAACTGAGAACAATGGGAGATGGGGTGTTAAAAACGAGTACAGTTGTAAAATGGAATAACACACAGCTATTAAAAAGGATGAGGGACTTCTCTAGCATCCATATGGATAGGTGTCCAAGATATATCGTTAGAAGACAAAACAAGCTGTAGAAAGAGTGAATAGCAGAATAACACACGCTAGACACACACAATAAAAATGCTGTAAATATATTATAAGTAGATAACTTCGTATATAAATGAGTAAAAAAAGTTCTGACAAGCAATCTTTCAAAGTGATAACCAGTGGAGCAAACACATCTTTGCAGATGGGAAGAAGCCAAGATTGCACTGAGGGGCGGGTGTCAAAGAAGGCTTTAGCTTTACGTATAACGTTGTGCATTTTAAAAGGGAAATATTTCTATCTCTTATGTAATTACAACTTTTTTGAAAGACGAAAAGCACGAATTTTGTAATCAGACAATTGAAGGTGAGTCCTACTTCTGTCACTCACTGGCTGTGTAGCTTCAGCTACTGTTATAGGCTGAATAATGACCCCCAAGATGTCCACATCCCAATCCCTGGAACTTGTGAATGTTACCTTAAATGGCAAAAGGGACTTTGCAGATGTGATTAAGTTGAAGATCTTGAGATGAAGAGATTGCCTTGGATTGTCAGGGTGGGCCCTAAATGTAATCACAAGTGCCCTTATAAAGTGAGCAGGAGGGAGATTCAATTACAGAAAAGGAAGAAGGGAACATGATGAGGAAAGCAGGGGAAAAAACACAAAATGAGGGGGCAGGGAGAAAGAGCCAAGGAATGAGGTTGCCCCAGAAGCTTGAAAAGGCAAGGAAACAGGTTCTCCCATAGAGCCTTAGAGCCCAGCTGACACCTCGATTTTGGCCAAGTGAACCCCATTTCAGAACTATAGAACTTCAAATGAATAAATGTGTGTTGCTTTTATGCCACTGTTTGTGATCATTTGTTATAGCAGCAGTAGGAATCTAATACAGCACATTACTTAATGTTCCTGAGCCCCCATTTGTCCATCTTCCAAGTGGAGATGGTTTATTGACTTTACAGGCTGCTGGGAGTCAGAGCTCACATTGATTTGGCATTAGTATTGCCATGGTTGTAGCTAACATTGCACGGACTCTTATTCTCTGCCTACTGACATCCCTGTCAAGGCTTTGAAGAAGGAGGTGCCTGCTGAGAACTCACAGGCATGATGACCCAAACCAAGCCCATGCACTGAACAATGGAACTAACCAGCCTCCTAGTACAGAGCCTGTCCCATGGCTGGTGCCCAGGAAAAATTGTAATGAGGACATGACTGTTTAAGAGATGCAGGTGGAAATCTGTAAAACAATAATACAAGAAAATCTCCATTTAGGAGCAGCTGTCGCCTGGACCTGCTCTCACGTCCTGGTGCTCTCCTCTTGCATTTCAAGACTGACCATCTCTGTTACAGAAAATTTGAAATCAGCTTAATCACGGCTTCCATCGTACAAGTTGACTAATTTTTACCATATTTGATTATCATCATTGCCTAGTGCAGGAATGAGCTCAATTTCTGTGTTCAGTGAATTACATCCCTCTCGGGTGCAAACACTGGCATTGAACTAGAAGAATGTGGTGTCATTTTTGCTGTCATTGCCACAGCCTTTCAGTCTCTGATGGGATGGACTGTTCCTGTAAACAGAGAAGGAAGATCCTCCTGACATCTGGGAGAGCCATGTATGGTCAAGAGGCAGAGAGGGTCCCAGGAGGCTTCCTGAGAAGTCCGCAGTTTATTGTTTATGTCATGAAGAAGACAAAGTCAAAGTCATTTCCTCCCTGATCTGTCACAACCCCCAAGCATCAGGAGGGCTGGGCTCAGCAGGAGCAACAGCTTGGAGACATCCAAGCCATGAGCTCAGACAGGAAACCATCATCTCATGTCAGAATCCATCTAAAATGAGCCTGGGCTGTTCGGCATTGACACACCTGTGCTTTATCAGCAAAAATCTTCACTACAGGCACAGAATATACCAGGTTCAGGGACTTTGCAAATCTGTGACTGATTTTTGCTCTGCTGAGAAGCCATTAACTTACATATTATTCCTTTCTTTTGTGTAAGTTCTCTTCAGCCCAGTCTTCATGTGGACTCAGGATGATTTCAGTTAGAGTAAATGACTTGTCTTAAATAAAAATATGTTGGCTGGTGGGGAAGAGAGTGATTAAAAAGAGAAGGGCGATGACCTGGAAATTCCACTCCTGGGTAGTATGTATCCAAAAGGATGAAAGTAGAATCTCAAAGAGATATTTGCACACCCATGTTTATAGCAGCAGTATTCACAATAGCCAAAAGGTGGGAACAACCAAATGTCCATGATCAGATGAATGGATTCACAAAATGTGGTATACACATCCAGTGGAATATTCTCCAGCATTAAAACAGAAGAAAGTCCTGACCTACACTACGACATGGAGAAAGCTCAAGGACATATGCTTAGTGAAATAAGCCAGACACAAAACGACAAATATTGTATGATTCTTCCTATAGGAGGTCCTAGTGTAGGCAAGTTCATGTAGACAGAAAGCAGAATGGTGGTTGCCAGGGCCTGGAGAGTGAAGAAAAAGGGGAGTTAGTGTTTAATGGGTACCGAGTTTCAGTTGGGGAAGATGAAGAAATTCTGGAGCTGGATGGTGGTGATGGCTGCAGAACAACGTAAAGATACTTAATGACCCCAAGCTATAAACTTAAAAAGGTTAAGATGGTAAGTTCTACGTTATGTCTGTGTTATTTATGTTTTACTATAATAGAAAGAGAGACAGTAGAGTGGTTGAGGAGAGCAGGGAATTGGAATTGCTTGCACTGGGGTGGAGTTCATGCTTGGCTGCTCATTGCAATCACATGGGAAGTTTGAAAACTCTTAATGCCCAGGCGGCACCCCAGACCAATTCCATCAGCATCTGTGATTCATAAGCTTCTGGGTGATTCCAGTGGACAGCTGTAATAGTCCACACTGCTATAAAGAAATACCTGAGACTGGATAATTTATAAGAAAAGAAGTTTACTTGGCTCATATTTCTGCAGGCTGTGCAGGAAGCATAGTGGCGCCTGCCTCTGGGGAGGTCTCAGGAAACTTACAGTCATGGAAGAAGGCAAAGGGGAAGCAGGCACACCTTACATGGCCGGAGCAGGTGGAAGGGCTGGGGAGGTGCCACACCACACTTTAAACAAACAGATCTCATAAGAACTCACTCACTATACAGTGCCAAGTGGGGGAATTGTGATAAACCATTCATGAGAACTCTGCCTCCGTGATCCAATCACCTCCCACCAGGCCCCACCTCCAACACTGAGGATTACAATTTGACATGAGATTTGGGTGGGGACACAGACCCAAACCGTTTCAGCAGTGAAGGTGAATAACCACTGCTCTAGATCCTTGCTCCCCAAAGTCCAGCCATCAGAGAATTGTGAGAAGAAAGCCGCCACTTCCTGGGCCCCTGCTGTGTGCTCAGTTCCTCACATTATTTCTGTGAACCAGCAGCAGTCTTCATACATAGTAGGGGTAGGGTGCATCCTGGCCTCCCCAGCCTGGGACAGCTCTGATGTACAGTAGCGTTATCAATCGATCTCCCTTTCCCTCTCAGAAGTGTTTCAATATAGATGAGAGACTATATGAGCACCTGCCTATGAAGAAGCAAACCCTGAGAGAGATTTGGAAATGTACCCTAGCCTATGCAGCTATTAAGAGGTAAAACTGAGACTCGACTTGGGTTTTCTGATTCCCAAAGCCCTTGCTCTCTTGGCCCAGTGACTATGTAGCTGCTTGCCTAGGGACCAGATTCAGAAATCCATTTTCCAGGGCAAACAGAATGATTGGATTTTTCTTAGAGAATTTAAAACTAGAATTTCTCTCTCCTTTCTCTTAACCATAGGTAAATGGTGGAGACTGGGAATCAAATGACCACTGAGTTGTCCTGTTAGTATTACTGAGCACCTACTATTTGTCAGATGCTGCTTCAAGCCCTGGGAGACAGCAGTGATAAAATTATCCTTATACCCGTGGAGTATGACAACACAGAACAGAGTCACCTATCCCTCGTGATGAAGGTGTGAAAGAAAACAAGGTGTGCTGAGAGACGAATGGGGAGGAGATTAGTGAAAATTCTCTGGGGAAGTGACATTTAACCCAAGATCTGAAGGAGTAGAAAGAGCCGGCTAGGGAATCTGTCTTCACTTTATCAGCACCTATTTTTTTTTTTTTTGCCTTAACAATAAAACTGATTTTCTACTTGTTAAGCCCATTGCTTGTAAAAATGTGGCTCATGTTTCATAGGCTTCCCTGGTGAAACCTGACTCTGAATTTATAAGACGATTCAGTTAGAGATGGCTGGGGCTGACAGAGGAAAGCAAGCTCTAAAGTCAATACCCCTTGCCCTGCCTCAGCACCAAGACCGCCAGGTATGAAAGCTCAGGACAAGTGACTTGGCCTAAGACTCAACAACATCATCTGTAAAATGGGGATGATAACCTTAGCATCATCACTTTGAGGAGGATGTCCGGATGAATTAAATATTATCTGACAATATTAGCTTTGCAGCTGTTCCCCTGTCCTTGAAAAAATCTCTGTATACAAAGAGGAAAATTTCAACCACTGCCATTAGGTGTCTCCTCTGGGTAGTTCTATTTGTGCAACAGCACTGTTGAAAACCACCAGCAACAGCAACACATGTGCTTCTCATCTAATGGGAAATCTGGTTCCCCCTTCACCTTAAGCTCTTTGAATAAAAAGTGCTCACATGGAGTTGAATTCCAATAGTCCAAAGAGAAAGAGCCTGTGGCTGTTCTGGCTGTTGCTGGTACCTGGCATTTGGGAGCTGATAGTGGTGACAAAAAGGCAGCCCAGGTTGTCTTTGTATCCCTGGAGCATAGGAATGTGGACACACCTGCTTGGGGCTGAAGCGTAGCTCTCAATGCTGTGCTCGGTGCCAGCTCAATTGCTGCTTCCTATGCCCACTGAAGGAGGAGGATTTCTGCGTCAAATGAAAGGTGTTTTTATTTTTTAAATTTTATATTGAGGTGTAAATTGCATGGAGGAGAAACGTATCTCAATAAATTTTCACAAAGTGAACACCTTCATGTACCATTACCTAGTCCGGCAAGTGGAAGATTATTAGCACCCTAGATGCCTCCTGAAGCCCACCTTAGACATCTCCCCATGCCCACCCTAGAAAACTCCCTAAGTCCACCCTAGAAACCTATCCAAGTCCACCATAGACATCTATGCCCATCCTAGAAACCTCCTCAAGCTCACCCTCGACACGTCCCATGCTCCCATGCCCACCCGAGATACCCCGCCAAGTCTCCCACAGATACCACCCCAATGTCTCCCCCACCACTAACACCTTCCTCTTCCCCAAATTACCCTTGACTTCTTTTTCTTTTTTTCTTTTCTTTTTTTTTTTTTCCTTTTTTGAGACAGAGTCTTGCTCTGCTGCCCAGGCTTGAGTGCAGTGGTACGATCTTGACTCACTGCAACCTCCACCTCCCGATTCAAACGATTCTCCTGCCTCAGCCTCCCGAGTAGCTGGGATTACAGGCACCCGTTACCATGCCTGGCTAATTTTTGTATTTTTAATAGAGATGGGGTTTCACCATATTGGCCAGGCTGGTCTGGAACTCCTGATTTCAGGTGATCCACCTGGCTTGGCCTCCCAAAGTGTAATCCTATTACAGGTGTGAGCCACTGCGCCCAGCCTATCTTTGACTTCTGATCCCATAAATGTGTCTTGCAATTGACATATTTTTAAAGCTTTATGTCTTAGGCCCACTGCCTTCTGGTAGAGATCTACTTATTTATCTTCTCATTACCTATTCATGAAATGCCTCTTTTTCTAAAAGCCACAAACCAGTCATCCTTCTTTAATTCTAAAGGATCTGATTGATAAAAATAATATTTCATGATTCTTTTGGTTTGCATGTGTCTGATGATTTAGGAGGTAAAGTAGTGCCTAGTATGTCTAATGGCCGTTTGAGTTTCCTGTGAGTTACCTGCTCATGTCCTTTGTCTAGTTTTCCTTGGGGTGTCATTCATTTCAAGGCATCCTGTGTGCCACAAGCGTATTAATCCTTTGTTCCTTCCACGTGGCAAATATTTCCCAGCATCATTTGCTTTGTAATCAGTTAGCTTTGTATGATGCTTTTGTGGTTCCTTTTCCCTTTTTTTTTTTTTGAGACGGAGTCTTGCTCTGTCATCGGCCAGACTAGAGTGCAATGGCGCGATCTCGGCTCACTGCAACCTCCACCTCCTGGGTTCAGGTGATTCTCCTGCCTCAGTCTCCCAAGTAGCTGGGATTACAGGTGCATGCCACCACACCCGACAAATTTTTTTGTTGGGACTACAGGTGCATGCCACCACACCCGACAAATTTTTTTGTATTTTTAGTAGAGGCAAGGTTTCACCATGTTATCCAGGATGGTCTCGATCTGCTGACCTTGTGATCCACCCGCCTCAGCCTCCCAAAGTGCTGGGATTACAGGCGTGAACCACCGTGTCTGGCCCCTTTTCCCTTCTCATTGACTCTCACATCCTCCCTTGGTCATCTCATCCAGTCTTATAGGTTTAAATGCCATTTGTACACTGCTATGAACTGAATGGTGCCCCCTCAAATCCATATGTTCCAGCCCTAACCTCTAATATGGCTGTGTTAGGAGATAAGGTCTTTATAAGGTAATTAAGGTGAAATGACTTCATAGGGGTGAGGCCAGACTCTAAAGGCTGGTATCCTTATGAAAAAAAAAAAAAAAAAAAAAAAGGATGAGAGAAAAATCTGTCTCTCTGTGTGTCTCCACCATGAGAGGACACAGCAAGGTGGTGGCCATCTGCAAGCCAGGAAGAGAGTTCTCCCAAGGACCCAGTGACACTGGTACCGGATCTGTCTTCCAGCCTCCAGAACTGTGAAAAAATGAATTTCTGTAGTTTCAGCCCCCCAGTCTGTGGTATTTCGTTATGGCAGCTTGACTAAGACATGCTCTGAACCTGCCCAGATCTCTACCTGCTGCCCAGACCCTCCTCTTGAACTCCACACTCCTTCACTTAGCCACTCCTTGACTCCTCGGCCTGGTGTCTAAGGGACACTTCAAGCTCAATGTGTCCAAAACTGAATCCTGGTCTTCTGCCTATACACCCGCTCCACCCACAGCCTTGCCCATCTTCCCAGGAGCTGCTCAGGCAAACACCCTGAGCACAGTGTGAGGGAGTGAGCTTTCCCTCTCACTCCCCATCCAACCTCACAGGAAATCCAGCTGGCTCTGCCTTCAGACTGTGTTGGAGACTGTGTCTCCAACCACATGCACTGCTCCCCCTGATACACGCTGCCATTGGGTCTTGCCTGGGTGGCTGCAATAGCCCCTGCTTGATCTCCCTGACTCTGCCCTTGACCTCCTGCAGTCTATTCTGGACGTAGCCACAGAGTGACCCGATTCAGACAAAACAGATCCTTGCCCCTTGTCGGTTCGGTGGCTCCCATCTCTCTGGGACTAAAGTCAATGATCCTGCCATGTTTTTTTCTGCCCCATCACCTCTCTGGCCTTATCGCCTGGTGTCTATCCTTGGCCAGCCGATCTCCAGTCACAGGTCCCCTTTGCTATTCCTGGTGTGGCCCAGGCATGTCCCCACTTCAGGGGCCTTGCATGGGCTGCTCCTCCTGCCCAGAACACGCTTCTCTGAGACAGCCGTGTGGCTCCCTCCATCTCTTCAAGGCTGTCACCGCTGTCATCTTCTCTGTGAGACCTACACTGACTAGATTATATAAAATTGCAACTCATTCTCTGCATCCTCAATCTTCTCACCATGCTATGGGTCTATTTATTCTTATCGCTTTCTATGAGCTGTACACTTCATCTAACAAATGGTAGTGCTTACTTACGAATTAACTATTACTACTGCTTTTCTTCTGTCTCCTTCACCTGAGAGCTTCAATCTTTGTGGGTTTTGTTCATAGCCATTCGCTAAGTGCCTCTTACAGTGTTTGGACATAGGAGACATTATTTGTTTATTGAATAAATAAATATCCTTAAATATATAGCCAATTTCTGCAATCTTTTTCTTTAGGTTTCTGTTTTGTGGTCTTGTCCAGAAAGCCCTACTCTAACGAGTATTGATAATTCACTCATACATCCTTCCAGATTATGGGTATATTTTATATATTTAGAACTTTAATCAACTTGAAATTTATTCATTGTGAGGTCTGAGGTAGCAAAACATGGGGCTTTTAAATTAATTATTTTCCAATATCTTATTTCTATGCTTATTTAAGCTTTTTTAAAATCATTAAATGTATTATAATTAGCTCTGTTTCTGGACCTTGTATTATATTCCATTGATCTGATTATTTACTACTATACCACAAAGTATTTTAATTATATTAAAGGCATGCATTTATTTTTAAAATGAATTAGAATTTCTAGAACTTTGTCTCTTTGTTTGGTCTTTGAAACATCCAGTTCTCAGTTTTATCAATTCTCCTGGGTATTTATTTCTTTTGTATCTAATTGATTAATTGATACTTATGTTTTTAGTAATGCCTTCTTTTTTAAGGTTTAATTTATTATTTTCTTTTCAAGTTGTTTTTTGGTGGGATGTTCTGCTCATTTATGTTCATTCATTGAAGAATTCAAGGCTATTTGCTTCCTTTGAGTTCAATTTTGACCACATCTCTTAAGATGTATTTTCATTGTTATTGTCTTAATGGTCCATAGTTACACTTTTAATTTCCTCTATTTTCAAGAGTTGCTTAATGTTTTTAATTTCCCATAAATGTATTCTTATTGTTATTTGAGTATTATTTTGTTTTAAATATCCATTATTGTGGTCAACGGATGTGTTCTACAAATTTTCTCATTTTGAAAGAGATTTCTTTGAGATTTTCTGTCTAGAGAATGGTCATTTTCTTAAACTGTCCCAAAGAAACTTGGAAAGAATGTGGATTCTTTGTAGGTACTAAGTTTGATACATACCCATTAAACTGAGCTAAACAATTGCTTCATCCAGTTTTTCCATTGTGTATTTGATGCTTGCTTGAGTCTCAAAGAGAAGGAAGTTTGATTAACGATCTCCTCTACCCTGGTATTTTTGTTGATTTCTTCTTGCCTGTCCAACTTTCTTTCTTTATGTATTTTCAGTGTGTTTTGGGGAATAGTATCTAATGATACCCTTAATCTGTATAAATAGGTCTTCGTTGGTGAGTTCCCATTCATGTCTTTTGCCAGTTTCTCTGATAGGGCATTCACTTTCTTATTGACCTAAAAAAGCTTTTTATATGTTAAACATATTAACTCTCTGCTATGTATGTTACAAGTATTTCCCCCAACTTCTCATTTTTAAAAATCCTGTTAATAGTATATACAATATGCAGATACTTTAAATCTTTTTTTTTGTTTGGAGACAGATTCTCGCTTTGTCACCTAGGCTGGAGTGCAGTGGCTCAATCTCAGCTCACTGCAAGCTCTGCCTCCTGGGTTCACGCCATTCTCCTGCCTCAGCCTCCCAAGTAGCTGGGATTACAGGTGCCCACCACCACGCCCGGCTAATATTTCGTATTTTTAGTAGAGACACGGTTTCACCATGTTAGGCAGGATGATCTCTATCTCCTGACCTCGTGATCTGCCCACCTTGGCCTCCTAAAGTGCTGGTATTGCGGGCACGAGCCACCATGCCCGGCCAGATATGTTAAACCTTTAGTAGTAAAGATTATGTTTTCATTTGTATTCTCGAAATAGTGTGATGAGAAAATTTAGTGAAGGGCAAATATCTTGGTCCCCTCTCCTTGCTTAGCCTTGAATTTCTATGGCTGTTTGATTAACTACCTCTTCACCTGGTCCCCACTTGTGAGCTATGATCTCATGTCACCTCCTTCTTCTTCTGATCCTTCAGGATGTTCCACAGGCAACCCCTTCTTCCTCTCTTTACCATGTAGAGCCAAAGACCTAAAAACATAATTAATTAAGGACAACATCTGACATGCTTGATCAGTGTGCAGCTAAAAAGGTACATGCTTTTCCTGTTCAGAATCTCTTTGTCCCAGGTCTTCAAATTCATCCTCTTTTTTATTTAAAAAAATTACATAAGACCTCTGTATGTATATACAATTTTGCTGAAGGTTTGGAGGACAGAGAACAGCGGTCTCATCTAAGCACACACCATATCTTAAAAATGAATGCTCGACACATCTGTTCTTAAATATTTCACCTCCATTTCTAATAATCCCCTCTCTCCCCTTTTCCCATATCTCCCAAATTTCTGTTTATGTCTAATGCAAAACAATCAGTAATTTTTGTGTGATGCTTTGTCTTTTGCTTGTAATTAAATGTATTTTCCCTTTGAATGCAGGTTACTTTTTAGGAGGAACTCTGATGTCAACTGTTAATGTAAATTTTTTTATCCCACAACACTTATAAAAGTAATATTATAAGCATGCTTATGATTATATTAAAATTTTTTAAACTATTTCTCATACTAAAGGATATAGGAAATACAATGCTGAGAGTAGCCACGTGAGAGTGGGGTCTTGGGTATGTCATTTGATCTTTTTGAATTTGCATCTCTAAACCTGATAGGCCCAATCCAGAGGCATTTGGTGGGGGTGAGGTAGGTGGATTGCCTGAGGTCAGGAATTCGAGACCAGCCTGGCCAATATGATGGAACCCTGTTTCTACTAAAAATACAAAAACTAGCTGGGCATGGTGGCGCACACCTGTAGTCCCAGCTACTCAGGAGGCTGAGGCAGGAGGATTGCTTGAACCTGGGATGTGGAGGTGGCAGTGAGCCGAGATCGTGCCACTGCACTCCAGCCTGGGAAACAGGGCGAGACTCCATCTCGAAAACAAGCAAACAAAACAAAACAAAACAAAAAATAATGTACAAGTCCTGTGACCTTGTCACATTATTGAAACAGTACCTACCTCCCCAGTTAGCCACCTAATCAGTCATTGACTTGAAAACCTACACTATTCCAGCATTGCTTGAGACATAGGGACAAGATCACCTTTAACTGATGTGTCAGAATTTTGTCTACACTGAGCTCTAAACTTTTTTTTTTTTTTTTTTTTACATAGTTTCACTCTTGTCACCCAGGCTGGAGTGCAGTGGTGTGATCTCAGTTCACTGCAACTTCTGGTCCCTGGGTTCAAGAGATTCTCCTGCCTCAGCCTCCAGAGTAGCTGGGATTACAGGTGCCCGATACCGCACTTGGCTAATTTTTGTGTTTTTACTGGAGACGGGGTTTCACCATGCTGGCCAGGCTGGTCTCGAACTCCTAACTTCAAGTAATCCAACCGCCTTGGCCTCCCAAAGTGCTGGGATGGGCTCTAAACTTTTACTGACCCTTCCTTTATTTCCTTAAATAGTCATTGCATACTCACCCTATGCCAGACACTAACAATCTTTTGCTGTTGGTTGACCTCTCAGCATCCGGTTCCCCCAGTTCCCCTTTCTTTCTTCCTAACAAAATCTCAATTCTGTCCAAGTAGCTCTGCTGCCCCATGTGGCCACATAAATCAGGGAGGGCTGATTCCTCCCCGACCATTGAGGGTGATGCTGTAGATCCAAGAATAATTCTACTTCCCCTACCAGAGATGGAATAAGGAAAGGTGGTGTGACCCATGAGATGAGCTGAGGCTCATGAGATGCAGCAGAAAGCCTGCCAAAGCCATTCTGGGAAGACTCTTTTATTCTAAGAGAGAGCCATGAGATGTCTTCAACTTGACAGTCAATGACCCTTGCTATTTTTTATGAAGTGGCGTGGTCTCCTTGAGACAAGAGAGGAGAACACATTCATTCATTCCCTCACTTATTCATTCATTCGACACATTTTTGAGTATCCACCATGTGCCAGGTACTGTTTTAGTTGCTGGAGTTACAGCATTAAGCAAAACAGACAGAAGCCTGCCCTCATGAAGCTTACACATAAACGTTACCAGCATCCTTCCCATCCCCCGGTCCAGTCCAACATGCTGACCTTTGACTTGGCGTCAGTGGGTTCTCCCTCTCTGCACACTCCTGACCCTTGGTCAAATGATCAAGCGGCCAGTGAAGTGTCCCCCACCTTCCTGTTTCCAGCCCTTTCCTTATTTCTGGTGCTTCCTTCCTAAAGTTCACTTTGCCTCTTCCCATCCATATTCCGTTCATACCTGTGACATATATTGTAGATGGTCCATGCATTGGCATTTTAATTTTGCCAAAGTTCAAAGCTATAAGCTAAGTTAATGAAGTTCTACTGATGGATTGTCAGGGGTTAGCCAGTAAATAGGGGTCATATTCTTTGGAAAACTGGAGACTTTGTAGTTAGGGCAGCTAAAGCTGTATTCTCTAGGCTGATGTTTACTCTTTCTGCCTGTCTGACCCTCACTGGGTAGGCTGATTACAGCAAAATAAGCTTAGATAACTTGATAGTGACTCCTTGGCCCCTTGCATAGACCTGGCCTTAATCTTTTACAAGAGACTCCTGTGGTCAGGAGACATCATGCAAAAGACTTTGGAGACAAATTGTCTGGATTCAAATCCCCCTTGCTTGTGTCCTGAGCAAACTTTCTAACCTATGTGGGCACCAAATTCCTCATCTGTAATACGGGACTGATAATAGCCGTTTTGGAAAGTTGACATGGTGATTAAAATAATTTGCTTAGCTAAAGCATAGTAAGTGCTAAATTAATGGCTGTTACTACAGTTTATATATTATAGTAGTTTTCATAGTTGTAACCTGTGTGTGGGAAGCCCTTAAGTTGGAATTAAGAGGATTTGGAGTGACTCCATTGATTGGCTAAGTATGCTATAACACCAGTCCTCTAGCTGGCTGAATCCTCTTTCATCTTGAAACTTCCTTTGCCAATAGGAAAAACAGAAAAAAAAGAAGCAAAAAAGTGTTTCTTTATTGGGAGAGAAAACATCCTCCATGAAACAAAACCAGCTAACCATTCATTATGTCTGTCTTGTTATTAAAGGTCAACAGGATTAAAGAGCTAATTACAGTGTCCTAGGTTAGGCATTATCCATTGTTACTAGGACTGAGTCATGCCTGGTTTCTGGCTTTTTAAGAACCAGCGTGATTTCGCATTTGATTCACCTGGGTATGTTTTAATGACTCTGGCAGAATGAAGTATGGGAATTAACATTTGCAAACTCAAACCAGACGAGCGATTCACATTCGAGATATAAACAGGCCAATCTGCTGTTCTCGTTGGTCATCTCTCACTGCCCATCTCGCTTGCTGGATCTGTGCTGTGCCCCCACTTCGCCATTCAGGCAGAATGTGCATGACACATAGTAAATGAATTCGGGGCAGGTCATGAGGTAATTGCAGAATAAATATATTCCTCAAGAATCAGAGATAAAAAGTTTTCCACCATTCTTTTCCTCTTGTAGCCTCTGTTTTTTTTTTGTTTGTTTTTGTTTTTGTTTTTTTTAAAGATCTTATTAATTTGCAAACCAGCTGATTACAACTCCTCCAGGCTAAATAACTGTGCAGTTGGCACGTAATAGATGAGTGGTTTGGGCTGAGGGAGCAGGTCTTGTTTTTTTTTTTTTCTTTGCCTATTACACCCATTGTTTTAGGTAATTAACATCCACTTTGTAGTGGCAGCTCTGACGCCTCACTGTCTGAACAGTGTCTTGGCTGACAGCCTCTGAAATAGCCCTGGTGAACTTCTTGCAAAATCATATGATATTATTATATAATTCTCCCCGATGAAAGCTCAAAGAGAATTTGCACACACAGCTACAAGTGAGCTTTTGGATCTAGACACGGTCACATTGAGTGCCTTTTTGAACAAGCGTTTTCTTCCAGCCAGGCAGGGAGGGACTGGGGTTGGAGCACAGGAGAGAGGCGGGTTTGAATTCTGGCATTGCTGGCACCAGATCAGATAAGAAACAATGACCTCCCGGGGCTTTTGTGAGCATTCAATGAGTTTTTAACCTTACCTGGCTGGTGAACATAGGTTCACCTTCTACCAAATTAATAATTTCTTCTTCAGGTTAATAAAATTAACAGAGACACTTCAAAAAGGCCTCTCCTTTCTTTGGTCTTTTATTCTTGCCTTTAAACACCATATAAATTAAATCTAGAACATTAGACTATAGCAACACAGGTCAAATGAGGACCTCTGGATTGTCCAATGTCTTTGAATTATCCACATTAATTGTTCTTCACCATACTTTCTCCTTTCTCCATCTCTGCCCAATATTTATTCTTAAGGCCTACAGATTCTGGCTGGCTTCTTCAGCTCTTCTTAGTCTTATGGCATGTAGAATATTTGCTTTCAGGGTTTTTCCCAAAATCAGTCAACAGTTTGGGTTTGGCTGAAGATGTTTCTAAATCATCTTGCAGTTCTTTGATTTCAGAAACGGCTGAACCCCAAAAGAAACGGCATGGGGCGTTTCTCAATGCTTTATCACTGACCTCACAGTTTTCTGTTTGTTTAAAACAACTACAACAGCAAAATATATGGCCAGCATTGTGTGATTGGAGGCAGTGTGATACCCATATTATCTTGCACGCGTAACATCTAGAAGGCCCCATTAATTAACAATTCAGTATGTCTTCTTTTCTCCAAAGTTGGGGAAAGTTGGAAAGCTGATGAGCCTAAAGTGACACCAGATGACTCTATTGCTTTCTCTTCTTTACTTGTTTAAGTTTTATGAGGAGTTAATTCTTAAACCTCCCCTCTCTTCAAGCCCCAGCCTTCCCAGAAATAAATCACACCAGCCCAGGGTGGAGTTATGCTGCTCTGATGGCCTATGGGCTGGAGCTCCTGACTCCTCTGGTGGATATATTACAGTGACTAAGTGTGGGGAGCAGACAGGAGCTGCCTCTTCGTCTCCTGTTTCAAAGACCAAAGGATCTGGGGTTGGAGACACAATGGATCAAAGGACCTGCAGGTCTGAACAGGGGCAAGAGAAAGAGAGGCCAAAGAAAAGAGGATTCCCTGGGAAGTGGGACCTGGCTCTAGCATGATATGTGTTAGGTATCTGCCACATACCCAGGACAGTCTCATTATTATTAAATTATGTCAACAATTTGAATCCTATGAAGGGAATTTTAACAACATTTCAAGAAACTTACACCCAAAGCAAGTTAAGTGGCTTATGCAAAGTCACGTAACTAATAAGTGGCAGAATCAGGATTAGAACCTAGGTCCAATCTGACTCCAGGCCCAGTACTTATTTCATTGATCTCATGCAATCACTTTTCTCTTTTGGGTCCCCAGGAATAAGAAACCAATTTGGGGGAAAGCCGGGGGGAAGGTGGATTCAGATGTCTATACTCTGGTTGCTGACCAAAGAGAGTCCAGTCCTCTTCAAAGCTGGACTCTACACACTACAAACATAAATCATAAGAGTCAAGGCCTCCCGATTGAAGCAGAACTCTTACTCGCTTGCATTCCAATACACCAGAGGTCACAGGTTGGCAGCCTGTGGGCCAAAACTGGCTGTGGCCTAAAGATATGTTTTATTTGGCTTTTAAGTGTTGGATCACACAACATATTTTAAAAATTAGATTCTTTCTCAAAAAAAAAAAAAAAAATTAGATTCTTTGCCAGCATTGAAAAATCAGGGTTTGCATCTTCTGTTCTAGCTATGATGGAATAGCTTGTCTTAGAGCAACCCTCCCACTAAGAGTAAATAGAAAAGCTGGACATTATCTATCTATCTATTTATCTATCTATCTATCTACACCCAGACTGGGTTATCACTAGTGAAAGATGACAAAGCAATAGATTGAGGATCAGAACCCAGGAACAATAGATGTTATTGCCTCTGGAATGTGGGTCCCAGGAGAAAAGGACATAAAAACCCATGGTCTTGTCCAGCTGTTCCCTAGGGCAAGAGCTTACTCTCCAGAATCTCTGTGTAGTTTTGACGCAGCATCATGTCAGAGCCTCGTCCTTTGTTCTTTGAGCATCTCACAGGAACTAACGCACCATCCTGAATGCAGCTGGTGCTGAAGAAATGTCTGTTGAATTGAATTGCATTACTCAGCCAAGTGCTTACATCACTGCTGACTGGTAAGCACATGTACTCCCAAAACTAAAATAAATGTTAAAAAGCCAAACAAAACACAGACAAGCTTGACCTTTGGAATTATGACACTACTATCTTTGACTTGATCGGAGTTTGTAAAATAAGTAAAATTAATGTCCTGCTAAGGAGAAAAGAAGTTCACGGCCAGTGTGCTGAAGTTGCTCATACCTGCCTGCAAGAGCTGACGGGTATGTCTCTTCCCAACCAGCATTCAGTGAGCTCACGTAGGTAGCTTGAAATCAGCCATGGTGGGAGTATTTACACCGCAGAAATAAGCAGCACTATCAATTAGGACTTTTTTTTTTCCTTTCTTAGATTGCCAGTTGTTAAACATTTGCCAGCACACCATGATTCACTGCCATTTCAGGTTCATTCCGTTTCATAAGCAGAGATGGCAGAGCTACTAATCTATACACACATCTATACGTAGCTTCTTTATCTATGATGGGTTGAATCCTTCCCATGAGCTGCCACTTTGCTGGATAACAATGGGGACAAGAGGTCAAAGAAGTGAGCAGTAAATTTAGTTTAATTCTGAAAACTCCTTCAGACTCAATCATTTAGAACTTTGTATAATTTTTTGGGGATAAAATGCTCACTTAATCAGACTGTTCCTCCTTTCCATGTCTACTAGGTTCTTAGACAGAAATAGACTCGGGGATGGGGAATGCAGTGCAGGAAGTTACTGGGACATGCTCTCAACATCAGCACTGTCAAGGAGGGAAGGAAGCAGGACTGGGGAGAGGGAGAGGCTGAACAGAGAAATAGTCACAGCAAGGACCACAGCTGGTCCCACCAGGGCCCACAGACCAGATGGGTCCTGTATGCCTGCTCAGAGTTTTAAATTGTTTGTTAATTGATTACCAACATTTTAGTATCCTTCCATAAAAATCAGGATACTCAGTTTCTGTGGGAGAATTGGACGATGTGACACGGACTGGCTGGAGCTGGGGCATAACTCTGTGGCCTTAGGGAAGTGACTTACCCTCTTTGAGCTTTAGTTTCCATGTCTATAAAGCAAGGACTGAAATACCTAGCCCACAGGGTTGCCATGAGAATTAAATAAGATCATGATTTTAAAGTTCTTGGCACAAAGTCAGTACATAGTAAAGGGTGCCTGTTTATGTGTCACTGATTTGAATTGTCTCTGAATCCTCTGTGGATTTTCATTGACTCCTGGAAAATATAAAAAGGTGGCTGGCACTTGAGCTTTTACAGACTGGTGAAGACTTCTGCTCCTTTTTACAGATGAAAACTGATCAGCTTTTCACTTTATGGAAAACCTAACTACAAATGTGAATCATTTCCATAAATTAAGTCAATCTTCTGGGTTTGCCATCAACCACCTATGTAAACAAGATGAAAACTAAAAAAAGAAACTATTCATATTGCTTTCAGAAAAAAAAATGGAAAATTCAACAAGCCCCAAAGAGATATAACGCCCTCAAGACAAAAGTTTTATTTTTGTTGGATTGATGTACCCTTCACATTTTGGCTAATTCTGCGTTCTTGAGAGCAGATATCCTTGAATGTGCAGCTAACTTTGGGGCTGCTGGTGGTGGTGGTGGTGGTGGACAACTTGCTCCACTGATAAACTGCTGAGTGAGAAAAGAGCCCAGGAGGGGTTCTAGTACTAGAAATATACTAACTGGCATCAGGATCTTGTTGCGAGTAAGTTTCTGATGAATATTAGGTACCTATGTATCTTTTGTAGTGTAATGCCTTTTTTTCTCTAAAGAAAACCCTGAAAACAATGATCTTCAACTATTTTTTCTGTTCTCACACCATTCATAGGCCAACACAGTCCCATCAGTAACATCTCTCATAACTCACAATGATTCTCAAAGTGGGGAAATAGGCAGGCCCCCTCTTTGAGGGTTGCAGATGGCAGTGGTGATGTGAGCACCATTGGGATGGCCTGTCTCCCGCTGGGACCTCTGATGTGCAACTAACTTTGGGACTGGTGATGGCGGTGGCAGATGATTTGCTCTGTTGGTAAACCCTGCCATAAAACCTAGCCTGAGTTATTTCCTTACTTTTGGCTCATCTATTCATTCATCCATTCAGAAAACTTATTGAGCGCTCATTATATGCCAGGTACTGATCATGGAGAATAGTAGAACTGAGTCATTGAGGAGCAAAACACAGTCTGGTAGAAGAGACAGAGATACAGATAAATAATTACACTCCAACATGTTCTTACTGAAATGTTGGTGTATGCAAGTCTGATGACTTGAATGGGGAGGAAGACAGGCTTAACTCTGCCCTGGGGATTAGGAAGATCTCATAGAGGTATTGGCTTTTCAGCTGGGCCCTAGGCGGACATAGAAGAGCTCACTAAGTCGGGAAGGGAACCATGAATTGAGGCAGAGTGGAGAGGCACAGAACAGAGGCAAAGCTTTTAGGAGATGGTGAGTAGCTGGGCTGGACTTGAGCAGAGAAACCTGTGAAGGAGAATGCAGTAATCAAGATGGACAGGAAGGTTAAGGGTGAAGGTCTGCAAATTATGCAGACTTTGAAAGCCAGACAAAGGAGCACAGACCTCTCCTCCAGGCAGAGAGGAGCCACTGATGTTCCCAGCAGGAAAGTAGCGCCAAGGTTCGCTCTCATTCTAGAAGTATGACTGTTGATACTCTGTCACTTCCCACTGTGCCGAAATTACACAAAGGCAATCCTCTGAAGTCAGCAAACCTGGTGAAAAAGGAGGAATTGGGGAGAAAATGCTGCGCGTCCTGTTGCCCAGGCTGATCTCCAACTTCTGAGCTCAAGCGATCCACCCACCTTGGCCTCCTAAAGTGCTGAAATTACAGGCATGTATTTAGTTTTTTAAGTACCTGGCCTACTTAATTTTTTTAGAGTAGTTTAATGTTCGCAACAAAATTAAGAGGAAGACACAGAGGTTTCTCATATACCCCTTACCCCACACATGCACAGCTTCCCCCATTAACTACATCCTGCACCAGAGAGGTATATTAGTGAAAATGGATAAACCTACGTTGAAATATCATTGTCATCCAAACTCTATAGTTTCCGCTAGAGTTCACTCTTGGTGTTGTACATTCTATGGGTATGGACAAATGTATGCATGTATTCACCATTACACTGTCATAGAGAGGAATTTTATGGCCCCCAAATCCTCTGAGCTCCCATTTATCCTTTCCCCCACCCAAGCCATGACAACTTCTGATCTTTTTACTATCCCCGTAATTTTGCCTTTTCCAGAATATCATATACTTGGAATCAGACAATAGGTAGCCATTTTAGACTGACTTCTTTCACTTAGAATATACATTTGAGTTTCCTCCCTGTCTTTCATGGCTTTAATAGCTCATTTATTTTTAGTGCTGAATACTATTCCATTATCTGGATGTACCACAGTTTGTTCACTTGTCTACTAAAGGGCGTCATGGTTGCTTCCCAATTTTGGCAATTATGAATAAAGCTACTATAAATATCCATGTGCAGATGTTGGTGTGGATATGTCTTCAATTCTTTTTTTTTTTTTTTTTTTTTTGAGATGGCATATCGCTCTGTCACCCAGGCTGGAGTGCAGTGGTGCGATCTCAGCTCACTGCAAGCTCCGCCTCCCAGGTACAAGCAATTCTTCTGCCTCAGCCTCTCAAGTAGCTGGGACTACAGGCACCCGCCACCACGCCCGGCTAATTTTTTGTATTTTTAGTAGAGAGGGGTTTCACCGTGTTAGCCAGGATGGTCTTGATCTCCTGACCTCATGATCCACCCCCGTCAGCCACCCAAAGTGCTGAGATTACAGGCATGAGCCATCACATCCAGCGATGTCGTCAATTCTTTGGGGATAGATACTAAGGAATACAATTGCTGGATCACATGGTAGGAGTATGTTTGGTTTTTATACTTTACTTAGTAACACGTATTCTTGTTTAAATATAATGTATATGTATTATACATAAACTCATTTCAAACAAAATGGTGGCACTTCATCTGCAAATACATGGAAAGCTGTCCAATAGGTCTTCCTCTTTGAAGCTCAGCATCATCTCAGATCACCAACCACTCAAACTGACCCCACCTATATAATCATATACAAGAAAACGCCAAGGAAGGTACACAGCACATACTGGATCCCCTCTGTTTTCCCTTGTAAGGGTCCTAGCATATATCGCTTACCTGGGAGGTTTTGTAAAACACAGATTGCTGGGCCCGTGCCCCAAATTCCTGACTCAGTAGGTCTAAGCATTTGCATTTCTAGCAAGCTCTGAGCTGGTGCTAATGCTGTTAGCTGGGGGACCACACTGCCTGAAAATGTGAATAATGCTGGAGATAGTGTTGGAGTTCAGGGAGTCTTTCTTATAGGGTAAATCCAAAAAGGCAGCATCAAAATCATCAAAGCATACAGCGATACATTCTAAATGCTAACTGGTCATGATCACGATGGCAAGATTTGCTTGGTCATGGTCTGTGGGTTGGCTCTGTTGAAATGACTGAGGCTGATGGTTCCTTTCCCATTTTCTTCTGACCCCTAGATTTCCATTTCATCCTCAATCAGGCTGGGTGATCAGGCTATGCTTCTTCCTTCCAGTGATCTGTTATGAGACCTGACAAGCAAATTCAGAAATGGGAGTCCGGCCGGGCACAGTGGCTCATGCCCATAATCCCAGCACTTTGGGAGGCCGAGGTGGGTGGATCCCCTGAGGTCGGGAGTTTGAGACCAGCCTGACCAACAAGGAGAAACCCTGTCTCTACTAAAAATACAAAATCAGCTGGGCGTGGTGGCGCATGCCTGTAATCCCAGCTACTAAGGAGGCTGAGGCAGGAGAATCACTTGAACCCAGGAGGCAGAGGATGTGGTGAGCCGAGATTGCGCCATTGCGCTCCAGCCTGGGCAACAAGAGCAAAACTCTGTAAGAAAGAAAGAGAGAAAGAGAGAAAGAAAGAGGAAGGAAGGAAGGAAGGAAGGAGAAGAAAGAAAGAAAGAAAAAGAAAGAAAGAGAGAGAGAGAGAAAGAAAGAAAGGAGGGAGGGAGAGAGGGAGGGAGGGCAGGGGGAGAGGGGAGGGGGAGAGGGAAGGGGGAGGGGAGGGAAAGAAAGGGAAAGGAAGGGAAGGAGAGGGAAGGAAAGGAAGGGAAGGGAGGGAAGGAAAGGAAGGGAAGGAAGTGAAGAAGGGAAGGAAGGGAAGAAGGGAAGGAAGGAAGAAAGAGAGAGAGAGAAAGAGAAAAGAAAGAAAGAGAAAGAAAAAGAAAGAAGGAAAGAAGGAAAGAAAGAACGAGAAGAAAGAAAGAAAAAGAAAGAAAGAAAGAAACAAAGAAAGAGAAAGAAAAGGGAAATGGGGTCCGACCAGTGCTGGGGACTAGATCCCGGCCTCCGAGTGAAAGCAGAGCGCGTATGACCGATGTCAGTTGCAGAGTCAAACAGCTGGAGCCGCCCAGTCTGAGGAGCGCCAGGAGATCAAAGTGCAGGACGGGTCACAGAGGCAGGACCAGGGTCCTGGAAGTATATGTTAGTCCCTCTCTCTTCTCGTTCCTAAGGAGTCGTTCTCCGGACCCAGCATCCTTTCTCCTTCTTTCTTGTCCTTGGCAGACACAGAGCAGAGTAGAGTAAAGACCTTCGGGCTCAGGTTGTTCGAGAAAGCAGAGCTGGGTTTGGCTTTAGCAAAGAAACAGCTAAAGCAAACCTGGGCTTTCGTAGACCTGTTCTGAGAAGAGATCCCCCTGGCCGGGACCCACCATTTGGGTTATGCTTGCTGCGTTATCTTCTCATGAAAGGCCGATCTTATCACTCATACTATTGCGCATGAGACAGGCATGAGACCTCTCACACTACCTGCAGCATTCTTTTTGCAGGAGGAAGGAAAGTTGGACAGATGTTTTTAAAAATCTTCCTTTGCGCCTTCTGCGCAGCCTCTTGCAAGTCCTGGCGGAAGCCACGTGGACACCAGAGGGCGCCACAGCACCAGCTCATTCCCCGGAGGCTCCATCACCAAGGGTTCCGGCTTCACAGAACAAGCCTGAGTTGAGCTCCTGCAATCACAATCACACAGAACAGACCCAGGGTTGGAAGCAATGCAAGAAACGGAAGTTTCGCATTTTCTCTCACTCTGCGTTGCCACTGATGGTTCGACAGCTTTTCTGGAACAAAAGGAAATCAAGAGATTTACCACTATGCTAAGTGTACCCATAGATTTTACAACCTGCTCTGATTTCACTCAAGTTAAAAAAAAGGAAAAAAGACAAAGTGGACCTCGAAAAGAAGAAAATACGGTAATAATTGCTGGTTACAAATTCTGCAGGCATCTATGCCGAGGCCTGATTGCAGGCCATCCCCACAGCTGGGACTCGTGTACTGATCAAGAAAATTCCGAGCGCCCAGGAAATAGCGGCAGACATGATTTTACTTGATCTCAGGATGGGTATCATCAAAGGAGCCTGGTCTTCCCACTGGAAGTGAAGGTCAAATGATCATTGTTACTATTTATTGAGCACTTAAATGGGCCAGGAATTGTGCTGAGCTCAATGATTTACAGTCTATGGGTTTTCTCATTTCATCAAAGCCCTCAAAGACAGAGATGATTTTACAAATAAAGAAACTCGGGGCCTGGTGCGGTGGCTCACACCTGTAATCCCAACGCTTTGGGAGGCCGAGGCAGGCGGATTACCTGAGGTCAGGAGTTCGAGACCAGCCTGGCCAACATGGTGAAACTCTGTCTCTACTAAAAAATACAAAAATTAGCTGGGTGTGGTGTTGCGTGCTTGTAATCCCAGCTACTCGAGAGGCTGAGGCAGGAGAATTGCTTGATCCTGGATGGCAGAGGTTGCCCTGAGCTGAGATTGCACCACTGCACTCCAGCCTGGGCCACAGATAGAGATTCTGCCAAAAAAAAAAAAACAAAGAAAGAAAGAAACTCAGGCTCAGAAGGGCTGAGTGGATCACATCAGCTGAGAAGAGGGGATGCAGGATTTGAACACAAGTCTTCCTGAAGGCAGCCAAGGCACATGCTCTTAACCACCATGCATATGGAACTCAACAGAGCTCAGCCCTCACTTCCTGTCCTTTCTATTCCTGCACCCAGCTGTGCACTGACAGCAGTGAGTTCGGTGGGGACAGCATGATTTATAAGCAGATGAAATATTTCTGTGCAGAAACCAAATAAACAAGTTTTCTGGGACAATTTAATTCCAGATATTTTGTAATAGCTGTTGTCAGGTGGTGCATAAGTGATGGGTCAAATGAGGCATCCTCATTTTTTATCTGCAAATTATGGAACTTAAGGACATTTTAAGCAGAATTAAGATGCCAGAGATGGAGTCCAAAGCATAATCCAGGCTTGGTGGTGACCACATCAGCCACATTTTATGAGAGAATGAATGAAAAGGCTATTGAAAGTGGAAGGCACCATACAAACAGAAGAAAGAGATGATTATATGTGATCCAGATCAAAGGCACCTCTCTCTCTCTCATAGAAACACCTTATCCCTTCCCAGGGAGGGGGTGAAAACAAGCAGCATGAACTGAGTGAGAAATGGGCTCAAATCTCCACTCTGCTATTTACTAGTTGTACAGCTTTGAACAAGCAGTTTTACCTCTCTGAGCCTCAGTTTCTTTATCTCTTAAGTGGTATAATAATCCTCATATTTTACAGAGTAGTTATTAATAATAACTTCATGCATTTACCACATGCTATGAGCCATGCACTGTGCCCACCGCTTTATAAATTTCGGCACATTTCATCTTCCCAGCAGACCACAGGGCAGCCATTCCCACAGGAGGTGAGGAGTGTGGGATGCAGAGGGGTCGAACGACCAGCCCACAGACACACCTAAGTTGCAGAGGTGGAACCCAAGGTCAGGTTTATCAGGCCCAAGAGCTTAGAATGTAACCACTTACTGATCGTAGAAGAAGCCAGGGATCACCAATGAAATCTGAGAGGGGTTGTGACAAATTGGAGTTTGCACGGGGAGCAAGGAGAGCTCTGACAACTGAAATGACATCTTCAGTCCTCACAATAATCTAACCGTAGAGTGTGAGCATCAGCAAAGAAAAAGGACAGAACAGGAGAGGTTTTCTGGTGTCTTTTTTCCTGTCCCTTTGGGTAGAAGTTCTTTTTTCTTTTTTTGAGCTGGAGTCTCACTCTGTCACCCGGGCTGGAGTGCAGTGGCATGGTCTTGGCTCACTGCAACCTCTGCCCCCCCAGGTTCAAGTGATTCTCCTGCCTCAGCCTCCAGAGTAGCTGGGATTACAGGTGCCTGCCACCGCACCTGGCTAATTTTTGTATTTTTGGTAGAGACGGAGTTTCACCATCTTGGCCAGGCTGGTCTTGAACTCCTGACCTTGTGATCCATCCGAGGTCTCCCAAAGTGCTGGGATTACAGGCGTGAGCTACCGCACCCGGCCAGAACTTCATATTTTTCAGGAAACTTCACACACACAGTCTCCTTTGATCCTCATGCTAGTCCCATGAAGTGCACAGGAAAGACTTCATTAATCCCATTTTACCAAAGACAAAGAGTCCCACTGGCTAAGTGACCAACCAAAGGCCCCCTTGGAGACAAAGCTGTGGGTAAAATTTTGCAAAGTTGCCATAAGAATTAAAAGTGACAGTTCATGCAAGAGTACTCACCATGGCAACTGGCACACAATGGGTGCTCAATAAATGCACACAGGATCTGAATGAGTTGAAAAAGTCTTCCCAGACCATATTCATTCATTCTTCCTCCAAGTGTGAGCTCTGCCACTGTGTGGTATGAGGACAGTTCTCAGCAATGGCACAGAGAGAACTTTTAGACAAAATGCCATCCAGTGAAAAACTTGGGGTTGCGATGGAGCGTTGTCAGAGATGGGGGAGCACAGGCCTGGGAGAGGCCCTGTGACTGACTCCACTAGTCCCTCCAAAGAATCTTAGAGCTGGAAATAATTTAGAGACCATTTGGTCCCACATTTCCCAACTCTCAGGCATCCCCAGCCACGCCGAGCTTGTTTGCCTTGTCTGAATGCCATCTCACTGTTACTTACAATTTGCCTTGAGTCAACTAGCTTTTTTATTTAGATGAATGTATTTCAGTACACATTTATGAAATCAAAGGTCTGATTTGCTGGGTACAGATTTTGTAAAAATATATGCCTGTGCTTCAATTTGGCTGTGCCTAATAAAGGCATAGTATGTAAAAAAAATTAAAATATGTCCATATTCCATACTTCTGGAAACTCAATTAATCCACTCAAATGAATTCACAATGTAAAGGAGAAAATTTAGCACCAAAGCAGAAAGCATTGCACTGCTATTTAGTACCACAGGGAGACTTGAACTCAAGTCGCTTTCCTTAGAATCTAGGGCTCTTTGCCATCAAGTGTCTTCTTTTTGACCTTAAGATCTGTAACATTAGCTACCTAGAGCTGTGTGGGACAAAAGTGTCAGAAAGTGGGAGACACAACCCCTGCCAAAGGCCTCCCAGTAGGCACCCTGGATGGCAGGGCTATGGGTGATGCAGTTTCTCCTTTGAGCTTATTGGTCTTTTCTCACTAACTGTGCATTACTGATGTCATTTTGGTAGCTATGTAAAAAGAAAGATCAAGCTACTTGTATATGTTTATAATACATATGTCTCACAAATCCAGAAAGATGTCTATCGCCTCCTAAATAAAGGGGGAACCTCATTTTGTTTGCTGTTTCCCCGGGGCTTGCTTTCTGACACTAACAGTGGTCACAGTGTGCTGAGTACATGCATTGTGTTGAGCACCGGCTCAAGGATTTCTCCAAATCCTTCTAAGCTAGATATTACCTGTGTCTTCCAGCAGCACCTGGAAGGTGTAGAAACGGGATCAGAGCTCCAGGGTCACACTCCAACACTGATTTCTTGTCTCGGAACAGCGGGCTATTTTGGAGACCAACAGCTGTCACGCTCAGTCTGACATAGCATGAACACCTGCTCAGCCCTGTCTCCTCTGAGCCTTGCCTGGGAGGGGGTGGGAAAATGCCGGTCCCATTATTCGACTGCAGAAGCCGACTTGCAAAGGGTTGCCAGAGTTTGCCTATAAAATCACACAGCCGAGGCGTACAGCATAGGCACTTCCATCTCCGTTCTTTCTAATTGCTGCAAGCATCGCTTACAGTTAATGAGATACATTGATATTTAAGGCTGGAAACAGAAGTTGCTGAGCAGGCCCAGCACAGACTTCTTCTGCCCAAGCGAGTGGCCTCCCTGAAGGAAGCGCCTGTCTGCTGGGCTTCTCTACACACGGTGACTTCAGAGAGGCCCGTCATCTGATAGTTAACTGCTCATCCTGCCTGTCAGGGGAAGTCAAAACATAGTTAAAATTTAGTGGACTTAATCTATTTAATAATAAAAATAATAATGGCCCAATTAATAGCAATCCTGTGCACTTTTATGGATGCTTTCATCTGAGAATCAAAGTGGTCTGGAAGAGGAACCATCATTAGCTGATTATACAGATGAGGAAAATCAGCATAAAGAGGTTAAATGACTTGCCCAAGGTCAGGGCCTGAGTCAGCACTGGAGCCAGAGGGAGAGCGACAGGCTCAGCCAGGGCTTCAGCTCCCTCCTCCTCTTTCTGGGCCTGGCACTTTTGTAATATCTTTCATCTGAGAATCTTAAATTAATCTCCCAACAATTACCACCATTCATCGGTGGCCAACAAAAAAAAAAAATCTCAACCTGGCTTGCCAAGCAGTGAAGGCCTCTGTCCTTTGCTGCCTCCACTGGGTCGTCAGGGGGTGTCAGCAGAGAGTACCCCCACCTGCTCCCCGGCCTGGCACAGGGTCCTGGGTCTCACCATGCCAGAGGCTGGAGCCCCACACAGCCAAGAAACCGGGAGTGAACAAGACAGCAGGGCCAGTAGTTGGAGCCATTTCCCATATAATAATCTGGAAGTCATCTTAGGGATGCTGTCTTTGAGTTTCTGTTTCTCTGTTTGTTCTAACTGAAATTCAGACGTTATGCCATAGGGGAAAGAACATAAATTTTGGAGCCAGACACACCTGGCTTTGAATATTCACTCTGTCGCTTATTAGCTGTGTGTCCTTAGACAAATTGCTTTACCTCTCTGAGCCTCAATGTCTTTATCTGTAACATCAGTGTAGCTTGTACCTTAGATGCCTTTGATGCCTACAATGAGAGCTACATGTGCTTCCACTCCTCTTTAATTGAATTCACTGTAAAGTTGTGCTTTGTATATATAGTTCTTAATACACTGTGCATTGCTGCATGCATTGTATCTGTGTAGACCCGTGGTGCAGTGTATACATCCAAAATCGGATATATCAAAATCTGCAGATGAATCTTTTAAAAAAGATTTACAAGGATAATTTTAACCATCCTTTTCTTCCTTACACCCTGATTTCGTGCTATACAGTGCTTCCACCATAATAACACTTGGTGATTGTTGGGAGGTCGGAAAGAATGTCCTCCTGATCCCCTGAGCACAGGATATCTGGTAGGCACCCTGCCAGTGGGAGCAATTTGTATTAGGCACAGTCTAACAAAAGTAAAAAGGCCAAAAAAACAGTCTTGCCTCTAAAAAGGAAGAAAGGAGTTTTAAAAAAGAAAAGAGAGGTAGAACAAGAAGTGAAGGAGTGGCCCTGAGCAGCCTGACCAGCTGGCACCAAGCCAGGGCCATCGATGGCCCATCTCAGCCCCACAGCCTCACTGGGTGACAGGGCGGGATCTCGCTCTGCAGATCAGGAAGTGGGCCTGGAGTCATGACAGGACTTGTCCAGGTTCACAGAGCCAGTAAATGGCTAACAGGGATATGAGCTCCAGCCTGTCTGATCCCCGAGCTTCTGTTCTCTACTAGGGCACTTGGAGCCTTCTTTATTAGAGAACTCATTTTTCACACTTTGGGTGGTGAAGAGCATATCCTGTTGCATCCATCAGGGTCATGGCAGGAAACAGCTGAGCCCCTGAAGATCCGTGAGAATCAAAGGTGTGGGCAAGAGGAGGAAAAGCAAATGTGTGGGTCAGGACCTTGTGTAGCTACTACCCCTAGACCTTAGGGGATTAGGAGAGGCTGCAGCTCCTGGAACCTGCAAGGAGGGAGGTCTGTAGAGAGGGCTCCCAGGAGAAGAGCTGTGACCTTCAGTAGAAGGACACTGCCTGCAGGGTGAGGCAGGAGGCTGGAGAAGTGTCCGTCACTCACTCCCTGCCCTCTCTCCCTCAGCCTCCAGCTTGGCTCCTCGATGACCAAATCCCACTGACTGGGGAGCCTGTTTTCCATCCAGGTCAGCCTCCTGGGGCAAAAATCAGACTGGGGAAGGGAAGAGAGTGGAGGCGGGGTGGGGGCAATGGAAGGAACAATCCTCCTCCAATGAAGAACAATCCCAGTGCTAAGTCTGCCACCTCCCAGAGCCAGGGATAACGTCCCCAGGGGACGGTTCTAATCTTTGCTAAGAGCCCTTGACAGATAGTGTCAGGAGGCAGTAAAGCATCCATCTGAGCTGCCGAGGTAGACACATCCTATCCATTTTAAAGATGAATACATGGAGGTCCAAGGAGACTAAGTCATTGGCACAAACACAACAACGGATGCCAGAAAGAGAAGGATGCCAGAAAGAGAAGATGGAACATTAATTCACTCACTCACTCACTCGCTCACTCACTCACTCACTCACTCACTCACATATTTAGTGGCTATGTCGTTATCTATAGAGCAGCTTTTGTGTCACAAACTGCATATTCAACAAAAAGCCTGGGGCAATGATTATTCTTTTATCCTCCCATGATGCTTCACCCAGGGGTTCAATTATAAATAGCTATAATCACTGACATTTATTCAGCTCACTATTTGCCAGGGATTGTGCAAAGAACTTGCCTGCATTATCTCATTTAATCCCTACAATAACTCTTGGAGGGAGGTATAATTGTTATTGTCTCTATTCTACAAACAGGAAACCCAGGCTTAGAGAGATTAAATAACTTGTCCACAGTCACCCAGCTGGGAGGGATGGAACTGAGCTTAGAACCTTGGTCTGTCTGACTTTAGAAGCTAGCGCTTAACCTCCGTGCTATTCTGCAGAGGTTCAAACTGGTGGCCAATAAGCCAGCTGTGGCCCACAGACATGCTTTCTTATATTTTTAATGAAGCCCACATTCAAAATTTGAGACTGTACTTTTCCAAATACAGATTTCCTTATTTTTCTTTCCAAGATACCAGGCGGTTTGGCCACGTGGGGCCTGTATTCCTTCCTGGCACAGCCAGCTGTTCACAACCCTGCCTGCCTGTGCAGCTTGGCTCCTGGACATCCTCTGCTTGTCTCCAGAGGTGGTTGGGTTCATGTCCCTTGCTAGGTGGCCTCTTTGCGGTACCATGATGCAGGATGAGTGCTCCTTGGATGGAGACTGGAACTTTTACCCTAGAGGGTCACTGTTCCTCTCCACTTGGCCAGATCCATGGGAACCCCGCAAACACAAAGGGGCCAGGGCAGTAAACAGCTTATTAGCTGTCACTACACCTTTCCTGGCTGGCCACAGCAACGGAGCATAAAAGGCCGGCCCACCATGTCAGGAAAATGCCCGACCCAAAAAGCTCGTCTCAGTGCAGCCCATGGCAACCCATTGAAGGCAGATAAAACACTTTCAACAATATCACCTTTTATCTTTGCTTTGTGGGCCAAGGGAATAAAACACAGTTGCCAAACACAAATTAATGTGTAATTATTTTCCTTGCCTGAATCATTTTCTTTCATGTGCCAGAGCATGCTGAGCAAATGGCACCACACCTTGGACTTTAATTGTGGTAATCAGGGCGCTGAGCCACAAGAAAGATTTTCCTAATGCCTCCCTTAGCACTGACTTTCAAGTTGAAGCAATTGAATTTCCCCTGTTCTTCTCTTCTTTTTAAGGGAAAGAAACATATGTTCGAAGAGGTTCTGAGGCTGCTGCACCCGATATCATACCTGGTTGGCCCTGGGAAAGGGCCCACCTCCAATACATAAACACAACCAGCTTTGACAGGTGACTTAACGTGCTCATGGTTGCTCTTTGCTCTAATTCATTTGGTGACTAATTATTCGTTAGTAAGTTTAAGACCACCTATCTTTGTATTAATCATATAGTGGGATACATGTTACGTTGTTTATCTGCTAAGATGGCCTTGAAGTTCCAGTTGTGTGCATCCAGGAAGGGGAAGAGGAAAGTGAGGGTTTACAGGGGTCCTCTGTCGAAAGAAACATCAGGAATGTTGGTGGCTGTTTCTGATCCTCTAAGCCTGTGTTGTAAGTCTTTTGTTTGTTTGGTTTTTGGTGGTTTTTTTTTTTTTTCTTTTGAGATGGAGTCTAATTCCGTTACCCAGGCTGGAGGGCTGGAGTCCAGTGGTGCGATCTTGGCTCACTGCAACCTCCTCCTCCCAGGTTCAAGCGATTCTCCTCCCTCAGCCTCCTGAGTAGCTGGGATTACAGGCACCCACCACCACGCCTGGCTAATTTTTCTATTTTTAGTAGAGATGAGGTTTCACCATGTTGGCCAGGCTGGTCTCAAACTCCTGACCTCAAATGATCTGCCCGCCTCCGTCTCCCAAAGTGCTGGGATTACAGACATGAGCCACCGCGCCCAGCCTGCTGTAAATTATTATGAGCCATTCTTTCTCCTTTCTGCCTTAGCAGATCTAGGGTGGCACTCCCAAGTACTCGGTCATGGTTTGGACACTAGAAATTAGCTATTCTTACAGGAAAACTGCCTGCGTCTTGTCATCAGGAATGAGATTACGTTTAAAGGCGTTTGTGGAAAATCAAAAACACCACCACGTTTCTCTATGGACTATAGCTCCTCAGCCCTGGACATGACCACATCACTCTACGGAGCTCCACCAGCTCCTCCTGAGAGTCCTCTGTTGCCTTTGGGGTTGAGGGAGGATTGTGGGGTTAATGACTTTGTGTTTCCTTCAGTAATAGATGGATTTGGGTGCTGTTTTGAACATGGACATGAGAATGAACCCTTGCGTCTAGAATGTTTTTAAGCTATCCCTTCTAGTGTTCTTTAAGTGATGGGCCCAAGCCATCGGAGTTCTTATTAACTCAACTGGTGCATGGCAGACAGTCAGCAGCATGCAATAAAGGACTAAAACTCGCATAAATGAATATTTTAAGAAAGTCTTTCCTGGGAAGGATGGCTGGAGATAGGGTTAGTTCTTTATCTATCCGGGCACTCATGCATTTGTTTGTTTATTCAACCATGATTGAGTGCCTACTCCAAGAACTGGGGATACAAAAAAGAAAGAGATTCAACCCTGTTCTCCAGAGGAGACTGAGGAGTTGGAGAGAAACAGTGGGTCTGGTAGCCACGGCGGGGAGCACCTGGCCAGTGGTCTGTGGTTGAGTGCTTAACCACTAGCTCTCTGAGTGTAGTTCTGACACTATATTTTCATTTGCATTCACAAGATAAAAGTAAAAGAACAAAGACTCTGTTGGAACCCCACTTGTTCATCAATGACGCGAGGAATTTCTTCGCTAAATTGGGTAACAGTTTTCAAAGACAGTCATGTGTTGCCTAACAATGTTTCAGTTGGACTGCATATATGGCAGAGGTCCCGTAAGATGATAATGCCATGTTATTACTCTATCTTTTCTATGTTTAGCTATGTTCGATGCACAAATACTCACCATTGTATTATGATTGCCTGCAGTATTCCGGACAGTAACACGCTTTACAGGGTTATAGCCTAGGATCAATAGGCCATATAGTCTAGACGTATAGTCGGCTGTCCCCTCTAGGCTTGTGTAAGTACACTCTACAATGCTCTCACAACGACAGACTCACCCAATGAATGCATTTCTCAGAATGTACTCCCATCATTTCCCATCATTAAGCAATGCGTGACTGTACTGGAAGACTAGTTCTTCAATTTTGGGGAGATTTTCACAATGTAATAACTACAGACAGGACACACTTGAAGTTTAATCTGCATTGCTAATACTTTTTTTCATCATTTTTTAAAGTCTAGATAATCAACACAACAATAAACTAAGCTCTGATTTCCAGCATTTGCCAATTTCCATGGTATAAATACTCCAATCGTGGCCAATTTCAAAGTTACCAATGAGATGTCATTGAGAGAGGCACAGTAGCATACTATTATATACAATTTCCATTGTACAGCTGTGATGGAGGTAAATAATCTTAAGAGCATTAGATAATAGTAAAATCTAATAAAATAATTAGGAAGTGATGAGTTTTGAGTATTTACGAGCTGTGTTTTTAATACAATTTACTTAATTATAAGTTTTTATAATTTAATCTTTAATAATTGCTGTATTTAACAACCAGCTTGCAAAATTCCTGACAATTTAATAATTGGCTCTTGTAGGCCAGTAAGGGCAGGCTCTGGCACATTCCTGTATTTAACCCAGCAGGAGAGGTCGGGGAGGGCTTCTCAGAGAAGGAGATTCCTGAGCCAAGGAGAAGTACGTTGTGGTGTAGAAAAGACTATGACCTCCAAAGTCCAACTTCTGTGAGTTCAAATCCCAGCTCTGCCTCTTCCTGGCTCTGTGACCCTGTTGTTAGTTGCTTCCCTTTTCAGTACCTCACTTTCCTATTCCGTAAAATGGGTATCAAAATGCTTAAATCACAGGGTTGTTTTGTGGATAAAGTGCCTGGGCTGTACAAGATGCCCTCACATACTAACTCTTAATGTAAGACAAGTAGGAATTCAGGGGAAGAACATTCCAGACAGGGAGAGCTAATGCACAAAGGCAGAGTGGGAGACAGTCAAGGGCTTGTGGAAACTGCCAAGTGTTCCCGTAGACACAGCACCCATGAACATGCAAATGAAGCTGGAAGAGAAGGCCTTGAATGTCATGCTCACAAACTTCACCTTGATCATGGAGGCTGGTCCCCAGGCTCTAGGGGAGGTGTGGGGATGGGGGCATTTGTTTGGCTTAGTTCTCCATCTGTGAACTAGAGCTTGCTCAGTCCAGACCATCACCAAGGATGATGGTGGTAATGAAAGAGGCTACCCTTTGAAAAGTGTCTAGTGGTCGGGTATGGTGGCTCATGCCTGTAGTCCCAGCACATTGGGAGGCTAAGCCAGGCAGGTGACTTGATCCCAGGAGTTTGAGACCAGCCTGGCAACACGGCAAGACCCCGTGTCTATTTTTAAAAAATTATTTTTTAAAAAAGAAAGTATTTAGCACAGAGCCTGGTACACAGAATACAATAAAGTTAGTTATCATCATTTGTATTCTTTCTAGGGCCCTGCTCAGTGCCTGGGAACAACAGGAGATCAGTAAATGCTTGTAACAAGCATGTCGGGCTGCCTCACACTGAAGCAAAGTTACTGCCCCTGGCCTTGGCATGCAGCTCCCTGGTAGAGCTGGGAGGGCCCCAGGAAGGAAGCTGAGCTGCAGCCAGCCCACATCCACCTGCTATAGCACAGGTGCAGCCAAGGTGGCTTTCTCCAGATCTAGGTCTGGGGGTGCCTTGGGGAATTATCTTTGAGTTCCATGATTGAGCTGCTATAAATGTCACACACAACCCCCAGCTGGTTCTGGGGCGTGTATGACCCTGAACCACTGTATCGCAGCTACCCAAAGACTCACCCTTGGGGTGGCTGTTTCTTCCTGTGCTGGGTTGATTTGGGTTTAACTTAAGAAGACAGAAACCAGAGATTCAGCAGGATTCTTTGGATAATTTAGGGTCCTGCACGCTGTTGTTGAGGAAAGAATCATGGACATTTGCTTCTTTGTTTTGCATGAAATAACTAGTTTACCTGTTTCCAGAAAGCTCTATCATTTATCTGGCCTGCGCAGACACAGCCAAGAACTTGCTGTTACTTTTTAAATTAAATACCTACTGTGTGCCAGAGGCTTTCACAAGGTTAGTTCCAGACTACCGCCCACAGTTGGGAGCAATTTCTTGAGATAAGCCTGGCTAATAGAAGAGAAATTTAGTGTTGATGAGTCATCTGCAACGGTTATTGTCTCATTGAGCCCTTAGGACACCTTCATGAAGGCAGCGTTATTACAGCCATTTTAAAGATAAGGCAAATGAGGCACAGGGAAGTTAACTGAATAATAACAGTGCTTGTTTTTTGAGTGCTTGGGACCGTGAAGTGGCCTTACCTGCAATAGCCCATTCCCGCTTTGCTGCAGCTGCGTGAAGTACTGTGCTGTTACTATCACCCTCGTTTTACTGATGAGGACTCTGAAGCTTAGATGGATCTTCGGGGATGAGCGGTGGAGCAAGGGTTCCAACCCTGGGATCACCCCAGACTCCAAGCTTTTAACCACAACTAGCACAGGTCCCAGCGGCAGGAAGTGCAGTCAGGTTTGTCCCCAGGGAGCCTGTTCTTCTCCCTGTTAACTCTCACCCCGCCATCTTCTTGCAGGCAGCATGGAGATTTTTCACCCTTGGAAGGTGGAATGACACGACCCACAGCTAAGGTTTGAAAGGCCACGCAGAGCACTGTGTGGATTCAGGGTCATCCACTGATTCTAGGTCCACTTGAGCCAGTTCTCACTCATTTCTAGATTTTAATCTAGAATATTAGAGTGGAAATAAAACCCATCCTTTGTCATCCCTCAAGCTCCTTCCATTGTCCTCCTGAGGAGATGCAACCCTAGGGATGAGTGAGGAATTGCTGGGTGTCCAGGGAGGGCTGGAGAGAAAGTGCTTTGAACACACTGTGGCAGATGTCATGGTTCCATCTCCATGCTACCAGCCGGGCTGACAGTGGCCAGCTTCTTGCAGAAGTGCCAGCTTTACTATTTCTCACTGCAGCCTCGGTGCCATGACTGGACCAGGCCCTTCAGAACATACATCTCCTCCCAAACAGCATCTTTTGTGCTTTTCTTTGCTTTTTAAATTTCTCTTCTTTTTTTTTTTTATTTTTGGCCAAATTCACACCAATGTAAGAGAACTCATCCGGACTTCTCAAAGCCACAAAGCATAAGAAGAGTGAGAGGGATCAGAGGGTTGGAGGTGCATGGAGGCATTCAAGACCAGATGCGTACGGTCGGCTAAATGCCACTGGGAGACAGTTTTCCCCATTATTTCCTTCATGCCTCTATGGAATCTGGTTTTTGCAATGGAAATATGGCCACAAATGACTGCTGGACTCCAGTTCAAAAGGCTCATTTCTGAAATAACCACTAAAGAACTTATTTACATAACCAAACACCACCTGTTTCCCCAAAACTATTAAAATATAAAAATAAAAAATAAAATAATAATTTAAAAAATATAAAAAAGAAAATAAAAACCTTACACAATACAAAAATTATATCCAAGGTATGACACAGGGATTAAGAATGGTGTTGTATATTCCAAAGATTTCATATAAATGGTTCAGTTATCTCTACTAAAACTAAAACAAAAACAAAAGGCTCATTTCTGAGAAGAGAGGGGAATTGAACTTGGAGCCTTTGGAATCCATTCGGCTCTGCTATCTGACCTTGGGCAAGTAACTTAACCTGGGAGAATATAGACAGAGCTGGTTAAATCTTCTCTTAGCCTCTCTGAAGGGGAAACTATTATCATGCCCATTTTACAGATGAGAAAACTGAGGCACAGAGGGGTTAAATAACTTGCCCTAAGTCATGCAACTAAAAAGTGACAGAGTCAGGATTCAAACCCAGGCCCTCGGGCTCAAATACTCATTTCCTTCCCCTTCTGTTCCTATGGCTGAATCTGGGTTTGATAACTGGGCTCAACCTAGAACTTTCCAATGTCATCCTTCTTCCTTTGAGAATCTTGGAGGTGGCAGATCCGAGAGAGGACTGGCCAATCCACACGAGAAGCCCGGAGAGGAATCCTCCACTGTCGGTTTCCTGCCCCCAGCCCGTTAAATAAGCACAACTTTTCCATGGTAGAACATTTTCAAAATACAAGTAAGCCAAAATAATAAATTATAAACCATCCATAATCCCACCCACTCAAAGGTAACAACTCTTAACACCTGATGAGTGTTATTTCCCACATCTTTCCATGTATATAAATACATACTTTTTTACATCTAACAAAAAACAGTATTATGTGATACATAAGCTTTTGTTTTGATGTTTGGTCCTGACGTGGAAATAGCTTTATGAATTCATGTGATTATTTTAATAGATACATATTGCACAAACCATTTAGATGATGCAGGAAATGATGAAGAATAAAGTAAAATATCACCCCAATCTCACCAGCCTGAAGTAATCACCATTTACCTTGCTGTGTGTCTCTTTCTCAGCCTTTCTCTATGGAGAACAATTTATATATACTACATTTTTACTCCAAATGGGACCATACCTCTAGCATTTTGAGTGGTTATTTTTTCTGTAATATTATATTGTGGGCATTTCCCCGTGTCAATAAATACAGCCCTACATTACGGTTTTCAATGACCATGCAATATTATATTTTATGCAGGTGTCATAATTTGTTTAACCGTTCTCTCATTGTTAGTCATTTAGATTATTTCTAACATTTTCATTTTACAAACAGTACAGTGATGAATAACCATATGGCTGAGATTTTGAGCATTCTCAGTTGTTTTCTGAAAATAAATTCTAAGGGGTAGAATGGCTGCATTTAAAGGCATGCCTGCTTTAAAAAGCTATATACTTGGCTGTGTGCAGTGGCTTATGCCTATAATCCTAGCACTTTAGGAGGCCAAGGCAGGAGGATCACTTGAGCCCCAGAGTTCAAGACCAGCCTGGGCAACATGGCAAAACCTTGTCTCCTCAAAAAATAAAAATGTTAGCCGGGTGTGGTGGCATGCACCTATAGTCCCAGCTACTTGAGAGGCTGAGGCAGGAGGAGAATCACTTGAGTCCAGGAGGTTGAGGCTGCAGTGAGCCATGTTCATGCCCATGTCCACTGCACACCAGTCTGGGAGAGAAAGCAAGACTCTGCTTCAAAAAAAAAAAAAATTTATGTACTTAAATTAAGAACCCTGCTCCTGGGACACCGCTATGTGAAGATTTTCAAGAACAAGGAAAAGCTCATGTGTCATGGAATCCATCAGCCAACTGCGTCCTGTCCACAGTGAGAACTCTAGAGGATAAATTTGAATACTTAGCATGTATTTCCCCCCATGAAGAGGGAATGCTCCAGCTCAGGTGGACTCAAACTCTTCCTTTTCCCTCCCAAGCATAGCATGCATGTTTTCACCCCTAGCTCAGAGGTCAGCCAGGCTTGCCTCAGCTCTTGAGAATCAAGTGGTATTTCATCAAAACCCCATCATCATGTCCTTCCGATCTTTCTAGATTCCAAGGGCTTACTGTCACGTTTCACCTCCTGGTCCTACTGCACACCACTGTCCTTCCCCCAGGTCACCCTGGGCGTATTGTAGCCGATTCCCACAGCAAAGCATCAAGCATTTTCTAAGTCCCTACTGTGTTTTCTGGAGGATTCTAAGGAGGAATCATGTACACCCATTAGTCATCTTCAAAGTTCCAGATTCTCTCTTCTTTGAAGTTCTGCTGCCAGTGAGGAGTCTCTTTCTCTCCTTCATAACGCCACCTAACTTACTGTCTCCTCTCTTTCCTCTTTAGGTTTCTCCCTAGAAACTTAAAATCTGTTACTTAAACATTCCCTTAGAGTCTCAAACTCCACCCCAAACGAGATATCAAGACATTTCTTCCAAATTAATGCAATGCTCTATGAAAGAATTTCGTTGACTAAATTTTCCTACAGCTGCTTTATGCATCTCTGTTTTATTTATAATAAATCTATCAGATGGTCTCAATTTAAAATAGTTTGTTCAGTAGTGCCCATAAACCTAAGCTATGTCCTTAGAAATACCAATAATATTTTATTTTTTAACTTGCCTCTTCCAACCAAAGTGGGTATATAGATAGTATATAGAAGAGTACCTCTTCTCCTCCAAATAATTGCATTTGTGTACCCTGATTTGGGTTCTGAAATTATACTTAGAACACATATACACAAACAAAAGGAAATAAAATTTATACAATTTCAGCTCTTATTTCAACATCCTATCTGCATTATGATTACTTGTTTCTAGTTACATATTCACCTTCATCCCCCACTGGGTTGTTCATCTCTTTGAGGCAAAGACAAAATTAGCCCCAGCCCAGCATGGTGCCTAAGACAAAGTTGGACTGCAAAATATGCCAACTAATTTGAATTGTTGTGATGGCCTTTGATCCTTGGGGTGTTCATAAAACTTCTCAGGTGAGTTCATGTGAACAATAATACTATCACTGACATATACAAAGTTAAATAGGCAGTGTCAATAATGAGCTTTGCAAATGTTTGGGGTATTTTCCATTTTAGGAGTTGGTTCCTCTCTTATACTATCAGGCTGTAAACAGATATCTGACTCTGAAGATCCATGGGTTTGGATATTCCAGGCAAGGCTTTTCTCCCAGGTGATTCGCAGTGGGATTGACCCTTGAAGTTGAAGGGTCTTCTTCAGTTTCTGTCTCTCATCTGGTTTCCTGAATTGAATCAGAATTTGATTTAAACTCACAGCTGAGGGATGTTTCCTAGCTACAGAATCCAAGACTTTCTAGAAGGCAAGAATTACAAGCTTATTTTGAGAGTTTTTTTGTGGGGGGGGGTGGGGTTCAAAGAGGGCTACACTCTTCTACCCTTTCCTCAAAATTATTTCATTTTACATAGTATTTCCTCTCACTTTTCCCCCCCCCAAAAAAAAACCATAAAATTTGGAGGAAAACAAACCCTGTCTTTAACCCTGCATAAAGCTTCCTACAAGATGAGATCTATCTTTGATTAGAAAATTATTATTTGGGGGCGGGTACAAGACAGCCGACTAGGAGCAGTGGCGTTTGGAGGCTCCCATCCGAAAAAAAAAACAAAAAAAAAGCATAATAAGTTTGTGAATCCTTCACCGGCAACCAAGGTATCCAGGTTCTTTCATCAAAATTGACTAGATTTCTCTCCATGGCATGACCCATGGAGAGAAGGAAGAACAGTATGATGGGATGGCCTACCTGAGAGCCACACAGGGCAGGGGAACCCCCCCACCCCCAGCCAAGGAAGGCGGTGAGTGAGCACACTACCCAGCTGGGGAAACTGTGCTTTTTCCACGGAACTGTGCAACCCACAGACGGAAGATCCCACTTGTGAAACCATGCCACTGGGGCCTAGCATCCCAACCCCAGAGCGTGCAAATTTTTAAAGCCTCTCAGCTGGAATCTGCTCAAGCCTACCAAACTCCCAGTGGGAGGGGCAACCAGCACCAGCTGTGGCTGACTACTGTCTAAGTTGTTTAAGCTCCTTCGGGGAGAGGCAGCAGCCAGCACTGGGACTCACAACTGCCTAACACACTAAATTCCCTGGGGGTGGGGAAGGGCAGCACCCATTTCTATAGCTTCAGGCTCTGCTTTTCCCCTGCTGGAGCCAGGGAGTCTGGACAGCTTGGTCCCAAGATTTGTCCCCACAGCACAACACACCGGCTCTGGCAGTCTGTGGCCAGAGCGCCTCTTCAGGCCTAACCCTGACCCATCCTTCCTCATTGGGAGGGGATTCTCTGCAGAAACTCCAATAATTCCCACCAGAGGCTCAGGGACAATATTCAGATCTCCCTGGGCCTGAGCCTCTAGTGGGAGGGGTGGCCACAGTCTCTGCAGACCAGCTGACTTAGCCTCTCCTCCTGATAGTTGTGAGGAATCCAGGCAGCCCAGATGAGTAGGTTTGCCTCTAGCAAAGCACACCCCCTCCATCAAGGGACAAAATACTTCATTAAATGGGTCCTGCTCCCTGTGCCACCCAACTGGGTGAGACCCTCCAACCGGGGTTGTCAGACACCCTATATAGGAGCGATCCTACTGGCATCAGGTTGGTGCTCCTTGAGGTCAGAGGTCCCAGAGGAAGGAGCAGGCACCCATCTTTGCTGTTCTCCAGCCTCCTTAAGTGGCATATCCAAGCACAAGAGTGACTCAGATGAGTAGGGCCTGAAGTGAACCCCCAGCAAACTGCAGCAGCCCTACAAAAGAGAGACCTGACTATTGAAAGAATAACAAACAAGCAGGAAGCAACAACTACAGCATCAACAGCAACAACAAAAAGTCCCCCACAAAAATCCCATCCAAGGGTCAGCAGCCTCAAAGACTGAAACTAGACAAACTCACAAAGATGAGAAAGAATAAATGAAAAAAATGCTGAAAACCCAAAAGGTCAGAGTGCCTCTTCTCCTCCAAATAATTGCAACCTCTCTCCATCAAGGACGCAGAACTGGATGGAAGATCAGATGGACAAATTGACAGAAGAAGGCTTCAGAAGACGAGTAATAAAAAACTATGCTGAGCTAAAGGGGCATGTTCTAACCCAATGCAAAGAAACTAAGAACCTTGACAAAATGTTAGAGGAATTGCTAACTAGAATAACCAGTTTAGAGAGGAACATAAATGACCTGATGGAACTGAAAAACACAGCACGAGAACTTCGTGAAGCATACACAAGTATCAACAGCGAAATTGACCAAGCAGAAGAAAGGATATCAGAGATTGAAGACCACCTTACTGAAATAAGACAGGCAGACAAGAATAGAGAAAAAAGAACGAAAAGAAATGAAGAAAGCCTTTAAGAAAAGGCTTCATAAAAAGACCGAACCTACGATTGATTGAAATACAAGAAGGAGATGGGGACAATCGAAACAAACTGGAAAACACACTTCAGAATCGTATCCGGGAGAACTTCCCCAACTAGCAAGACAGGCCAACATACAAATTCAGGAAATACAGAGAACACCATTAAGATACTCCATGAGAAGATCAACCCCAAGATACATAATCATCAGATTCCCCAACTTCGAAATGAAGGAAAAACTGTTAAGGACAGCCAGAGAGAAAGGCCAGGTCACCTACAAAGGGAAGCCCATCAGACTACCAGCGGACCTCTCAGAAGAAACTCTACAAGCCAAAAGAGATTGGGGGACAATATTCAACATTCTTAAAAGAAAGAATTTTCAACCCAGAATTTCATATCCAGCCAAACTAAGCTTCATAAACCAAGGAGATAAAAAACCCTTTACAGACAAGCAAATGCCGAGGGATTTTGTTACACCAGGCCTGCCCTACAAGAGATCCTGAAAGAAGCACTAAATATGGAAAGGAAAAACTGGTACCAGCCACTGCAAAAATGCACCAAAATATAAAGACCAATGACACTATGAAGAAACTGCATCAACTAGTATGTAAAATAGCATCATGATGACAGGATCAAATTCACACATAACAATATTAACCTTAAATGTAAATGGGCTAAATGCCCAATTAAAAGACACAGACTGGCAAATTGGATAAGGGGTCAAGACCCACCAGTGTAATGTGTACTCAGGAGACCCATCTTACATGCAAAGACACACACAGGCTCAAAATAAAGGGATTTACCAAGCAAATGGAAAGAAAAAAAAAAAAGCAGGGGTGGCAATCCTAGTCTCTGACAAAACAGACTTTAAACCAACAAAGATCAAAAAGACAATGAAGAGCATTTCATAACGGTAAAGGGAACAATTCAACAAGAAGAGTTAACTATTCTAAATATATATGCACCCAATACGGGAGCACCCAGATTCATAAAACAAGTTCTTAGAGACCTACAAGGAGACTTAGACTCCCACACAATAATAGTGGGAGACTTTAACATCCCACTGTCAGTATTAGACCATTCAATGAGACAAAAAATTAACAAGCTTATTCAGGACTTTAACTCAGCTCTGGATCAAGTGGACCTAGTAGACGTCTGTAGAACCCTCTACCCCCAATCAACAGAATATACGTTCTTCTCAGTGCCACATGGCACTTATTCTAAAATCAACAACATAATTGGAAGTAAAACACTCCTCAGCAAATGTAAAAGAACTGAAATCATAATAAACAGTCTCTTAGAACACAATGCAATCAAATTAATCAAAACTCAGGATTAAGAAAATTACTCAAGTCTGGGCATGGTGGCTCACACCTGTAATCCCAGCACTTTGGGAGGCCGAGGCTGGCGGATCATGAGGTCAGGAGATCAAGACCATCCTGGCCATCACGGTGAAACCCTGTCTCTACTAAAAAAAATACAAACAATTAGCCAGGCATGGTGGCAGGCACCTGTAGTCCCAGCTACTCAGGAGGCTGAGGCAAGAGAATGGCGTGAACCCAGAAGGCAGAGCTTGCAGTGAGCCAAGATTGTGCCACTGCACTCCAGCCTGGGTGACAGAGTGAGACTCTGTCTCAACAAAAAATAAAAATTAAAAAAAAAAAAGAAGAAGAAAATTACTCAAAACCACACAATTACATGGAAATTGAACAACCTGCTCCTAAACAGCTCCTGGGTAAATAATGAAATTAAGGCAGAAATCAAGAAGTTCTTTGAAACCAATGAGAGCAAAGAGATAACATACCAGAATCTCTGGGACAGAGCTAACGCAGTGTTAAGAGGGAAATTTATAGCACTAAATGCCCACATCAGAAAGCTGGAAAGATCTGAAATTGACACCCTAACATCACAATTAAAAGAGCTAGAGAGGCAAGAGCAAGCTAATCCAAAAGCTAGCAGAAGACAAGAAATAACTAAGATCAGAGAAGAATTGAAGGAGATAGAGACACGAAAAACCCTCCAAAAAAAATCAACGAACCCAGGAGCTGGTTTTTTGAAAAAAATTAACAAAATAGATAGGCCTCTAGCCAGACTAATAAAGAAGAGAGAGAAGAATCAAATCGACACAATAAAAAATGATAAAGGAGATAAAACCACTGACCCCACGGAAATACAAACTACCATCAGAGAATACCATAAACACCTCCACGCAAATGAACTAGAACATCTAGAAGAAATGGATAAATTCCAGGATGTATACACCCTACCAAAGCTAAACCAGGAAGAAGTTGAATCCCTGAATAGACAAATAACAAGCTCTGAAATTGAGACAGTAATTAATAGCCTACCCATCAAAAAAAAAGCCCAGGACAAGATGGATTCATAGCTGATTTCCACCAGAAATACAAACAGGAGCTGACACAATTCCTTCTAAAACTATTCCAAACAATTGAAAAGGAGAGACTCTTCCCTACCTCATTTTTATGAGGCCAGCATCATCCTGATATCAAAGCCTGGCAGAGACACAACAAAAAAAGAAAACTTCAGGCTAATATCCCTGATGAACATCGATGAGAAAATCCTCAATAAAATACTGGCAAACCAAATCCAGCAGCACATCAAAAAGCTTATCCACCGTGATCAAGTTGGCTTCATGTCTGGGATGCAAGGCTGGTTCAACACATACAAATCAATAAACGTAATCCATCACATAAACAGAACCAAAGACAAAAACCACATGATTATCTCAATAGATGCAGAAAAGGCCTTTGATAAAATTCAGCATTGCTTCATGTTAAAAACTCTCAGTAAACTAGGTATTGTTGGAACATATCTCAAAATAATAAGAGCTATTTAGGACAAACCCACAGCCAGTATCATACTGAATGGGCAAAAGCTGGAAGCATTCCCTTTGAAAACCTGTACAAGAGGATGCCCTCTCTCACCACTCCTATTCAACATGATACTGGAATTCTGGCCAGGGCAATCAGGCAAGAGAAAGAAATAAAGGGTATTCAAATAGGAAGAGAGGAAGTCGTCTCTGTTTGCAGATGACATGATTTTATATTTAGAAAACCCCATCATCTCAGCCCAAAAACTTCTTGAACTGATAAGCAACTTCAGCAAAGTCTCAGGATACAAAATCAATGTGCAAAAATCACAAGCATTCCTTTACACCAACAATAGGCAAGCAGAGAGCCAAATCATGAATGAACTCCCATTCATAATTGCTACAAAGAGAATAAAATATCTAGGAACACAGTTAACAAGGGATATGAAGGACCTCTTCAAGGAGAACTGCAAACGAATGCTCAAGGAAACAAGAGAGGACACAAACAAATTGAAAAACATTCCATCCTCATGGATAGGAAGAATCAATATCATGAAAAAGGCCATACTGCCCAAAGTAATTTATAGATTCAATGCTATTCCCATCAAACTACCAGTGATATTCTTCACAAAATTAGAAAAACTATTTTAAATTTCATACAGAATCAAAGAAGACCCCATATAGCCAAGACAATCCTAAGCAAAAAGAACAAAGCTGGATCATGCTACCTAACTTCAAACTATACTACAAGGCTACAGTAACCAAAACAACATGCTAATGGTACCAAAACAGACACATAGACCAATGGAGCAGAACAGAGACCTCAGAAATAACACCGCACATCTACAACCATTTGATCTTTGACAAACCTGACAAAAACAAGCAATGGGGAAAGGATCTCCTATTCAGTAAATGGTACTAGGAAAACTATGCATATGCAGAAAATGCAGAAAACTTAAACTAGACCCCTTCCTTACATCTTATACAAAAATTAACTCAAGATGGATTGAAGGCTTAAATGTAAAACCCCAAACCATAAAAACCCTAGAAGAAAACCTGAGCAGTACCATTCAGGACATAGGCATAGGCAAAGACTTCATGACAAAAACACCAAAACCAATTTCAACAAAAGCCAAAATTGACACACAGGGTCTAATTAAACTAAAGAGCTGCTGCACTACAAAATAAACTACCATCAGAGTGAACAGGTAACCTATGGACTGGGAGAAAATTTTTGTGATCTACCCATCTGACAAAGGTTTAATATCCAGAATCTACAAGGAACTTAAACACATTTCCAAGAAAAAGACAAAAAAAAAAAATCAAAAAATGGGCAAAGGATATGAACAGACACTTCTCAAAAGAAGACATTTATGTGGCCAACAAACATGAAAAAAAAGCTCAACATCACTGATCATCAGAGAAATGCACAATGAGATACCACCTCATGCCAGTCAGAATGGCGATTACTAAAAAGTCAGGAAACAATACTTGCTGGTGAGGCTGTTGGTGGGAATGTAAATTAGTGCAACCATTGTGGAAGACAGTATGGTGATTCCTCAGTAATACAGAACCAGAAATACCATTTGACCCAGCAATCTCATTACTGGGTATATACCCAAAGAAATCTAAATCATTCTACTATAAAGACACATGTACACATATGTTTACTGCAGCACTATTTACAATAGCGAAGACATGAAAACAACTCAAATGCCCAGCAATGATAGAGTGGATAAACAAAATGTAGTACATATACACCATGGAATACTATGCAGCCATAAAAAGGAATGAGATCTTGTCCTTTGCAGGGACATGGGTGAAGCTGGAAGCCATCATCCTTGGCAAACTAACAGAGGAACAGAAAACCAAACACCGCATGTTCTCACTCATAAGTGGGAGTTGAACATTGAGAACACATGGACACAAGGAGGGGAACAACTCACACCAGGGCCTGTTGGGAGGTGGGGGGTGAGGGGAGGGAACATAGAGGACGGGTTAACAGGTGCAGCAAACCACCATGGCACATGTATATCTATGTAACAAACCTGCATGTTCTGCACATGTATCCTGGTTTTTTTTAAGAAAAAAAGAAAGAAAATTATTATTTGACCCGTCAAAGATTATAAACTTACCTTTCAATACAAAAACTCCATTTGTTCTGAATCTGCAACTTGGCAGGTCTCAGCTTTACACAGAGCACCTGCTTACCATGTCTTCATGCAGTAGGGAAAATAACGCCCATTTCAAAGATCAGAAAACTGAAACTCTAGAAGGGAAAGTGATTTGGGGGTCCTGGGGACCAACTGCTAGTGCAAGACAGGACCAGGACATGCTTGCTAATATGAACTTGTAATCATTTTCTAGTTGGTGCTGGATGTATGCCTTTTCTCTCCCGATCAGAATTATTAAGTCCTTTAGGGATATAACGTGGTTAAATTTTGTGCCTCTCCCACAACCTAGAACAGGGTTAGCTTCACTGTCAAGTACATAAAGGAAAACTTGGAGTCTGCCAGCCCCTTTCTCAGAAGCTGCGTTTCCCATTCATTACCAAAGAAAACCCAACCCAAATCTTTGGCTTAATATCAAAAACCCTTACAACTGGCCCTAATCTCTTCTTCAAATATTTTCTCTCAGGATTCCCCTGAACAAAATCTTCATTTCAGCCAAATGGATGTGTTCAGGGTTTCCCAACTCTGCTATGTGCCTTCCTACCCCAGTGCCTTTGCATATACTCTTGCCTCAGCTTGGTCCATCCTCCCCTCCCTTACTCCGTGCCTCCACTCCTCTTCACCTACTACCTCATTTGGGAGAAAAAGGTATAACCAGATTCTGCTGCCAGAGGGTGTACTTCTAGGAATAGGGCTACAGGGTGTATGGCTGTGCAATTGAGTATTTAAAAAGCAAACAGAAAAATAATGTTTTACCCTTCTACCACCTTTTCTGCACATAACACAGTCTGATCACTGATATGTCAGTCATATACTATACACTTTTTCTGCTAATTTTTTTTCTTTTTTTTTTTTCTTTTTTTTTGAGACGAAGTTTCAATCTTGTTACTCAGGCTGGAGTGCAATGGCACGATCTTGGCTCATTGCAACCTCCGCCTCCCAGGTTCCATTGATTTTCCTGCCTCAGCCTCCCAAGTAGCTGGCATTACAGGTGCCCGCCACTACACCCAGCCAATTTTTGTATTTTTAGTAGAGACAGGGTTTCACCGTGTTGTCCAGGCTGGTCTCAAACTCCTGACCTGAAGTGATATACCCACTTCGGCCTCCCAAAGTGCTGGGATTATAGGCAGGAGCCAATGCTCCCAAACTCTGCTAATATATTTTAGTATAGTCTTAATAACAATTTGTCAATAAATATTACCTTTAAAGGCTAAAAACAAACCACTTTGGAGAGGAGTTTGCTTGGGAAGAGTATGCACTTCAGTTTCCCCCCTCCCTGGTCTCTCCACTATGTTTCTGCTTGGCTACTGTCCCTTCAGCTGAGCACTGTTCTTTATCTTCCCAGCACCAAGTTAGGGCCCTCTGTGTCCTCATAGTCTTAGGACTGCACTGTCATAGCACTGACTAAGTGAATTGTAATTGTATTCCGATATTTCATCTTTTCTGCTAGATTGTGAACTCATAAAGGGCAGAGGTTGTGAATATTTATAGCCAGGAACCAGCATCATGTCCGGCACAAGCAGGTATCAGGCAATATTTAATGAAATCCAAGAGTGACCAGGAGCACCTCGTTCTCATCATTGCTTACACTGTCACTGCTCCTTCTCTGGAAGAGCAGTGGCTCCTGGGGAGAGCTGCTCTCAGCCTCATACAGGTCAAAAGGCCACTGCTCATGTCTCTGTGAAACATGTCTCAGCCTCACCAGAACAGATGACATACATGCAAATAGCATGTGTGATGTACACAGCTGCTCCCCCCGCGAAACCTGATCGCTGCATCCGGCTGCTGCTGCTGACTTGTGTTTCATGTCACATCTTGGGAAGAGGCATCTTGAGTTGCCAGCAGTCTTGTTTGCTTGAGTTGTGCCCCTCTCTGGGGTGGGCCTGAAGTGAAACAGCCAGAAAGGAGCTCTTTTCACCCAAATAGGCTGTCGAATTACTGATGACTTCAGATGCCAAGAGGCTTTGATCAGGATTTCTGCACCGGGCCTTGTATAACCAGCAACACTTCAACCAGACTGCATTTCATTAGGATGGAAGCTCAACCCGGGCTGCTCTGGATTTTTTTTTTTAAGTCATTTAGCTGGTAATAGCTTGCACAGAAAGAGATGGTTCATTTAGCTCTGCTTCTTGTCCAGTTTTGTGGGGAAGCAAGCCTGTACTGTGGGAGTGGAAGTTGATATATTTTGTGTTCTCTGGATGCTACTGCAGCGGACCGTGCTTTCCCCACCTGTTTTGCATCCATTAGGAAACCTATATAGGGTTTTGATTGTCAAAGTTTGATTAGGTGCTAGGGTTGGAGTTGACGAGGTAGGAGCAAAGCAAGACCAATTTATCCTGCTAACAGCCATTCTCTAACAAGCTGGTATTTGTTAGAAGGCATTTTCATATGACAAATGTTGGAAATTGTAATGGGCTTTAATAAAGTGTAGTAGGCAATCCGTCAAGCACAGGGCTAACCCCTTTATAACGTGGACCACGATGATTGTCTGCAAAGGGATGCTTCTCCCTCTACCAAAAAAGGCAAATAATAACAATAAATCCTAGGGTCTTCTAGGATGAACTAATGAGCTAGTTCCAGGTCACACCCTTAAAAAATGGGAGCTCTGGATCTTCTGGAAGTGAGGCTGGGTTTGTCTTATGGCATGTGAAGATTGTGGATGATTCTGGCAAAGGATGGACATGAGATTTGGGGCAAATCACTTACTGTGTCTTGTAGTTTTACCATCTATAAATTAAAGAGAGGAGATTATAAAAGGAGGTCTGGGTAACCCTCAATTCTGTGACTCTAAGTCCCTCTTCCTGTTGGGATCTATGTCATTGGCTGGAAAGGGCCCTGGTCAGAGGTTTGGGTAGCCTGGGTTTGGTGCCTGCTCTGCAGCTCCTAGTGATGTGAGTGTAGGGGTTGAACAGTGATCCTCCCCCACCAGAGACGTGTCCACATACTAATCCTGGAATCTGTGAATGTGATCTTATTTGGAATAAGAATGTTTGCAGATGTAATGAAGTTAAGAGTTTTGAGATGGGGAAATCATCCTGGATTATCTGAGTGAACCCTAAATCCAATGGCCCATATCCTTGTAAGAGAGAGGCAGAGGGAGATTTGACATAGACAGAAGAGAAGGAGGCAAGGTGACCATAGAGGCAGAGATGGGAGTGATGTAGCCCCAAGCCAAGGAATGCAGGCTACCATCAGAAGGTGGAAAAAGCAAGGAGCATAGTTTCCTCTAGAGCCTCAGGAGGGAACACCCCCTGCTGACACATTGATTTTTGACTTCTGGCCTCCGGAACTGAGAGAGAAAAAATTTCAGCTGTTTCACAGCCACCAAGTTGTGGTAATTCATTACAGTGGCTGCGGTGAGCGTGAAAAGTACTGAAAATTGCTCTGAGTCTGTCTCCTCCTCGCAAACGTCAAATGAATAACTCTGACCTCACCATGCAGTTGCTAAGAGGAAATTCCACATTAAAAAAATGCCCAGCATCATGCCTTGTGTATCAGAGGTGCTCAGCACGGGTAGTTAAAAGGAGAAAAAAGCAGCATTAGCATTTACTGGAATGTGATCCAGTCAGGATGCTGGAGTTGCAAGGGACAGAGCTACACAATGAACTAGGTTAGGTGTGGTTGAGAATTTATTGGGAGGTCCCTGTACCCGCAGAAAAGCAGATGCACAATTAAGCCCCAAGGAAAATAAAAACCAAAGAGGGCAATATCCCCAGAATTCTCTCTCGGCCTCTGTTAGGGCAGATGGCATTATCACTCACCGTGATGGACTTTCACGACCCAGCGAGAGTTCAGCATTTCCTACAGCTTCTGGCTCACGTTTTTACAAAAGTGACACTACCGATCTTCCCTCAGCATTTGTGGAAAGCCTCCCAGGAGGGATTCTGATTGGTCAGGCTGTGCTTAACCCAGAAGAGAGGAGAGGGCTGAGCAGATGAAGTCATAGCTGTCCACTTCCTTGCATCGGGCACGGTTTAGGAATGCAGAATACAAATATTGCTTTCAGCAAGCATCATCCTTTCCAGTTTGATTAAATTATTTGGTGGAAATATTCAGAGACAAAGACGTTAAAGCTTTTACACCATTTGGCGCTGTTAAAATATAGCATCTGATTGGGTAACCCAGCCTACTGTGGCTTCCTTTCAGCAGATCCTTCTCCAGCAAACTTGTGTTTCCAACACACACACACTGAAGAGAGGAGGACAGAGGAAGGCTTGAGTTGTAAAGCAAAAATCGCTGGGCTAGGCTTACGGGATTTGTGTCAAGTTCTGGATTTGCTGTTATTTCTCTAGGTCCTAGTTTCCTCCTCTATAAAATGGAGGTTGAGATAAACTTTTTCTTTTTTAACTGAAAATCTCTCAGGTCTCTCAAGGTCTCCAAGGGTATTGATGGAAGCCTCACTTTCATATTGTAAAAGAAGCTGTACACGTCCCCATGGTCATGAAATCAACAAGCGTCTTTATTACAGACTGGACTTACCCCAAGGTGGTCACTGTGGCTATTTTATACTTATCATCAGTTATTCAAATCTGTGCTTCATAAAATTTGGAAGAAATTAATTATTCCATAATAAATGCAATTTTTAAAAAACTGAAAACCTCTTTTAAGACATGTGGACACGAGGAAAGAGACAGGCATGGGAAGAGGAGGGTGGGAGCAGTACAAATCTGAGACTCAGAGAGGTGGAAAGGTCTGCTAAGAAGTCAGCTGACGGGTGAGGTCGGGCATTGGGGCTAGTCAGTCTGACTTCAGATCCACGCATAAAGCCCCAACACCTTGATGTGGGCTAAATCCCTTCCTCTAGTAGGGGTCATGTTCCAGACCCTCTGATGCCCTCCCTTCCCCCACCTCCTCCTCCCATCTCCTGTTCAGTGCAGAGTCAGCACACGCTGACCCAAGTCACTCTCCAGGAACCTTCTAAATGGCCAGCCCTGGGAGTAGCATGACTAACCCATAAGGCATTGCCAGGTAATTAACTTCAAGCATTTGCCTAATTAAGCAAAACGTAGAGCATAGAGCGCATGAATTCTTTAAAACACTACAGAGGATGGAGGGCCTGGGCTAAGTCCAGAGGCTGAGGCAGACTCCATCCCCAGGCTTGCTCACTCCTGGAAGGAGCCAGATGAGTGGCAGAAGCTTGTGGCACCTGTGCACCTGGATGCAATTATTACTTTCTTTGGTATCCCTCATCCCCTCCTCCCTGAATCATTTGTCTTCCTCTCTAAAGTGTTCCCATGGTACCATGTTTGTCTTTCTAAAAAATGACTAATTACATATCATATTATAATTGTTTTATTTTTCTGTCCCTGCCAGACTAAGCTTCTAGCTCAGGGGATGAGGCAGGCTCAGAAGAAATAGTGACTAAAGAAGTGAATGAATGAATGAGTGAATGAATGAATGGAAAAATAGACCTATTTCTTCTTTTCCCCCTTTGCCTTGTGCTTAAATGACACAGTGTCAATTTTCTTAAGAGAGCTGCCTACTAAACAAATCCCTCATATGCATGTAGCCAGACCAAACTCTGAAATGTGTTACTCATACTCAGAGAATGCCTCTGTCATTCAGAGTCTATCAACTTTCTTCACAAGATAAGCAAAATCTCTCCTGGAGCTTTTGACTTTCCATGAGCTTCATCAAAGGCTATTCTAGATTTGTTACAAAAGACCTCACAGGACCTAACAGACATTTACAGAACATTTCATAGAACAGCTGCAGATTTCACATTCCTCTCATCAGCAAATGGGACATTATGGAGGAAAGACCATGTGTTAGGCCACAAAACAAGTCTCAACAACTCTTAAAAAGCCTAAATCATATAAAGTATCTTTTCATATCTAATGAAATAAAACTAGTAATCAGTAACAAGAGGAATTTTGGAAATGTTACAAATACATAAAAATTGGTTGGGAGTCAGGTGTGCTGGCTCACGCCTGTAATCCCAGGACTCTGGGAGGCCAAAGCAGAAAATTTATTGGGCCCAGGAGTTTCAGATCAGCCCGGGCAACAAAGTAAGATCTCTGTCTCTACAAAAAATATGAAAATTAGCCAGGCAGCAGGCACAGTGGCTCATGCCTGTAATCCCAGCACTTTGGGAGGCTGAGGAGGGTGGATCACTTGAGGTCAGGAATTCGAGATCAGCCTGACCAACATGGCAAAATCCCATCTCTACTAAAAATACAAAAATTAACTGGGCATGGTGGCACACGCCTGTAATCTCAGCTACTGGAGAGGCTGAGGAAGGGGAATCGCTTGAGCCTGGGAGGCAGACCTTGCAGTGAGCTGAGATCATGCCACTATACCCCAGCCTGGGCTACAGAGTGAGACTCCATCTCAAAAAAAAAAAAAAAAAAAAAAAAAAAAAAAAAAAAAAGCCAGGCATGGTGGCGTGTGCCTGTAGTCCCAGCTACTTGGGAAGCTGAGGTGGAAGGATCGACTAAGCCCAGGAATTTGAGACTGCAGTAAGCTATGATTATGCCACTGCAGTTCAGCCTGGGTGGCAGAGCAGGACCCTGAAGAAGAAGAAGAAGAAGGAGAAGGAGAAGAAGGAGGAGGAGGAGGAGGAGGAAGTTGAAGGAGGGGGAGGAGGAGGAGGAAACACAAACAGATCAAAACCTATGGGATATAGCAAAAGTGGTATTAAGAGGGAAGTTTATAGCAATAAAAGGAAACTGGTAAATTCCTGGACACAAATAACCTACTAAGATTGGACCAGAACTAAATAGAAAATCTGAACAGACCAATAACAAGTAATGAGAGCGGGTCAGTAATAAAAGTCTCCTAACAAAGAAAAGCCCAGGACTGAATGGTTTCACTGCTGAATTCTACCAAACCTTTAAAAAAGAACTAACACCAGTTCTTCTCAAACTATTTCAAAAAATTGAAGAGGAGGTAATTTTCCCAAGCTCATTCTTATGAAGTCAGCATTATTTGATATCAAAGCCAAGCAAGGGCACAACAAAAAAAAAGAAAACTGCAGGCTACTATTCCTGATGAACATAGATGCAGAAATCCTCAACAAAATATTTGCAAACTAAATCCAACAGCACATTAAAAAAAATATACACCATAATCAAGTGGGATTTAGCCCCAGGAATGCAAGGGTGGTTCAACATATGCAACTCAATAAATGTGATACCTCACATCAACAGAATGAAGTACAAAAATTATATGATTATCTCAATAGATGCAGAAAAAGGATTTGGTAAAATTCTACATTCCTTCATGAGAAATCTCCCAACAAATTATGTACAAAGGGAACATACCTCAGCATAATAAAGGCCATATATGACGAACTCACAGCTAATGTCATACTGAATGAGGAAAAGTTGAAAGTTTTTCCTCTACGCTTTTTGGAACAAGACAAGAATGCCCACTTTCACAAACTCTTATTTAATACAATATTTAGACAAGAAAAAGAAACAAAGGCCATACAAATTGGAAAAATGGAGGTCAAATTGCTCCTGTTTGCAGATAACTTGATCTTATAGATAGAAAAACCTAAAGACTTCACCAAAAAAAACCTCTTAGAACTAATAAACAAATTCAGTAAGGTTGCAGGATAGAAAATCAACATATAAAAATTAGTAGTGTTTTTATACACCAATAACAAACTAGATAAAAATGAAATCAAAAAAGCAATTTTATTTACAATAGTTTAAAAAAATACTTAAGAATAAATTTAACCAAGAGTGTGAAAAATCTCTACAATAAAAACTATAAAATACTGATGAAATAAATTGAAGAGGACACAAACAAGTGGGAAAATATTCCATGTTCACGGATTCAAAGAATTAATATTATCAAAATGGCCATACTACCTAAGCAATTTACGGATTCAGTGCAATTTCTATGTTCACAAAAATAGAGAAAAAAATCCTAAAGTTTGTATGGAATGACAAAAGAATATCCAAAGAAATTCTAAACAAAAAGAACAAAGCTAGTGACATCACACTTACTGGCTTCAAAATATACTACAAAACTATATCAAAACTATATGTACTGGTATAGAAAGAGTCACATAGACCAATGGAAAAATAGAGAACCCAAAAATAAATCCACAAACTTACAGAAAATTGATTTTGTAAAATGGTGCCAAGAACATATATTGAGAAAAGGACACTCTTTTCAAAAAATGGTGCTGGGAAAACTGAATATCCATAACCAGAACAGAAAAATAAAACCAGAATGATACCTTTTTCCATGCATAAAAATGGACTAAAAATGGACTAAAGATTTAAATGTGATCCCTGAAACTATAAAATTACTAGAGGAAAACATAGGGGAAATGCTTCAGGACATTGGTCTGGGAAAATATTTTATGAATAAGACTTCCAAAGCACAGGCAACAAAAGTCTATTTCAACTAATGGGTTCATATCAAGTCAAAAGTTTCTGCATACCTAAGGAAGCAATCAACAGAGTGAAGAGATAACCTGAAGAATGGGGAAAAATATTTGTAAACTATTCCTCCAACAAGGGATCTAAAATATATAAGGAATTCAAATGATTCAACAGAAAGAAAAAAATCCCATTTAAGAAAATGGGCAAATGATCTGAAAGGACATTTCTCAAAAAAAGACATACACAGGGCCAAGAAGTATATGAAAAAATGCTCAACAGGACTAATCATCAGGGAACTGTAAATCAGAACCACAGCAAAATATTATATTTCCCTAGCTAGAATGTCTGTTATCAAAAAGACAAAAAATAACAGGGAACTTAGGTATTATTGGTTGGAATGTAAAGTAGTACAGCTATTATGGAAAACAATATGGAGGTTCCTCAAAAAACTACAAATAGAACTTCCATACGATACAGCAGTTCCACTACTGGGTATTTATCTAGAGGAAGGAAAATCAGTATATTAAAAAGACATCTGCACTCCTGTGTTTATTGCAGCACTATTTACAATAGCCAAGATATAAAATCAACCTGTTGTGTCTATCAACTGATGAATGGATAGAGAAAATGCGATATGTATACACAATGGAATATTATTCATCCATAAAAAAAAATGCAATCTTGTCATTCACGGCAACATGGATGAACCCGGAGTGCATTACATTAGTGAAATAAGCAAGGTATAGAAAGACTAGCATCACATGTTCTCATTCATATGTGGGAGCTAAGAACATTGATTTCATAGAAGTAGAGTAGAATTGTGGTCGATCTCATAGAAGTAGAGTAGAAGTAGAGTAGAATTGAGGCTGGAAAGGGTAGTGTAGGGATAGGGATAAGTTTGACCATCATTCATTGGACTAGATAATGCCTTAGTGCCCTTCCAGCTCTGACAGTCATCAAATTAACACCTGTTCTCATTTGTATAGGTTATTGAATAGAGAATTACAACTAGATAGAAAAAATAAGTTCCAGCATTCTACAGCACTGAAGGATGACTGCAATTAACAAGAATTTGTTGTAGATTTTCAAACAGCTAGGAGAGAGGATTTTGAATGTTCCTATCGCAAAGAAATGAAAAATGTTTGAAATAATGGGTATGCGAATTACCCTGGTTTAATCACTACATATTGTATACATATATTAAAATATCACTCTGTACCCCATAAATATGTACAATCATTACATGTCAATTAAAAATAAAAAAAAAAATTTGGCCAGGTGCAGTGGCTCACACCTGTAATCCCAGCACTTTGGCAAGCCAAGGAAGGCAGATCACCTGAGGTCAGGAGTGCTGGCCAACATGGTGAAACCTCATGTCTACTAAAAATACCAAAAATTAGCCAGGCTTAGTGGCAGGTGCCTGTAATCCCAGCTATTCAGGAAGCTGAGACAGGAGAATTGCTTGAACCCGGGAGGCAGACGTTGCAGTGAGCTGAGATCACACCACTGCACTCCAGCCTGGGCGACAAGAGCGAAACTCCATCTCAAAAAAATAAAAAATAAAAATAAAAACAAAAATTTTTTAAAACCCTCACATATCTTGTAGGGGAAGTGCAAAATGGTCTTTATCACTAGACTAATCGCTCCATGAAGTCTGAGGCCATGTCTTCCTTTATTTGTTGCTCTAAGTCCAGGGCTTACCACAGAGCCTGGCACACAGAATGCCATACATATATACATACTCACACACATATATACACATACACCCCCCCACATATACATTTATACATACACACACACACATTTCACATACATAAAACCTCAAGTCCCTAACCCCTGCTTCAGCTAGAGAATTTCTGTTTTTATCAGGCATCTGAATACGAGTCTTTCTGAAAAAAGAGTTCTGCTGTGCCACATTAAGTTTGACCATCATTCATTGGACTAGATAATGCCTTAGTGCCCTTCCAGCTCTGACAGTCATCAAATTAACACCTGGTCTCATTTGTACAGGTTAAGGATCCACCGAGAATAGGTTTATGGTAATTTGTTATTTATATTATCTTGTGATATTCTTTTCCAATAGTGAAGTAATCCCAGGTAGATGACAAAAACTAAATGTATTTTATTTTCAACCTTCTCTTGAGCTTCTAAACTTGGAATCTGTGTGCTTGAAGCAGTAGAGAAATCTCCAAAGAGGCTCTTGTTTGGCCCATGTTGATCTGTTCCGCTCCAGCTCAAAGGCAGTAGCAGCAGATAACAATCAGCAATGCTTGCAATTCATAGCCATTGCCACATGACTGTTGGCCTAACTGGCACCAGCGTTCAGGCAGTAAAACATGTCCATCCATTTTTCTGTAATGGAATAGACAAAAAATGTTATCCTCTTAACATTGACACCAGAATTCTTCTAAGGGAGGGAATAACCTTTGTTTGAGAAAAGTATCTTTGTAAGTGTTTGTGAGAAGATGTTGAGGTGTTGAAAGTCAAAATATTGGCTGGCTCAAAGTTCCAGAGGCTTGTGTATGTGTAGGTATAGGAAGTTGTTCTGTATATGACAAGGAGTGAATTTGTTGCTCCAAAGTGGGAAGCTGGAGGGATGGGAGAAGAAAGAAGAAAGAAGTGGGGAGGGCTGGGTGATGTGGCTCACGCCTATAATCCCAGCACCTTAAGAGGCCGAGGCAGGTGGATCACAAGGTCAGGAGTCTGAGACCAGCCAGGCCAATATGGTGAAACCCCGTCTCTACTAAAGATACAAAAAATTACCCGAGCATGGTGGTGCACACCTGTAATCCCAGCTACTTGGGAGGCTGAGGCAGGAGAATCGCTGGAACCTGGGAAGCGGAGGTTGCAGTGAGCCGAGATCACGCCATTGCACTCCAGCCTGGGTGACAGGACAAGACTCTGTCTCAAAAAAGAAAAAAAAAAAATGAGGAGGAACGGTGGAACGGTACAAGCCAATAATATTGAGAACAACAGTGACTTATTGGTGTGATAAGTCACAGAAACGCCCTCAGGAAATAAAGTGGTCAAAGCACCTTTTAAGAGCAAGGAAGCCTGCTGCTGTATTTGATGTGGTTTGCCCTTCTGTGAGATAAGCCCTGGCTCTGCATTCTCTCCCTGCTCCATAAACACACACAGGATGTTTTAAATAAATTTTACTGTTGTATCATTTTTGCACAGACTTTTTATTTGTATGTGCTTTTTCTTTAAACTCAAAATTTCATCTTAGAAGGACAGAGTGCAGAACAGAGACAACATCCAAGGAGATAAAAACTCAAGGAAATGGAGGAAGATGAGGAGGAGATGAGAAGTAAGCCCTTGGTGATAAAGCTTTGGACTTCTACAGGCTCTGAAGAAAGAAACTTGGGACAAAAGTTACCTAATTTTCAGGGAGCACGAAGAACTAGCTGACTTCTAGGATGCCTGTCCTCAAAACATTTCATTATCCCCACCTGGCATAGAAATGAACTGCAGTGACATGGTACAGGGCACACTGGAGGACTTCTCTTGAGGCCACATTACTTTTCCTTACACTGTAAGTTTATTTGGTGCAGCCGAGAGTGGCTGATGGAGCTAAAGAGGAGGATCACGGCACCAACCCCTCAAGCTAAAAGTTGATGCTTCTGGTCAGTAATTCCCTCAGACCCAGGCAAGGGGTGCCCTGCTCTGTGCCCTGAACTTCCCTTTATAGAACCTTCCATGTCGAAAGGATGCAAAAAATTCCAGGTGCAGGGGATGATCCAAACCCCTCAACATCCACTTCATTACGAACACTGTTCAGGCTCCTGGAAGGCTTTTCCATGTCTTTTGCCTTCTGTCCTTGAAACAAAAGGTAGACAGGTTCAAATGCTAGGAGCCTTTGTGCATTCCACCCTTATCAACACTGAAGTTGCCGCAGCTTCAAAGAGTAGAGAGTATGACAGCTGCAAGAGGGCTTGGGTAAGAGAAAAGATAAATTAATTAACTTGCCCAGTCTTTCTTCTTGGATAGTATGAGTGTATGATTCCACACAAAAACGCCAGGTTTTCTATTTTATTACTTTGCTTTGCTTTCCAAATCAGGGGTTTGAGATGAATTTATGAACTGGCATAGGTTTTGCAACAGTTGCACGTGGAGGCTGAGGGACAGTCTGCAATCTTGAGCATCTGGCTTTACACTCAAATTTGCACCTACGTAGGTCTACATATAACATGCACGAAGCATGATACTGACTCCATTTTAGCAGCTAGGTGGATGTTGAAGCAATTTCTTAAAATGTTTAAATGTGAAAATATTTAAAATGTTTAAAAATTCAGGCTGGGCGCTGTGGCTCACGCCTGTAATCCCAGCACTTTGGGAGGCTGAGACGGGCGGATCACGAGGTCAGGGGATCGAGACCATCCTGGCTAACACGGTGAAACTCCGTCTCTACTAAAAATACAAAAAAATTAGCAGGGCGTGGTGGCGGGCGCCTGTAGTCCCAGCTACTCGGGAGGCTGAGGCAGGAGAATGGCGTGAACTCGGGAGGCGGAGCTTGCAGTGACCCGAGATCCCGCCACTGCACTCCAGCCTGGGCGACAGAGCGAGACTCCGTCTCAAAAAAAGAAAAAAAAAAAAAATTCAGCTTTTTAAAGAAGGAAATTCTGGTACATGCTATGATATGGATGATCCTGGGACACAGTCTTAAGTGAAATAAGCCAGCTGCAAAAACACAAGCACTGCGTGATTCTACTTTCATGAGGCAATTACCGTAGTCAAATCCATCGGGACAGACATTAGAATGGTAGTTGCCAGGGGCTGGGGGGAAAGGGGAATGAGGCGTTATTATTTAGTGAGTACAGAGTTTCTGTTTTGTGAGATGAAGAGTTCCGGAGATAAATGGTGGTGATGGTGGCACAACAATGTGAACACATTTAATCCCACTGAACTATATTTAAAAACGGTTAAAATGGGCCAAGTGTGGTGGCTCACACCTGTAATCCCAGCGCTCTGAGAGGCTGAGGCAGGCAGATCACCTGAGGTCAGGAGTTCAAGAGCAGTCTGGCCAACATGGCGAAACCTCACCTCTACTAAAAATACAAAAATTAGCCAGGTGCAGTGGCGGGTGCCTGTAATCCCAGCTACTCAGGAGGGAGGCAGGAGAATCACTTGAGCCCGGGAAGCAGAGGTTGCAGTGAACCAAGATCTTGCAACTGTACTCCAGCCTGGGTACAGAAGGAGACTCTGTCTCAAAAAAAAAAAAAAAAAAAAAAAAAAAAAAAAAAAAAAGAAGGAAAGAAAAAAAAGAAAAGAAAAATAAAATAAAATAAAATATGGTTAAAATGATAAATTTTGTTATATATATTGCCGCAATTTTAAAATATATATATATATACACAAAATTAAATAAATTATATCTTAACATACTGCTCTTACAAGTAATTCTACTTTTTATATTCATTAATTATAATTTATATTTTGCCCTTTAATTTTAATAAATAATTTTGAAAATTTTAAATTTCTTTTTAGAAAATATATAATGGAAAAATCCTTTTTATTGTTTAGCTTTTTTCAGTTACTTTATGTTTTTGATAAAATAGATCCACATTTTAAATACTTTAAGTAGAAATAGTTTACTTAACAGTTAAGTTGATTCTCAACTTTTAAACGTTTAGACACAGGATAAGCTGCCCTCCATCTGGCTCATGTTCTCGGTCCTGCAGACGGAGGAGCCTCCTGCTGCTCTGATAATGGGTCCTCCCTGAGGACCCAGCTGCTTCCCAAGCAGCCTGTTGCTGTTGCTCTTGATATTTATTCTGCCCAGGAAGACTTTCTGGCCATTCTCTGCCTCCTGAATGCCTAACCACACCTCAAAACCCAGCTCTGATGTGACCTCCTCCAGGAAGCCCTCAGTCATTCCGACAGAATAAATGTGCCCATCTGTGTCACTGCATGATATGTCTACCCCTCTATTAGTACACACATTTCATGCATTATTGTTTGTTTTCTCATCTGTTTCCTGCTCCAGGCTATAAGCTCCTTGAAGTCAGCTACTACGCCTCATACATCTTTAGTCCCCAATCTCTAGCTCCATGAAGTGAATCCACAAATGGCTGTCAAAGAACTTTATATTTTCTCGATAATTCAATCATTGTTTTAAATGGAAGGAGCTATAGGACTGAATGGAACTCTTCTAAGCACTAAAAATTCTCTTTAGACTTTGTTTTGGGGGGCAATGCATTCTTAGACCGCCATTCATTAATCTGGCTACCTGTACCCAACACCTATTATCACCTTTCTGATTTGCTGCTTGAGAAAACAAAGATCAAACAGGTTCTGAGTGAGGAGGAACTGACGGCTCACCTCTGAGGATGATGCATGGACATTAGTACATGAGCTTGGGGACAGCTAGTCCAGCTCCTACAAGACTCTATTCCTTCTGCCAGCTGGGTGAGGGTGCCAGATAGGGAGGGTGATCTTCTCTCCTTGTTTGCCTGTCATCACCCAGGTTTACACCTATTGTCCCAACATAATTATTAATATTACCCACTTTCACTCTCAAATGTGTCCCAGTTTCACAATAAGTTATACGATCAAGTATGGTGAGTGATCCCTTAAAAAAAAGTGATGTGACATTGCCTTCCCTAGGGCATGTCATGGTCATTTTAAAAAAATGGAGAAATGAGAATGATGTTCTAACCTTCTAAATTCTACATGGTGACTGGTTCTTTTACCTTCTCACATCAATCCATTTTCATAATCCTGAAAAACCTCAGTGCACTGAGCTTCCCAAACAATCCCTCCCTTCCCCACATCCTTCCCCACCTCTTTCCCCATCTCCTTCCCCACATCCTTCCCCACCTCTTTCCCCATCTCCTTCCCCACATCCTTCCCCACCTCCTTCCCCACATCCTTCCCCATCTCCTTCCCCATCTCCTTCCCCACCTCCTTCCCCACCTCCTTCCCCACCTCCTTCCCCACCTCCTTCCCCACCTCCTTCCCCATCTCCTTCCCCACCTCCTTCCCCATCTCCTTCCCCACCTCCTTCCCCATCTCCTTCCCCACCTCCCTACCTCCCCACACACATAAATATTTGTGAAATTCAGAAAACCATATTATTTTATTTTTGTTTTAGAGACAGGGCCTCATTCTGTCATTCAATTTGGAGTGCAGTGATTTGATCATAGCTCAATGCAGCCTCATCCTTCTGAGCTCAAGCAATCCTCCCACCTCAGCCCCTTGAGTTGCTGGGACTACAGGTGTTCACCACCACACCTGGCTAATTTTTTAAAATTATTTTTAGTAGAGATGAGCTTTCTCTATATTGCTCAGGCTGGTCTCAAACTCCTGGGCTCAAGCAATCCTCCTACCTTGGCCTCCCAAAGTGCTGAGATTACAGGTGTAAGCCCTTGCACCTGGCCCAGAAACTATATTCTTAGAAGTTACTGGAATGTAAGCTTTCGAAGGGAAAGTAGTATGTTGTACAACTTTGCCAAGGTGAATAATATGGGATGGAATAAATGCGAGTCTGAAAAACAGTCTGTTTGCGACCTGGGCTGACACACTTTTGCTTAGAGGTGTATGAGGAATGCATTGCCCAGAGCTCGTTCAGGGACTACAACCCAACGGCTGGGCCTCCTCTGAGCTCTCCTGGATGGATCTTTCCACCAACCCTCTGGTGACGGAGGAATCCTGCCATTGGCTTCCTTCCCTGCCCACATTCCTGTGTGGTCTAATAAGAGCATACCCTTTGATTTTTCTGTCGCTTTAAGGGATGAGGAGAGGGGAACGCTGAGGAAAATACCAATTCATACTATACCTTTACAAAGGCAAAAAAGAAGAAAGAGGGAGCCATAATTACTCTCTGCCCCCAGGTCCTGATGGAGTGGTGAGTCTCTCAGACACTTTAAGTCGGCGCCACAAATTGTGTAAGAACTGACCTGGCGGCCTGCCTGGGCCACGTGACAGCCATATCTGATAATTTTGGCAAGGCGAAGTGGGGTGGTGAGGGGCCAGGACCCAGGAGGCAGAGAATGGGGCAAGGAAGGGGACAACAAAACCCTGGAAAATGAAGAATAAGAGGGGCATGGGAATATTGATCCCTGTTCCAATTCCATGAACTGGGGGCCCTTCTGCCTTGTGCCTTGCTCTGGGCTGCCTGGTGCAGGATGAGGCTGCTTCAGTGCTCGCCCATTCCCCTCATTCCCGGACCCCAGTCTTCGTGCTTTGCCTATGGAAAACTATAAATTGCCCCTCCCTTCTTGCTAGTAGGGTAGCCCATCCACCTCCTGAACTGGGATTTTGAAGATTACTGCTTGTGGGGGTGGGTGGGGGTTGTGGGAGGCAAAAATGGGCAAAGAAGTCCAACACTAGTTCCTTCCCCCTCCTCTGTGCCAGACCTGTCCCCACACGGTCACATATTTTTTCCTTGTGTCATTCTTACCAGAACCGGAAGTGGTGATTTCTATTGCTGTTTTGCACAGAAACACCGATGCTCACAGAACACGAAAAGGCTAGCTCTGCTTTGCCCATGAGCAGCAGAGCTGGGGTCTGAACCCAGACACATCTGGGCCTCTCCAGAGGGTCCAGGGCCTCTCCAGAGGGTCCAGGGCAAAGGCCCTCTCGCCACACTCACCCTCCCCTCTTTCGATGTCTTGCCAGTTGTCAAACCTGGACTCATGCTGCGCCCTGCCCCACCCATTGCTCCTTCTCTACGTGTGGATTTCTAGGCTACCCCTCAAAGTCCAGGGCTAAGATCCTGTTCTCTGACCACTCCCCAGTCTCAAAGCTGCGAGGGTTTTCTATTCCCTCAGCCCTTTGTATATCAATTATGAGATACACTACTTTTTTTAATGCTAAGATAATTTTTTCCATATTTTATCCTTTCTGATATCAGAATATGAGTGTGTAACATACTAACTTATGTTCCCTAAAATGATGCTCTTGAGTCAATTGCATTTCTCACAGTTGATGGGTCATAGTAGTGAAGACGCCTGGCTGGTGTGAAAATTAGTCCTTCATGCATCTGTCTCCCTCCCCCCGTGGTGAGCTTTCAGGCAGGGGCCCATGTTTGGTCACCTTTGTGTCTCAGTAGCAGCCCAGGGTGGGAACCCTGGGCTTCTCAGTAAATGCACTTGAAAAGTAAAAATGCTTGTATGTGTTACTAACAGAAGGGTCTTATTTAATCCTTAAATAGACCCTGTGAAGCATCTATTATTATCCTCAAAGAAAGTCATTACTTTCCTCATTACAGATGGTAAATGGAGGCTCAGAGAGCTTTAGTAATTTTCCCCAGGTCACATAGCTAGGAAGCAATGGAGTTTATTTGCACTTGCACAGTCTGGACATACTGGTGTTGGCAAACAAACTCTATATGATATGGAAAAAGGAAGAAAGAACACTCAAAGTAACTGTAAATTAAACAAGGCAGACTGGAGCTCAATATAAGCTTCAAAGTCCATTTCTTGACTGTGATATTCATATATGTGTATTCAATTGTCTGCACAGACAACTACAACTACAATGATTTTACAGGTATAATTACAAGTATAATGCCAGCTGGCTACATCTCACTAACAATAAAGGGACAATTAGAGCCTTAATCTGGCTAATAATGCATACCAAAAGCCTGGCTTCTGGGGGGCAGAGGGGAAGAATTTTCTCTATCTCATTTCTAAGCCCAGAACTCTTCTTGGTTCCAAGGCAAATGTGCAGCTTTGCTTAGAATTGATGGCTCACTGGTTTGAAACTGTGCCAGGTTCTTCGTACTTTATATGTATTTTAATTTCCTGGTATTCTTTGGTACTGTGTCATTTCACTAAGGGGACTCTGCCATATTTTCAAATAGTTCAATAAAGGGCAGGTCATTGTGCTGACTGGTTGGAATTCCAGTGTTCACATCTGATCCTCTCCATGCAGCCAGGGTCAGGAGAAGCAGAACAGGTATTTCAAGGTTCTTATCTCCCAGGACAGTGAAAATGAACATATAATGAACAGAGCCTGTTGCAGAGGGGGAGCCAAACAACTGCTGACCAAAGCAAGAGAGCAAGCAAGCAAGAGAAGAAGAAAGAAAGAAAGAAGAAAGGAAGAAAGAAAGAAAGAAAGAAAGAAAGAAAGAAAGAAAGAAAGAAAGAAAGAAAGAAAAGAAAGAAAGAAAAGAAAAAGAAAGAAAGAAAGGAAGAAAGAAAGAAGAAAGAAAGGGAAAGAGAAAGAGAGAGAGAGAGAAGGAGGGAGGGAGGGAGGGAGGAAAAGAGAGCTGCCAATCTTATATGGACCTGTACCAAGATGGAGTGATGGCCTGGACTTCAGAGTAGGAGTCTAGCACAGTGGTTAAATGGCCTGGATTCTGGGGTCAGGACAACCCGAGTTGGAAGATTGGATCTGGCTCCTCTTGGAAGAACTTGAGGGAAGCTCCTTCCTCAACCTTGAAAGCCTCGATTGCTCCATTGGTATAAGAAGACGATGATCACAGTACCTTCCTCCAAGGTTTATTTCAAGGACTAAAGTGATTCCAAAGTCTGTAACCCACTGCCCAGCTGATAGTGAGCCTCAGTAAATATGAACAATTATTTTCCTATTTTTTAGTAGCCCTCATTTTTTTACAGCAGATTTAGGTTCAGACCAAAATTAAGGGGAAAGTACAGAGATTCCCTATACTCCCTGTCACAATACATGTACAGCCTTTCCCATGATTAACATCCCACGCCAGAGAGGACATCTGTTGTAACTGATGAGCCTACATTGTCACATCATTATCCCCCAGAGTCCACAGTTTACATTAAGATTCACTCTTAGCGTTGTACGTTCTGTGGGGTTTGACAAATGAATGATGACTTGTATTCACGACTGCAGTATCATACAGAATAGTTTAACTGCCCTAAAAATTCTCCATGTTCTTCCAACTTATTTCCCTCCTACTCCATCTCTGGAAACCTCTGGTCCTTTTACTGTCCCCATATTTTTTCCTTTTCCAGAATTTCATTAAGTTGGAATCATATAGCATGCAGCCTTTTCAGACTGGCTTCTCTCACTTAGTAAGAGGCATTTAAGATTCCTCCATACCTTTTCATGACTTGATAGCTCATTTCTTTTTAGTATTGAATAACATTCTGTTGTCTGGATGTACCACAGATTATTTATTCATTAACCTACTGAAGAACATCTTGGTTGATTCCAGGATTTGGCAATTATGGATAAAGCTGCTATAAACATCCTTATGTGGGTTCCTCTGTGGACATAAGTTTTCAGCTCATTTGGGTAAATACCAAGGATTGTAATTGCCGAATCACATGGTAAGGGTGTGTTTAATTTAATAAGAAATGGTCCCATTTTCTTCCAAAGTGGCTGGACCTTCTTGCATTCCCATCAGCCATGAATGAGAGCTGCCATTGTTCCACATTCTTGCCAGCATTTGTTATTGCCAGTGTTTTGGATTGTGGCCATTCTAATAGGTGTGTAGTGGTATCTCATTTTTGTTTTAATTAGCAATTCCTTAATGACATATAATGTTGAGTCATTTTTTATTGTTTTCTTATTATCCTATAAGGTTTCTGTAAGAATGAGATGAGCTGATAGAAAAGAGATTAGCACAGCGCTAATCTCTGAACAAAATAATTGTTCAGTCAACTGGAGGTTTAAAATAGAAAGCATCATTATTGACCTGGAATATTGGGGTATCTTTTTTCTCAGTTTGATGGATGTAGGGTCAATTTGGTGCCCATGATTACCTCCTACTCAATTACTACTCTTTTTTTTTTTTTTTTTTTTTTGAGATGGAGTCTCACTCTGTTGCCCAGGCTGGAGTGCAGTGGCGTGATCTCCTCTCACAGCGACCTCTGCCTCCTGGGTTCAAGCAATTCTCCTGCCTCAGTCTCCCAAGTACCTGGGATTACAGGCACCCACCACCATGCCCAGCTAATTTTTAATAGAGATGGGATTTCTCTATTAAATGTTGGCCAGGCTGGTCTTGAATTCCTGACCTCAAGCGATGCACCCACTGTGGCCTCCCAAAGTGCTGGGATTACAGTAGTGAGCCACCATGCCTGGCCTCAGTTACTACTCTTGCTAAATACCCTTTACATACCCCAATCATCGCACTTACTAATTACATAATGATTATCTGTTTTTAAATCTGTCTCCTCTACTTCAGAGGAGCTCCTTGAGGACAGAGCTATATCTTCCTCATGTGTCCACCCCTGGCAACTGGCACAGGGTAGGGTATCCGGCAGCTGCCAGGTATATTTTTTAAGCCAAACTGACAATCTTGAATGAACTCTTCTGTGCTGGACTTTGGCCCAGTGTATGGACTTGAGTTCAGAAAAAGTGAGCCACAGAAATTATCATACGGCCTGCAGAACTGGTCATGCTCCCCCTGCATATCATCTATACCTTCCATGGCCTCTGTCACTGCTTGTCATTTGATGACAAATTAGAGTGAGCGCCTGTCTTCCCCCATTAAAATGTGAGCACCCTGAGAGGTTGAGAATTATCCCTGTGTCCCTGTGCAGAGCAGGGCTGACGGACACTTGCAACATTAAGTGAATGAGCAAGGCCCTGACTGGTCTATGTGCTGGCCCTGAGCCTGAGTCTACAGCTCTGCTTAGCCAAAGACCCAGAAAATCTAGGCCTGGCTGGAGATGGCCAGCCCCTGAAGCAAGCTCAGACTCACTTTCTATGAGAAATTAAATATAATAGAACATTAACTCCAACACCACTCCTGAGTCTGGATAGGATTCATTCTAGCTCTGCAGTGGTGACAATGCCAGGAGGTTTATGGTTGATGGCAGACGTCAAGGATGCCTCTTTTGACCTCCTTTCTCATCTGTGGCCATGATGACTAGGTATGGAAATGAATACTAGAGGGTATTAAAATAAGAGTTTTTCCTATATGCCCTGAAAATCCAGGTCCAGAGCCTCCTTCCTCCTTCCAGAACCACTCACTACTCCTCCTTCAGTGAAATATAATAAAATGGGATGGCAATGTGGGGAGAAGTGATGTCAGCAGGATGGTGAACTAGAATGTACCAGGCCTTGTACCCTACAAAAACAATGATTCAATAACTATCCACAAATAAAAGTAGTTATGGGAGAGCTCTGAAGCCCAGTTAAGAAACTGTAGCCACCTAGTGGAGGCAAAAAAAGGAAAATGAAACAAACAAAAAAAATCCTGAGGATTAGTAAACAGAAAAGGGTAGGAAAAACAGTAGCATTGTAGAAAAACTATTTAGAAAGCCAGAAGACCCTAGAAGCTCTGGCCACTGAGGACCGCAGCAGCCCAGATGGCTGCAGACTGCTGCAGCCTTTGCCAGCAAGGACCCTTGCAATCTTTACCAACATGGGCTCCACTTGCCAGAGTTGCCTAGAGCTCACATTCCTGAGCCTCCCAAGCCAGAGATACCATGACCCCCAGCTGAGACTGCCTAGTATCCACCAGAGCTGGTGCTGCTACAACCTCCTCACAGCTAGCACCACTGTGCACACACCAGACCCAGCACTACTGCAACCCCATCAAACCCAGTGTTCCTGCACATCCATGGGACCCAGTGCTGCCATGCACTCATTAGACCTGGCTCTGCTCTACACCCACTGATCCAGAGCTTCCACTGGACCCAGCACACCTATACATCCCAAGACCTGACACCCTGACATTCTCCTGAAGCTAATACCTATGCATACTCTGCCCAGTTGATGCCCTTGTATTCAGGTGAAGGTCTTTCATCCCAAAGCCAGTCTATAAAGCCTGGAAGAAGTAACTGCTTCTTCAAATGAGCAAACACCAATGCAAGGCTATATGGAACACAAAAAGTCAGGGAAACGTGAAACCTTCAAAAGAACAAAATTAATTCCCAGGAACCAATTCCAATAAATGGTCTATTAATTGTCTGACAATACAAATCAAAAAAATTGTTTTAAGGAAGTTCAGAGAGCTGCAAAAGAAGTTGATAGAAAACTCATTGAAATCAGGAGAACGTATATGAACAAAACTAGCAGTTTGACAAAAAGATAAAAATCATAAAAAAGAACTAAACAAATTCTGGATCTGAAGAATACAATGATTGACGTGAAAAATGCAATATGGAGCTTCAACTACAGATTTGTTTGGGCACAAGAAAGAATTAGTGATCTCAAAGACAGATGATTTGGAAGTTATTTAGTCAGAGAAGCAAAAAGGGGAAAAAGGAATAAAAAAGAGTGAAGAAAACTTAGACTTATGGGACACCAACAAAGAAATGAATATGTGCATTTTGGAAGTTACAGAAAGTTAAAAGAAAAAGAAAAGAACGAAAAGTTTATTTAAAGAAATAATGACTGAGGTCACTTCCAAGATGGCCGAATAGGAACAGCTCCGGTCTGCAGCTCCCAGCAAGATCGAAGCAGAAGATGGGTGATTTCTCCATTTCCAAATGAGGAACCTGGTTCATCTCACTGGGACTGGTTAGACAATGGGTGCAGCCCATGGAGGGCGAGTCCAAGCAGGGTGGGGTGTCACCTCACCCAGGAAGTGCAAGGAGTCAGGGGACTTCCCTTTCCTTGCCAAGGAAAGCTGTGAGTGACTATACCTGGAGGAGTGGTACACTGCTGCCCAAATACTGAGCTTTTCCCACGGTCTTCACAACCGGCAGACCAGGAGATTCCCTCCTGTCCCTGGCTCGGCGGGTCCCATGCCCACGGAGCCTTGCTGACTGCTAGTGCAGCAATCCGAGATGGACCTGGGACACTGGAGCTTGGTGGGGGGAGGGGCGTCCACCATTGCTGAGGCTTCAGTAGGTGGTTCTATGCTCACAGGATAAACAAAGTGGCAGGGACGCTTGAACTGGGCAGAGTCTACTGCAGCTCAGCAAGGCCTACTGCCTCTCTAGATTCCACTCTAGATTCTGGGAGCAGGGCATAGCTAAATAAAAGGCAGCAGACAGCTTCTGCAGACTTAAACATCACCGCCTGACAGCTCTGAAGAGAGCAGTGGTTCTCCCAGCACGGTGTTCAAGCTCCAATAACAGACAGACTGCCTCTTCAAGTGGGTCCCTGACCCCCACATAGCCTGACTAGTGGACACCTCCCAGTAGGGGCCAACAGAAACCTCATACAGGCAAGTGCCCCTCTGGGATGAAGCTTCCAGAGGAAGGATCAGACAGCAATATTTGCTCTTTGTTCTGCAGCCTCCGCTGGTGATACCCAAGCAAACAGGGTCTGGAGTGGACCTCCAGCAAACTCCAACAGACCTGCAGCTGAGGGGCCTGTCTGTTAGAAGGAAAACTAACAAACAGAAAGGAGTAGCATCAACATCAACAAAAAGGACATCCACACCAAAACCCCATCCATAGGTCACCAACATCAAAGACCAAAGGTAGATAAAACCACAAAGATGGGGAGAAACCAGAGCAGAAAGGCTGAAAATTCCAAAAATCAGAACTCCTCTTCTTCTCCAAAGGAACATAACTCCTCACCAGCAAGGGAACAAAACTGGATGGAGAATGAGTTTGATGAGTTGACAGAAGTAGACTTCAGAAGGTCAGTAATAACAAACATCTCTGAGCTAAAAGACCATGTTCTAACCCATCACAAGGAAGCTAAAAACCTTGAAAAAGGTTAGAAGAATGGCTAACTGAATAAACAGTGTAGAGAAGAGCTTAAATGACCCAATGGAGCTGAAAACAACAGTACGAGAATTGTGTGAAGCATACACAAGATTCAATAGCCAATTCAATCAAGCAAAAGAAAGGATATCAGTGATTGAAGATCAAATTAATGAAATAAAGTGAGAAGACAAGATTAGAGAAAAAAGAGTGAAAAAAAATGAGCAAAGCTTCCAAGAAATATGGGACTATGTGAATAGACCAAATCTACATTTGACTGGTGTACCTGAAAGTGACAGGGAGAATGGAACCAAGTTAGAAAACACTCTTCAGGATATTATCCAGGAGAACTTCCCCAACCTGGCAAGGCAGGCCAACATTTGAATTCAGGAAATACACAGAATCCCACAAAGATACTCCTCAAGAAGAGCAACCCCAAGACACATAACTGTCAGATTTACAAAGGTTGAATTGAAGGAAAAAATGTTAAAGGCAGCCAGAGAGAAAGGCCAGGTCACCTACAAAGGGAAACCCATTAGACTAACAGTGGATCTCTCGGCAGAAACCCTACAAGCCAGAAGAGAGTGAGGGCCAATATTCAACATTATTAAAGAAGAGAATTTTCAACCCAGAATTTCATATCCAGCCAAACTAAGCTTCATAAGTGAAGGAGAAATAACATCCTTTACAAAGAAGCAAATGCTGAGATATTTTGTCACCACCAGGCCTGCCTTACAAGAGCTCCTGAAGGAAGCACTAAATGTGGAAAGGAACAATTGGTACCAGCCACTGCAAACACATGCCAAATTGTAAAGACCATCAATGCTATGAAGAAACTGCATTAATTAACAGGTGAAATAACCAGCTAACGTCATAATGACAGGACCAAATTAATACATAACAATATTAACCTTAAATGTAAATGGGCTGAATGCCCCAATTAAAAGACATAGACTGGCAAATTGAACAGAGTCAAGACCTATTGGTGTGCTGTATTCAGGAGACACATCTCGTGCAAAGACACACATAGGCTCAAAATAAAGGGATGGAGGAAGATCTACCAAGCAAATGGAAAGCAAAAAAAAAGCAGGGGTTGCAATGCTAGTCTCTGATAAAACAGACTTTAAACCAACAAGGATCAAAAGAGACAAAGAAGGCCATTATATAGTGGTAAAGGGATCAATTCAACAAGAAGTGCTAACTATCCTAAATATATATGCCCCAATAGAGGAGCACCCAGAGTCATAAAGCAAGCTCTTAGAGACCTACAAAGAGACTTAGATTCCCACACAATAATAATGGGACACTTTAACCCCCACTGTCAATATTAGACAGATCAATGAGACAGAAAATTAACAAGGATATCCAGGACTTGAACTCAGCTCTGGACCAAGCAGACCTAGTAAACATCTACAGAATTCTCCACCCCAAATCAACAGAATATACATTCTTCTCAGCACCTCATGGCACTTATTCTAAAATTGACCACATAATTGGAAGTAAAACACTCCTCAGCAAACGTAAAAGAACAGAAATCACAACAAACTGTTTCTCAGACCGCAGTGCAATCAAATTAGAACCCAGGATTAAGAAACTCACTCAAAACCGCAGAACTACATGGAAACTGAACAACCTGCTCCTGAATGACTACTGGGTAAATAACAAAATTAAGGCAGAAATAAAGATGTTCTTTGAAACCAATGAGAACAAAGACATAATGTACCAGAATCTCTGGGACACATTTAAAGCAGTGTATAGAGAGAAATTTATAGCACTAAATGCCCACAAGAGAAAGCAAGAAAGATCTAAAATTGACACCCTAACATCACAATTAAAAGTACTAGAGAAGCAAATTCAAAAGGTAACAAAAGACAATAAATAACTAAGATCAAAGCAGAACTGAAGGAGATAGAGACACAAAAAAATCCTTCAAAAAAATTAATGAATCCAGAAGCTGGTTTTTTGAAAAGATCAACAAAATAGACCACTAGCAAGACTAATAAAGAAGAAAGACAGAAGAATCCAATAGATGCAATAAAAAAATGATAAATGGAATAGTATCACTGATCCCACAGAAATGCAAACTACCATCAGAGAATACTGTAAACACCTCCATGCAAATAAATTAGAAAATCTAAAAGAAATGGAAAAATTCCTGGACACATACACTCTTCCAAGACTAAACCAGGAAGAAGTTGAATCTCTGAATAGACCAATAACAGGTTCTGAAATTGAGGCAATAATTAATAGCCTACGAACCGAAAAAGTCCAGGACCAGATGGATTCACAGCCGAATTCTCCCAGAGGTACAAAGAGGAGCTGGTACTATTCCTTCTGAAACTACTCCAATCAATAGAGAAAGAGAGAATCCTCTCTAACTCATTTTATGAGGCCAGCATCATTCTGATACCAAAGCCTGGCAAAGACACAACAAAAAAAGAGAATTTTAGGCCAATATCACTCATGAACATTGATGTGAAAATCCTCAGTAAAATACTGGCAAACCAATCCAGCAGCACATCAAAAAGCTTATCCACCATGACCAAGTTGGCTTCATCCCTGGGATGCAAGGCTGGTTCAACATATGCAAATCAATAAACATAATCCATCACATAAACAGAACCAATGGCAAAAACCACGTAATTATCTCAATAAATGCAGAAAAGGCTTTCAGCAAAATTCAACAGCCTTTCATGCTAAAAACTCTCAGTAAACTAGGTACTGATGGAACATATCTCAAAATAATAAGAGCTATTTAGGACAAACCCACAGCCAATATCATACTGCATGGGCAAAAACTGGAAGCATTCCCTTTGAAAACTGGCACAAGACAGGGATGCCCTGTCTCACCACTCCTATTCAACATAGTGTTGGAAGTTCTGGCCAGGGCAATCAGTCAAGAGAAAGAAATAAAGGGTATTCAATTAGGAAAAGAGGAAGTCAAATTGTCTCTGTTTGCAGATGACATGATTGTATATTTAGAAAGCCCCATTGTCTCAACCCAAAATCTCCTTAAGCTGATAAGCAATTTCAGCACAGTCTCAGGATACAAAATCAATGTGCAAACATCACAAGCATTCCTATACACCAAGAACAGACAGAGAGCCAAGTCATGAGTGAATTCCCATTCACAATTACTACAAAGAGAATAAAATACCTAGGAATCCAACTTACAAGGGATGTGAAGGACCTCTTCAAGGAGAACTTCAAACCACTGCTCAGTGAAATAAAAGAGGACACAAACAAATGAAAGAACATTCCATGCTCATGGATAGGAAGAATCAATATTGTGAAAATGGCCATACTGCCCAAGGTAATTTATAGATTCAATGCTATCCCCATCAAGCTACCACTGACTTTCTTCACAGAATTGGAAAAAACTACTTTAAATTTTATATGGAACCAAAAAAGAGCCCACATAGCCAAGACAATCTTAAGCAAAAAGCATAAAGCTGGAGGCATCACGCTGCCTGACTTCAAACTATACTACAAGGCTACAGTAACCAAAACAGCATGGTACTGGTACCAAAACAGATACATAGACCAATGGAACAGAACAGAGCCCTCAGAAATAACGCCGCATATCTACAACCATCTGATCTTTGACAAACCTGGCAAAAACAAGCAATGGGGAAAGGATTCCCTGTTTAATAAATGGTGCCAGGAAAACTGGCCAGCCATATGCAGAAAGCTGAAACTGGATCCTTTCCTTATACCTTATACAAAAATTAACTCAAGATGGATTAAAGACTTAAATGTAAGACATAAAAACATAAAAACCCTAGAAGAAAACCTAGGCAATACCATTCAGGACATAGGCATGAGCAAAGACTTCATGATTAAAACACCAAAAGCAATGGCAACAAAAGCCAAAATTGACAAATGGGATCTAATTAAACTAAAGAGCTTCTGCACAGCAAAAGAAATTATCATCAGCATGAACAGGCAACCTACAGAATGGGAGAAAATTTTTGCAATCTATCCATCTGACAAAGGGCTAATATTCAGAATCTACAAATAACTTAAACAAATTTACAAGAAAAAAACAAACAGCCCCATCAAAAAGTGGGCAAAGGATATGAACAGACACTTCTCAAAAGAAGACATTTATGCAGCCAACAAACATATGAAAAAATGCTCATCATCACTGGTCATCAGAGAAATGCAAATCAAAACCACAATGAGATACCATCTCACACCAGTTAGAATGACGATCATTAAAAAGTCAGGAAACAACAAATGCTGGAGAGAATGTGGAGAAACAGGAATGCTTTTACACTGTTGGTGGGGGTGTAAATTAGTTCAACCATTGTGGAAGACAATGTGGCAATTCCTCAAGGATCTAGAACTAGAAATATCACTGGACCCAGCAATCTCATTAGTGAGTATATACCCAAAGGATTATAAATCATGCCACTATAAAGACACATGCACACGTATGTTTATTGTGGCACTATTCACAATAGCAAAGACTTGGAACCAACCCAAATGTCCATCAATAATAGACTGGATAAAGAAAATGTGGCACATATACACCATGGAATACTATGCAGCCATAAAAAAGGATGAGTTCATGTCCTTTGCAAGGACATGGATGAAGCTGGAAACCATCGTTCTCAGCAAAATATCACAAGGACAGAAAACCAAACACTGCATGTTCTCACTCATAAGTGGGAATTCAACAAGAACACCTGGACACAGGGAGGGGAGCATTACACACCGAGGCCTGTTGGGGGATGGGGTGCTGGGGCAGGGATAGCCTTAGGAGAAACACCTAAAGTTAATGACAAGTTGATGGGTGCAGCAAACCAACATGGCACATCTATACCTATGTAACAAACCTGCACATTGTGCACATGTACCCTAGAACTTAAAGTATAATAATTTTAAAAAATTATTGAAAAAGATAAAACAACTGTGGATTACAAGAGTCTTAGAACAGTAATGGTTAAAAACACAATTCACAAGGAAATTTGCTTACTTCTGTGGCATACAACAATTTTACATAATGATCATAATTACTACTAAAAGTGTATGCTAAGACATATTAGAATCACAGGAATCTCATGCAATCCTGGAATACACACTAATAACACATTTGTATGAATATAATCCAAATAAGGTTAAACCCCATTCATATTTGACAATACTATTAGCCTGAAGTCCAAAAGAGACATATTCACCTTTGTTATAATAAAATGATTTTATTTGACAACGATTTTATTATATCAAACAAGCCAAATGTGTCTTTTTTGGACTTCAAGTTTACCTAATATCAAAAATTAATGAGGACCGAAGTTAGAGTTTGATTTTGGAAAGTTAGTCAAATATAAAAAGCTTAAAACACTTGATATCACAAAATAGAATCACAGGTTATTGTAAAATAAGTCATTCATTTAGTCAAAGTGATAACTCAAAGATTTCAAAAAAAGGCAAAAATTTTCATTCTTTGAGAGAGGAGACTTAATTTCCCAAACAATAAGCCCTAATAATAAAGATAGCATAAGGCCAATTAAATCTGTCTCTCAAAATTTTATAAACAAAATCTATTAAATTTTAATCACCTTGGTCATAAGATATAATTTTCATAAATCTTTTTATAATCATTATCATTATTTATTAAGGAGTGGGTTAATGCTCCAAGAAAACCTTGTTAATCTGACACAAGGGGCCAAATGTTGGTTTTGCATCAGTGTGCCTTTGAAATTAAAAGTTAATTTATTTAAAAAAGGAAAAAAGATGACTAAAAAATTTCTAAATCTGAGGAAAGAAATAGACATATACATTCAAGAATCCCAGAGGACCATAAATAGATTGAACATAAAAATTTTATACCAAGACACATTATAATTAAATTTTCAAAAATCAAAGACAGTCAGAATTTTTAAAGCCTCAAGAGAAAAGTGACTCATCACATATAAGGGAACCCCTAAATGATTGTCAGTAAATTTCTCACTAGAAACCTTGCAGTTCGAGACAGCGAGATGATATACTTAAAGTATTAAAAGAAAAAGAAAAAAACTAACAACCAAGAGTACTATACCCAGAAAAACTACTCTTTAAAAATGAAGGAGAGATAAAGTCTTTCCTAGGAAAACAAAAACTAAGGAAGTTGGTCACTGCTAGATCTGTCTTACAAAAAGACCTGCTTAAGGGGATTCTTCAAATTGGAAGGAAAACACACCAAACAACAATACCAAATCATTTAACTATTTTTTTTATTTTTAAGATGGAGTCTCACTCTGTTGCCCAGGCTGGAGTGCAGTGGCATGATCTTGGCTCACTGCAACTTTCGCCTCCTGGGTTCAAGTAATTCTCCTGCCTCAACTTCCCGAGTAGCTGGGATTACAGGCGCCCACCACCACACCCCGCTAATTTTTGCATTTTTAGTAGAGACAGGGTTTCACCATGTTAGCCAGGCTGATCTCGAACTCCTGACCTCAGGTGATCCTCCTGCCTCAGCCTGTCAAAGTGCTGGGATTACAGGCGTAAGCCACTGCACCCGGCCCCAAAGCATTCAAAAGCATAAATCTAACCAGTAAAAGGCCGGGCGCTCACGCCTGTAATCCCAGCACTTTGGGAGGCCAAGACGGGCAGATCACGAGGTCAGGAAATGGAGACCATCCTGGCTAACACGGTGAAACCCCGTCTCTACTAAAAAATACAAAAAATTAGCCAGGCGTGGTGGTGGGCACCTGTAGTCCCAGCTACTCGGGAGGCTGAGGCAGGAGAATGGCATGAACCTGGGAGGAGGAGCTTGCAGTGAGCCGAGATCATGCCACTGCACTCCAGCCTGGGAGACAGAGCAAGACTCCGTCTCAAAAAAAAAAAAAAAAAAGTAAATATACAGAGGAATGCATAATAATATAACACTTTAATGGTGGTGCATAAATTATAGTCGGCTAATATTAAAGTAAAAAATATTTAGAATAAGCATAACTGCAAAAATTTGTTAGTGGATTCATAACATTAAAAGAAATAAATGCTGGCTGGGCTCAGTGGCTCATGCCTGTAATCCCAGCACTTTGGGAGGCCGAGGCGGGCGGATCACCTGAGGTCAGGAGTTCAAGACCAGCCTGGCCAACATGGTGAAACCCCGTCTCTACTAAAAAAAAAAATACAAAACTTAGCCGGGCATGGTAGCGGGTGCCTGTAATCCCAGCTACTCGGGAGGCTGAGGCAGGAGAATCACTTGAACCTGGGAGCCGAAGGTTGCGGTGAGCCGGGGTCATGCCACTGCACTCCAGCCTGGGTGACACAGCAAAACTCCGTCTCAAAAAAAAAAAGAAAAAAAAAAGAAGTAAATGCTGGCTTTAAGAATACAAAATATGTGTGGGGAGGAGTAAAAGTGTAAAGTTTTTGTATATGATTGAAATTAAAATATTATCAACTTAAAGTAGATGGCTATAACTACAATTTAGTTAATACAAGCCTTGTGCTATCACAAAGAAACAACTATATAGATACACAAAAGGTAAAGAAAAAGCAAATCACTGCAAAAAATAACAAAGGAAGACAGTAAGGCAGAAAAGAGGAATAAAACAATTTTAAAAAGACAAAAAACAATTCGCAAATTGGCAACGGTAAGTCTTTATTAATAACATTAAATGTAAATGGATTAAACTCCCCATTGGAAAGATACAGAGTTGCTGAGTGGATGTAACACACACAGACACACTCACACACACACGTGAGATCTAGCAATATGCTGTGTATAAGAGACTCAGTTTAGACTTAAGGTCACCCACAGCCTGAAAGTGAAGGGATGAAAAAATATATCCATGCAAATGGTAGCCAAAAAGAAAGCAAGGGTGACCATATTTACGTGAGAAAAAATAGACTTCAAGTCAAAAACTGTCACAAGAGACAAAAGGGGACACTATATAATAATAAAAGGGTCAATCAACCAGGAAGAAATAACAATTATAAATAGATGTGCACCCAACACCAGAGCGCTAAAATATGTAATGGAAATATTGATATATCTGAAGGAAGAAATTGACAGCAATACAATAATAGTAGGAGACTTCCCTACATAACTTGCAATAACAGCTAGAACAACCAGATATAAAATCAATAAAGAAACTGACTTGAACAACTTTATAGATCAAATGGATATAACAGACATATACAAAGCTTTCCATCAAAAAGCAAAGAATGCATCTTCTTCTCAAGTGCACATAAATGTTCTCTAGGATAGATCATATCTTAGGTCACAAAATAACTCTTAACAAATATAAGAAGATCAAAATTATACCAAGTATCTTTTCTGATCACAATGAAATAAAACTAAAAATCAATAACAATAAGAAACTGGGAAAATTTGCAAATACATTGAAACTAAACAAACCACTTGAACAACAATTGGGTCAAAAAAATACAAAAGGAACATTAAAATATGCAGAGACAAACAAAACTGAAGGAATAGCATACCAAAACTTATGGGATACAGTAAAAACAGTAGTAAAGGGACATTCATAGTGACAAATGCCTACATTAAAAAAAGAAGAAAGATTGCAAATAACCTAATTTTACACCTCCAGGAACCAGAAAAAGAACAAACCAACCCCCATATTTGCAGAAGGAAGGAAATGATAACAATAAGAGTAGAAATAAATAAAAGAGAGAATAAAAAACAGTAGAAAAGAAATCGAGGAAACAAGACTTGGTTTCTTGAAAAGACAAACAAATTTGGCAAACTCCATCACTAAACTAACTTGGAAAAAAAGAAAGAAGTCTCAAGTAAATAAAATCAGAAATGAGAGACACTACAGCAGATGAGTCAGAAATAAAAAGGATCATAAATGATCATTATGAACAATTATTCATCAACAAATTGGATAACTTGGAAGAAATAGATAAATTCCTAGACATATGCAACCTACCAAGACTGAATTAAGAAGAACAAATTTTAACAATGAAATTGAATCAGTAATTAAAACCTTCCCAACAAAGAAAAGCCCAGGATTAGATGGCTTAATGGGTGAATTCTACCAAATATTTAAAGAAGAATTAATACCAATTCTTTTTTTATTAATTAATTAATTAATTTTTTATTTTATTTTATTTTATTATTATACTGTAAGTTTTAGGGTACATGTGCACAACGTGCAGGTTAGTTACATATGTATACATGTGCCATGCTGGTGCGCTGCACCCACTAACTCGTCATTTAGCATTAGGCATATCTCCTAATGCTATCCCTCTCCCCTCCCCCTACCCCACAACAGTACCCAGAGTGTGATGTTCCCCTTCCTGTGTCCATGTGTTCTCATTGTTCAGTTCCCACCTATGAGTGAGAATATGTGGTGTTTGGTGTTTTTTGTTCTTGCGATAGTTTACTGAGAATGATGATTTCCAATTTCATCCATGTCCCTACAAAGGACATGAACTCATCATTTTTTATGGCTGCATAGTATTCCATGGTGTATATGTGCCACATTTTCTTAATCCAGTCTATCATTGTTGGACATTTGGGTTGGTTCCAAGTCTTTGCTATTGTGAATAATGCCACAATAAACATACGTGTGCATGTGTCTTTATAGCAGCGTGATTTATAGTCCTTTGGGTATATACCCAGTAATGGGATGGCTGGGTCAAATGTTATTTCTAGTTCTAGACCCCTGAGGAATCGCCACACTGACTTCCACAATGGTTGAACTAGTTTACAGTCCCACCAACAGTGTCAAAGTGTTCCTATTTCTCCATATCCTCTCCAGCACCTGTTGTTTCCTGACTTTTTAATGATTGCCATTCTAACTGGTGTGAGATGGTATCTCATTGTGGTTTTGATTTGCATTTCTCTGATGGCCAGTGATAGTGAGCATTTTTTCATGTGTTTTTTGGCTGCATAAATGTCTTCTTTTGAGAAGTGTCTGTTCATGTCCTTTGCCCACTTTTTGATGGGGTTGTTTGTTTTTTTCTTGTCAATTTGTTTGAGTTCATTGTAGATTCTGGATATTAGCCCTTTGTCAGATGAGTAGGTTGCGAAAATTTTCTCCCATTTTGTAGGTTGCCTGTTCACTGTGACGGTAGTTTCTTTTGCTGTGCAGAAGCTCTTTAGTTTAATTAGATCCCATTTGTCAATTTTGGCTTTTGTTACCATTGCTTTTGGTGTTTTAGACATGAAGTCCTTGCCCATGCCTATGTCCTGAATGGTAAAGCCTAGGTTTTCTTCTAGGGTTTTTATGGTTTTAGGTCTAACATTTAAGTCTTTAATCCATCTTGAATTGATTTTTGTATAAGGTGTAAGGAAGGGATCCAGTTTCAGTGTTCTACATATGGCTAGCCAGTTTTCCCAGCACCATTTATTAAATAGGGAATCCTTTCCCCATTGCTTGTTTTTCTCAGGTTTGTCAAAGATCAGATAGTTGTAGATATGCGGCGTTATTTCTGAGGGCTCTGTTCTGTTCCATTGATCTATATCTCTGTTTTGGTACCAGTACCATGCTGTTTTGGTTACTGTAGCCTTGTAGTATAGTTTGAAGTCAGGTAGTGTGATGCCTCCAGCTTTGTTCTTTTGTCTTAGGAATGACTTGGTGATGTGGGCTCTTTTTTGGTTCCATATGAACTTTAAAGTAGTTTTTTCCAATTCTGTGAAGAAAGTCATTGGTAGCTTGATGGGGATGGCATTGAATCTGTAAATTACCTTGGGCAGTATGGCCATTTTCACAATATTGATTCTTCCTACCCATGAGCATGGAATGTTCTTCCATTTGTTTGTATCCTCTTTTATTTCCTTGAGCAGTGGTTTGTAGTTCTCCTTGAAGAGGTCCTTCACATCCCTTGTAAGTTGGATTCCTAGGTATTTTATTCTCTTTGAAGCAATTGTGAATGGGAGTTCACTCATGATTTGGCTCTCTGTTTGTCTGTTGTTGGTGTATAAGAATGCTTGTGATTTTTGTACATTGATTTTGTATCCTGAGACTTTGCTGAAGTTGCTTATTAGCGTAAGGAGATTTTGGGCTGAGACAATGGGGTTTTCTAGATATACAATCATGTCGTCTGCAAACAGGGACAATTTGACTTCCTCTTTTCCTAATTGAATACCCTTTATTTCCTTCTCCTGCCTAATTGCCCTGGCCAGAACTTCCAACACTATGTTGAATAGGAGTGGTGAGAGAGGGCATCCCCAAAAAAAAAAAAAAGAATTAATACCAATTCTTAAAACTTTTTCAAATAATTGAATAAGAGAAAGCACTTCTAAACTCATGTTATGAGGCCAGGATCACCCTGATGTCAAAGCTTAGCAAAAATACCACAAGAAAAAAAAACTACAGGGCAATATCTCTAATTAACATAAACACAAAAATCCCCAATAAAATACTAACAAACGAAATTCAAAAGCATGTTGAAAGGATCATACACCATGACCAAGTAGGATTTATCCCTGAGATGGAAGGATGGTTCAACATATCAAATCAATCAGTGTAATATACCACATTAACACAATGAAAGGTAAAACCACATGATTATCCCAAAAGATTCAGATTTTTTTTAGAAAATTTAACTTCCATTTATTATTTAAAACTCTCAAAAAAATAGGTATAGAAGAAACTTACCTCAACACAATAAAGACCATATATGAAAACCCCACAGCTAACATAATAATGGATGGGGAAAATTTGAAAGCTTTTTATCTCAGATATGAAGCAAAGCAAGGATGATCAACCTTACCACTTCCATTCAACATAATACTGGAAGTTCTAGCCAGAACAATCAGACAAGAAAAAGAAATAAAAGCTATCCAAATTGAAAAGAAATAAGTAAAATTGTCTCCTCTTAAAGGTGACATGATCATATATGTAGAGAATCCTAAAGACTCCATACAAAAAAATTATTAAAACTAATAAACAAATTCAGTAACTCTGCAGTATAAAAAGTCAAATTGCAAAAATCAGTGGCATTTCTATATGCTAATAACAAACTATCCAAAAATGAAATTAGGAAAACAATTCTATTTACAATAGCAACAAAAAGAATAAAATACTTAGGATAAAGTTAACTAAAGAGGTGAAAGACTTGTACACTGAAAGTTATAAACCATTGATGAAAGAAACTAAGGGAGACATAGAGATGGATAGACATCCCATGTTCATGGATTGGAATAATTAAAATCTTTAAAATGCCCATAGTGCCCGAAGAAACATACAGATTTAATTCAATCTCTATCAAAACCCCAATGGCATTTTTACATTAATAAAAAAAAGCTATCATAAAGTTCAAATGGAACCACAAAAGACTACCCATATCCAAAGCAATCTTGAGGGACAAAAAAAGAAAACAAAAAACAAAAAAACAAAAAAACACCAGAGGCATCACACTTCCTCATTTCAAAATATATTACAAAGCTATAGTAATCAAAACAATATGGTACTGGCATAAAAACAGACATGTAGACCAATGTAACAAAACAAAGAGACCAGAAATAAATCCATATATTTACAGCTAACTGATCTTTGACAAGGATGGCAAGAGGACACAATGGGGAAAGGATAGTATCTTCAATAAATGTCATTAGAAAAACTGGATAGTCATACACAGAATAAAATTAGACCCTTATCTCACATCACATACAAAAATAAACTCAAAATAGATTAAAGACTTTGACATGAAGACATGAAACTGTAAAACTACTAGAAGAAAGTACAGAAAAAATGCTTCTTGACATTGGTGATGGCAACGATTTTTTGGACATAACACCAACAGAAGAGGAAACAAACCGAAAAATAAACAAATGGGATTGTATCAAACTAAAAAGCTTCTGTCACATGGTGGCTCATTACTTGCTTCGAGGCAGGTGCAGTGAGTCTACTCTGGGCTGGTCTGGTCTCCTCAGGTTCCAACCCAACCACTACCCGGCCAGTTCATGGAGAGGAGAGGTGCACTTTACAGGTCCCTGATGAACAAAGAGAACCCTCCACCACATCCAGGCCCTGGTCCATCAGCCCCATACCCACCTTATCCACAAAAACACATGGGCCCAGGACCTATGGGAGGGGGCCCTACCCACCTCTTCAAGGATACACCTATCAAGGATACAAAGATACCCACAGTACAGCTGGCAGGACAGACCTCGGGAGCCTCCTAAAACCACAGTGTATGTGGTAGAAGACCAAAGAAGACATGAGTTGGAACCATCCACCTGCCTCACAGCCTGCTGGACTGCTTTCTGTTGCTGCTGTCTCCAGGACATGCTCACCTGACCAGCCCAGCCATCCTCTCCTGCCAGCTCTGCCACCACCTCCGATAGATGTGCCTGCCCCTGTCTCTTCTGATTGCTGTAATAAATGACTAGCTCATACACCTTCGGCACTATGGGATTCTAGATTAGTGAGGGCTGCTGCTGTTAAATTCAGTGACTTGATCTCTTTAATGTCCAAAATCCATTTCTTACTGACCTTTAAAAATGTGCTAAGTGACTTTTTTTGGACAAAGGCTTAGTTGTGGAAAATGTATTTATAATTTTGTAATTATACATTCAAGGTAGTGGCAAAATGTAACACACCATGAATGATTTCTCTGCTTACACCCTGTAGGTTTCAATAAATTTGTTCAAACCTCAAAAAAAAAAAAAAAAAAGAAAGAAAGAAAAGAATCAACAAAGTGGAAAGGCAACCTATGAAATGGGAGAAAATATTTGCAAATCATATATCTGATAAGGAGTTAATATGCAAAACGCATAGGGAACTCATACAACTCAGTAGCAAGAAAACAAATAACCCAATTTGAAAATGAGCAAAAGATCTGAATAGATATTTCCCATTTGTTTATTTTTGCTTTTGTTTCCTGTTCTGTTGGTGTCATATCCAAAAAATCATTGCCATCAGCAATGTCAAGAAGGCTTTTTTCTGTACTTTCTTCAGTAGTTTTACAGTTTCAGGTCAAAACTTCATTTTGAGTTTATTTTTGTGTATGATGTGGTGTATTTGTATGTCTCAAAAGAAGGCATACAAATGGTCAGCATGGAAATGAAAATGTGCTCAACATCAGGAAAATGCAAATCAAAACACAATGACATATCACCTCACACCTGCAAGGATGGCTCTACTATCAAAAAAGACAAAAGTGTTGGTGAGGATGTGGAGAAAAGAGAACCCTTGTACATTTTTATAGGGATTTAAAGTGGTACAACCATTATAAAAAACAGTATGGAGTTTTCACCAAAAGTTAGCAGTAAAACTACCATATGATCCCACTTCTGGGTATACATCCAAAAAAAATAAAATCAGGATCTCAGAGAAGCATGCACTTCTGTGCTCATTGCAGCATTGTTCACGATCACCAAGATATGGAAACACCCAAATGCCCCTGGATGGATGAATGGATAAAAAAAATTGTGGTATATTTCTACTATGGGATATTATTTAGCCTTTAAAAAGAAGGAAATTTTGCCACTTGTGACAACATGGATGAACTTAGAGAACATTATGCGAAATGAAGTAAGCCAGACACAGAAAGACAAATATTACATGATCCCACTTATATGTGGAATCCAAAAAAGTGAAACTCATAGGAACAGAGAGTCAAATGGTGCTTGCCAGGGGCTGAAAGGCGAGGGAGATGTTGGTCAAAGTGTAGTTTCAGTTCTGCAGGATAAATAAGTTCTGGAGATCTAATGTACAGTGTGGTGACTATAGTTAGCAATACCATACTGTATACTTGAAATTTGCTAAGAGGGTCAATCTTACGTATCCTCACCTTAAAGCAGGGAAAGAAGGAAGAAAGGAAGGAAGGAGGGAAAGAAGGAAGGAAGGAAAGAAGGAAGGGAAGGAAGGGAAGAGAGGGAAGGGAGGAAGGGAGGAAGAAAGGAAAAAAGAAAAAGGGAATTAGTGAGGTGATGGGTGTGTTAATTGTGGTGATTGTGGTGATTATTTCCCTGTGTGTGTGTGTGTGTGTGTGTGTGTGTATATAAAAACATCAGTTTGTACACATTAAACATATATAACTTTTTTAATTAAACCTTAAAAACTGTTAAATATAAAATAAATCAAAATATTAAAATAAAATATTAAAATAAACACTGCCCTCTTTCTTTCGCTGATGAGGAACTTGGCTTTTGATGGGAGCAAAAATTCAGAGAAGAAAGCCAAATGCCACTAAGGAAAAAGTTGTTGAGAAATTATTCATTAAGATTTGCTATATTTGCTAGTATTTTACTATATATATTTGCTATAAATATATATATTTGCTAGTATTTCTTTTTGCTATATATTTGCTAGCATTTTATAGTCGTTCATTAATCAAACCCTCTCACAGTCCCTTGATGGGAAATGATAGTGAACGCAGTTCTGTCCATTTCAGAGGTAGGGTGATCTGGGTCACTCGGGGTCCAGGTTACAGTCTCAACGTTAACAGGATTAACAGAGAAAAAGGAAGCCTGTCTCAAAACAAAGCTTAGGAAGAAAGATGATGCCCCCATTCCCAGTACCGTCACTAATGTCATGTGCTTCCCACCGTTTACTCCCCAGCACATTTTGATCAGACATCTTGGTCCACATTTGATTTATTGTTCAGCTGACATGAAACTGAACAATGGTATAATTAGAAGGCTCGCACGCGGGTGCCTGCAGGGAGAGTAATTATTTGCCAAGAGAAGAACTGCGATAAAGGAGTAGCGTGGGTGTAGGTTTCCTGTTGTGCCCAGAGCCTGCTGTTCATACATTGTTGATACCAAAATACAAAGGTGACTGCACTCTTTTTCCTTAGAAGATGCAATTTATATTTTATCTGCTTGAGACTAGGTTTGCAGGGCTGTGCCTAACTCCTTTCCCTCCCACCCCCGTTCTACAGAGAGAGAGCTGTGAGTGAGCCTCTCGGGACTAGAACTTGTTAGGAGGCCCTGCCATCTCCATGGTTCCTTCCTCCCAGGACAGCACCTGCCTGCCCAGGATGTTACTGCCCTTCCCAGTGGACCCTAGACTTGCTGCTGGAATCTAGCTGGAGAGTTTCCAGGAAGGAGGGTGCTCTGCAAGCAGGCTCAGGCATGGACTTGGGGGAACGGGTAAAATAAGGGGAATTGACACTGATTGAGCATCTACTCCGTTGCCTGCACTAATCCATTTGATCCACATGGCATGTTGGGATTCGTACCCCCATCTTACAGGTAAGGAAACTGAAGCCTGGGGAGGTAAAAAAGTGCATCCAAGACAACTCAGCCAGTAGGTAAGGAAGGCCAGGATTTGAACCCAGGGTTCTTTGGTGCTGATGGCCTGCTGTTTCCTCTGATTCAATCTGCCTCCCCACAATGGGAGAAGAGCCCCCAGAGAGTCCAGGGAGAACAGATCAAAATGCTGTTCACTTCCACACTGTTGATGTCCTCCCTGTGACTGGTCCTTAGTTAGATCCTGGTTAAAAGACTGTTGGTTTTGTAATTCTAATTCCTTGTCCTGGCTCATGTTGACCTTATAGAGTATTCTGGCCCAGGTCACTGTGACCCTGTTGCTCCCTGGCTCTAGGTGTGGTCCCTCCAGAGAAAAAAGACCAAGCTGTGGGATTGAGGTGTGTCAAGGAATGGGCTGAGTTTCCAACAGCCGCCAGGTCAGGGCTTTATGCTACACCAACTGAGGCCCGACCTGTCTCCGTTGCACTGCAGTAAAGAGGCCTGGATTGCTAACATTAGCCCGTGCAGCATTGTGCCAGACAACAGTCTGCTGGGGTCGCTGTCTTTTTTAATGATCTCACTCAACCCTCAAATGTGCTTTTCCAGGTGGAGATCAGCAGCCCCATTTTACAGACGAGGAAACTGTGGCTCAGAAAATCCAAGTGTCTGGTTGAGTCTGGTAGTGGAATGGGATTTGGAGTCAGGGAGACCTGGCTTTGAATGCCCATCCTGTTTCTTTATAGCTTTGTGCCTCAGGAAATGCCAGTTCAACTCTGATATATGATTATCTTGTCTGTAAACCAAGGTAAAGAAGAAAACTGTCTCCTCAATTTGTTGGGACAATTAAGTATATTTTTATTTAAAATACCTGGCATATAGTAGGTACCCAATGAATAATGGTTAGTGTAATTACAGGAATAGTCACTGAGTTTAATATCACATGTCATTTCTTATGGTTGTCAAGAGACCTGTGCTGAAATATATTCTGAGCTCATATCTGGGAAAAAATGCTGGTATCGATGAGCCACATTTGCTTTGGCATAGGAGGGCGAGTGGCTGCATATGTATTTCCCATGCTGGTTTACTATTATTGCCCAAGGTCATACCAGGAGGGATTTGATTTGAGTTCTACTTTTATCCAAAGCACCCACTCTTTCTACTATATCCATTTTAGCCTTCCCTACTGTAATTTCCTGGTTGTTTTAGTTTCTTATGGTTTCTGTAACATATTACTACAAACAAGATGGCTTAAAACAATAGAAATGTATTCTCTTGTAGTTATGGAGCCCTGAAGTCCAAAATCAGTATCACTAGGCTGAAGTCAAGAGCTTCCAAAGGCCCTAGGGGTGAATCCATTCCTCACTCTTCCAGCTTCTGCAGCTGCCAGCATTCCTTGGCTTGTGGCTGCAGCACTCCCATCTTTGCCTCTATTGTCACATGGCTTCCTCTGTGTGTGTCATCCACCTCTTCCTCTCTCTTAGAAGGACACTTGAGATTGCTTTTAGAGCCCATCTGGATAATCTCTCCATCTCAAAATCTTTAAGTTAATCATATCCTCAAAGATCCTCTATTTCCCTATAAGGTAACATTTATAGGTTCCAGAGATTAGGACCTGATGTGTTTAGGGGGCTACTTTTCAGCCTTCCACACTAGGCTTTATATCCCTATTCCGAAAAAACTTTTTAGCTGAGCAACTCAATAGCCACTGAAAGGTTATGTCTCATCTTAGAAAGGTAAATTATAAGAAATTCTGAAATAGTGGGTCAGCCTGACTCTTGCTCTTTCTCAGATTTTAGACCCCAGACTTAGTACCTGAGCTTTAGCCTTTTCTCTCAAGACCAAGTCCCAGTCAGGTATTTCTGCTCACATTTCTTTTCTTGTTTTCTTTTTCTTTCTTCTCTTTTCTTTTCCTTTCTTTCTTTCTTTCTTTTTTTTTTTCTTTCTGAGATGGAGTTTTGCTCTTGTGGCCCAGGCTGGAGTGCAGTGGCACGATCTTGGTTTACTGCAACCTCAGCCTCCTGGGCTCAAGTGATTCTCCTGCCTCAGCCTCCTGAATAGCTGGGATTATAGGTGCCCTCCACCACACCCAGCTAATTTTTGTATATTTAGTAGAGATGGGATTTTGTCATGTTGGCCAGGCTGGTCTCAAACTCCTGATCTCAGGCAATCCACCCACCTCAGCTTCATTTCAAGCCTGCAGTTTGAACTTCCCATCTTAAAACACTCCTCTGGATCCTGCATGAAGTGCATGCCCCTAATCCTGGTTTCAAGTCTTCTGTGCCCTCTGCAATCTGGCTTCTTGAATAGTAAGGGTAGGCAGAGCTGCTGTAACAAATAGACTTTAGCACGTAATGGCTCATCACTGTAGAAATTTCCTTGCTGATATGTATGGGGTGGAGCAACTGACTCTCCTCTACATGATCTTTGGGGAATTAAACTACTTTCACTTTGTGGCTCCATATCCTTCTACCAGGGTGAGTAGAAGCATGAATAGTGTGTAATTGCTCTTCTCATATTTAATGTCAGTTCTTGGAGTCCAGGTTTGGTCAATCAGATGTCCCTGCCTAGGATTTTGACTTTTAAGGGAGTGTGACCTGAAGATACTGGACTAATTAAGACCAATTCTGGCAACATCATCAGTGCCATTCAGTGGCCTGTGGCAGCAACGTCTTAACCAAGCTGTTCATATAAAAACTTTGTGAGGTCCTGCCACTGCTAGTTTCCTATAGTCCCTCCTTTTCCATGCCAGGCTGTCCAGTCTTACCATTGATGTTGTGAGCTCTGAATATCACTCCATTTCCTTGTCTGCTTGAATTCATTGAATTCATAAGTATCAGTTTCTGGTATCTGAGCCAAGAACTGTACTGGATTCACCTACCTCACAAGGGCTTCTGTGCAGATTCCATTAAATTAGAGATGGGGAAAAAGAAATGCTTCATTCATTTAAATGTTATGTCGGGGAAAAGAGATTAAAAGTAACTGCAGCACATAAGATCCAGCAATCCTCCTCCTAGCTATTTACCCAACTGATTTGAAAACTTAACCAAAACCTGAACACATATGTTTAAAGCAACTTCTGTAATCATTACCAAATTCTGGCAGCAATCAAGGTGTCCATCAATAGGTGAATGGATAAGCAAACTGTGGTACACCCATGCAATGGGATACTATTCAGCAATGAACAGGAATTAACTATTAAGTTAAGCAAAGACATGGATGACTCTGAAAGATATATTGTTTAGTTAAAAAAAACTAAAAAGGCTACATACTATATGATTCCATTTATAAACATTGTAGAAAAGAGAAACTATAGAAATGATAAGCAGATCAGTTGTTCGGGCGTTTGAGAGAGGATTGAATAGATGAAGCATGGGAGACTTTTTAGAGTGGTGAAACTGTTCTATATAGCACTTCAAGGATGGACACATCATACTGTGCCTTTGTCAAAACCTTCAGCCGGGTGCGGTGGCTCACGCCTATCATCTCAGCACTTTGGGAAGCCGAGGCCAGTGGATCAATAAGGTCAGGAGTTCGAGACCAGCCTGACCAACATGGAGAAACCCCATCTCTACTAAAAATACAAAATTAGCCAGGTGTGATGGTGCATGCCTGTAATCCCAGCTACTCGGGAGGCTGAGGCAGGAGAATCTCTTGAACCCGGGAGGCAGAGGTTGCAGTGAGCCGAGATTGTACCATTGCACTCTAGCCTGGGCAACAAGAGCGAAACTCCATCTCAAAAAAGAAAAAAAGAAAGAGAGAAAGAGAGAAAGAAAAGAAAAGCAAAGAAAGAAAAGAAGGAGGAAAGAAAGAAAGAAAGAAAAGAAGGAAGGAAGGAAGGAAACTTTGTAACAGAAACAATGAACCTTAATGCATGTAAGCTTAAAAAAAAAATCATTTAGGAGGTTTGACAATCCCAGGATGGAATGCAGATTGTGACAAAAGAATCTAACTGCATTTTAAATGTATGAAACGATCTCACTGAAGAGGGTGGAGAAATAAAGGGGCTGATTTATGTAACTTCAGAAATGAGTGGAATCTGTAAAACGAATGGCAAAAGGAACTGCACATAAGCGCTGTACTCTAGTTAATAAATTGTTTCCCATGGAGGTACAGGTTGACAGTTCTGAAGCCACTTTACACGGGTACCTAAATTGGACAATTAAATAAACGGATGGTGAATGATGGTAGGTTTCTCACTATTGAGTGGGAGGTTATAGATGAGAAGACCGATAATCTACTCTCAAGGAGGTGGGGTATAACTCTCACTCCTTTAGCGTCAGTGCCACAGTGACTTCCTTCCAAAGACTGTGGTACAGAAGGGGAGGAAGGACGGGAGGTGACTCCACCATTGAGAAACTTGACAAATAGCGCCTCAGCCAGATGATCAAAGTCAACATCCACAGTGATAAATCATGTTGCTAGTGTACGCCCCTGATATGATGTGATGAAAATGGCACTTCACTTCCATGGACTTCCCCAAAACTCACAATGTAACTTTAACAATGAGAAAACATCAGCTAAATCCCAATCGAGTGACATTCTGCAAAATACCTGACCAGTACTCCTGAAAGCTGTCAAGATCACCACAAATGAGGAAAGTCGGAGAAACTACCATGGCCGACAAAAGCCTAAGGAGATGGATGATTCAATGTAATGTGGTGTCTCTAAATGAGATCCTGGAAGAGAAAAAGGACATTAGATAAAAACTAAAGAAATTCGAATAAAGTAGAGGCATTAATTACTAATAAAGTATCAATGTCAGCCCCTTGGTTGTGAAAATTGTGCCATACTAAGTAAGGTAATATACTACTAATAGGAGAAACCGGCTGTGGAGTCCGTGGGAATGCTCTGTACTGTCTTTGTAATTGTCCTGTAAATCTCAATCTATTCTAATTTTTTGTTATTGTTGTTTTTTAAAAGTATAAAAAAATTAGTCTGGGGGCTGTGGCTCATGCCTGTAATCCCAACACTTTGGGAGGCAGAGGCGGGCAGATCACAAGGTCAGGAGTTCGAGACCAGCCTGGTCAATATGGTGAAACCCCGTCTCTACTAAAAATACAAAAATTAGCCAGGTGTGGTGGTATGTGCCTGTAGTCCTAGCTACTCAGGAAGCTCAGGCAGGAGAATCGCTTGAACCCAGGAGGTGGAGGTTGCAGTGAGCCGAGATCGTGCCACTGCACTCCAGCCTGGGCGACAGAGTGAGATTCCATCTCAAAAAAAAAAAAAAAAATTAAAGGAAGTTGCAACTTCAGACTCAGGAAGGTTGCCCAGAGGCCAGTGTCTAAAATACAACTATTACTGCAGTATCTCAAGTTATACATTTGAACCGTAGTATACAGATGACAAGACTGAGCTCTGAGAGAAACAGTAGGTTTCCCAAGGCCACAGGATGAGGAGAGCTGGGCTGTGAACCCAGCATGACAGCCGTGGATTCCCACGTTCTTTACTGTATCAACAGCACATCCGCCTGCCTCTGGCTGGTTGCTGTGTTTGTATAGGCAGGATTCTTGCATGCGTGCACACACACACACACACACACACACACACACACACACACACACACACACGTAGTCTTCAGCTCCAGTGCAGTCGGCCTCGCAAATCACCTTCAAGCAGCCTCAGACCTGCAGGATTTGCATTGGCTTTCCTTCCATTCCAGTATGCCTCCGTCTCGCCTCTCGGCAGGCTGGGCAGCCATTTCCCAGCCAGCCTCCCCTAAGAGCTGCGTATGCTGCAAAGATACCCTGAAGCCTTTGTCTACATCCTTCCCGTCCTTGTCCAACTTCCACCCTGCAGTGGTAGGAAGGAGGAGGGTGCAGGAGGTGCTTGGCCAGGAGTAAAGGGGTAGAGGGAATGGGTGAAAGTGCTTCACCCTGGCAGGTGTGGCTGGGAAATTTCTCTTCCTAAGTGTGACACACACACAACGCTTAGCATAGCATCTGGCATGAGGGATGTGCTACAATTTTAGAGGTAGACATTTTATAGACAGTATGTGGTTGCTGGTAGGAGCCTACACTTAGATGCCTGCCCTATCTGCTCCATAAGCCAAGCTCACTTATTTTTATGCCATTTGAGAGCATTTATTCATTTATTCATTGAATATTTTCTGAATGCATCCTATGTGCTGTGAACCTGTCTGAGTAATACTATAGTCACAAGGGCATCAGGGATGACAGCGGCCAACAGGCTGTGTTTCTATTAGATCAGAGTTCACAGGCCAGTGTTTCCTGGGAATAAGTGGCTACTGAGTGACTAGATCTCAGGACTCAGGGAAAGACCCTAAACGCTCCTTTTCACGTTACTGTGGGCTATAGTTCCACTATCTTAGCTCCAGGTTGTTGAATGTTATCCTTGAGCTATAGAGAAGGTATTGCAAAGAGGGGTGCGAGCCCCAGGGACTCCAAATGTCACACAACACCTGGCGGCTGGCCTAATGCTGAGCATGGTGGAAAGGCCTAGTTGCAAACGCCTTTCCTGAACTTTCAAAATCATTTGCAAATGACCCTTTCCATCTTACTCCTCCAGTCCTAATTTTGTAGAATATCATCATAAACCTAGCAAGGAATCTATGACAGGATGTGTTAAATCCAAGACTTAAATTAACAATAGCTACCATTGGCCACGCATCTACTGTGTGCCAGATGCTTCATGGTGAACTTTCTTGTATGTAGTTTTGTTTCATTTTATCCTCACAAGAAGGTGATGTTAGGCTAGAAATATCAGACATGAGGCACATACCTTTGATTTGTGCATAAGGTCCAAACCCTGAATGATCTGATCCTGACATACTGACCTCATTTTTGCCCTGATGGAGAGAAAGAGGAAACTGGGCCGGGGGCGCGGGGGGGCGGTGCGGGGATATCGAGATAACCAGGCCTGAGTGAGGACACAGTAGAGATAATTCTCAGGAGGACAGAGTGACGGAGGTGTAGGCACCATAAGCTGTTGGAATTGCAGCTGCAGAGGCACAGAATCTTGACACCAGTGTGGGGAGTCCCCTTCTATTGGAATCAGCTTGGGAGTCCCATAAATGCAGAAGGCAGCTGGCCTGACTCAATGAATGGCAATGTCCACCAGGATAGTGGCACCTGCAGAGGCAGCAGCAGGGCCGAGGGAGCCTGCCAAGGAAGAGCCTTCCTAACAAGAAAAAGCATGTGTGCTGCTCGGGTGAGGCAGGGGAGGTTACCTCCCTGCCCTCTCAGTGATCCCAACTTAAGTCTGGCTCTCAAGGCCAGATGATGTGTCTCATTCCTGATGTTGCTTAAAACTATTCAACCAATGACAATTTAGGAACTCAACATTTAATTCACTTTGTCCTTTTTACATGAAAAAAAAAAGAAAACATAAGGCTAGGACACATATTTGAGATTTGTTTTTTACTTATAGACAGGGTCTTGCTCTACTGCCCAGGCTGGAGTGCAATAATGCAATCATAGCTCACTGCAGCCTCCAACTCCTGAGCTCACTCAATCCTCCTGCCTCAGCCTCCTGAGTAGCTGAGATTACAGGCATCAACCACCACACCAGGCTCCATATTGGAGATTTATTTTTTTCCCCAGAAGCCAAACGATGGAAAGGTGCCAAAGATTATCTTTTTCCCCAGAAGCCATACGATGGAAAGGTGCCAAAGACAGTTCTGCAATGTGAGGAATGACCCTTCCACTTCTGTCCTTTTCACAAAAGTCATCCAGGCAACAGGTGGGAATGAGGAAGTAGATGTAACCACGGGAACAGGAAGAGAATGGGTCGCTGTTGCTTATAACTCATTGAAGGGCCTGCTGGCTATATGGAAATAGAGGCCCATCAACAGGGAAAGTTTATGGGAACTGACATGGCAGCAAGAGAGACAGGACATAGGAACACTGCGTGACACAGGAATGGGGCAGTGTGGTCCTTGCACCCACAGCAGCGTATCCTAAGTGTGTTAACCAGCCCTACCTCCTTCCCCTTGCGTCTCACTGTATGCTTTAGATGTGTTCCAGAAACTCCACAGTTTGAGCATCTTCATTTGGTCCATCGGCTTTTCTATCTGGTGGCCTCTCAGAGAGCCTGTCAGGCATCATACTTGAAGGCTACCATTGCATCGATGGAATATCTCTCCCCAACACTTAAAAACAGGAACTGGATGAAGTGGCTCCCCTGTTTAGACACTTCCGGTGGTGCCCATTGCATTCATTGCAAAAGGTAACCTTCTTAATGTGGTGGTGAAGGCATGAACAAGCTCCCTGCCTGCCTCTCAGCCTCACCTCTTGCTGTGCCTTCTGTCTTGCTCAATGCCTATTAACACACGGGCACCCTTTGAGCTAATCCCTTCCTGCCCCTTCCAGTTCCAGACATTTGCAGCCACCATCCTCCCTTGCAGAAAGCACCCCTCCCACCTTCACCCGGTTCTTTCTGCTCCTCTTTGGTCAGGGAGTTCTGACCCATCTGGGTCAGGCTGCAGAGTGTTGTGTTCTTATTGCAGCATTTAGCACAATTTATAATTTCTATATTTGCCTGTTTAATGTCTCTCTCCTCTACTAGATTTAAGCTCAAGTGAGACCAGAGACCATGCCTACCTTTTTCTGGCATGGTCCCCATCACATGGCACAGCCTGTGCTGTGATCAGCACTCCATAAGTATCTATTGCATTAACAAATACATAAGTGAGCCCCTGCCATCTACTATCTGCAAAGTATTTTACATGCATGTTCTCAAACCTCAATGCTGGAAGCTCAGAGAGGGGAAGACACTTGCTGCATGTTTCCCAGCTGGTAAACAACAGAACCAGGATTCTAACCTAGGTATGTCGAACCCCAAGGCCTTGTTCTTAACCATGGGCATACCCATTCAGAAGGGGTCAGAGCTGCTGGGAGCCTGAGACCTGATCAGCTTGTGGAACAGGAAGCCGTGAGGCTGAGTCAACAGAGAATGCCTCTCTGTCCTCTGGAACACTCTCTCCAGATCCTCCCGTGTGTGGCTGCAGCTCAACATTCAGGTCTATTATGTGTATTTCTTCCACTAATAAGAACATTCAATTTTGATTTACTGAGAATAAAAGAAAAAAAGAAATAAAGCGGTGGGGTGAAACTACATAAGAACAGTAAGTAAGCAAGAAGCTCATGAGCTGCGTTAGACAAAGCGGAAGTGAGTAGAGCACCTGTGTGTGACCAGGGGGAGAAAAGGGTAAAGGGACACAAGAGCACCCAATCGTAAATATCCATGGGCACTCAATGTCCATACGGTCTCAAATCGCCCACCATTAGTGACACCCTTTCTGGCCAAATGTATCCTGTGTCCAAAACCCTCAGAGAGAAACACTAACTTCCACTGGCAAGCCACAGCTCAGGCCAGGTGGCCTGGCCTGCCACCTCTCAGGAAGAACAAGCGTGCTGGCTCCAGGCACCTCCCACCTCAGTTCTGGCACCTCCAGGCCCTCAGTTCTGGTCTATAACCTCACCATCAGCAGAGCAGGCTGACAAGACAGAAAGAGGGGGAGAGAGAAAGACAGGATGTAGAAGCGTTGCATGGCCCAGAACACAGACAGTGTGTGGGCTTTTGCCCCGTGGCATCCTGTCCTAAGTGTAGTAACCAACCTTCTTTCTTCCCCTTGTTTCTCAGTGTATATTTTAGATCAATTTAGTAAACCATGTGGTTGAGCATCATTGTTTGGTCCATGAGTCTTTCTGTTTCATGGCCTCTGGGAGAGCCTGCCTGGCAGTATACCTGGGGGCTACCATTGCACCAAGGATGCTCCCCCATGAAAAGGTCTCAGCTCAAATGTCACCACCTCAGTGAGGCTTCCCCAGCCTCCCTAGCTCCTCTCCCTCTACCTCATTCACTACTCCATCGCTTGCTTTATTTTCTTGGTCCACTCTCTCACATCTTATCTATGGAGTCAATGTATGCATTTCCTTGTGTTTTGCTGCCCAGCCGCCCTGGAAAGTAGGCTCCATGAGAGCAAGAGGTTTGCCTTCTGACTGCTGGGTCCACAGAGCCCAGAACTCAACCTGGCACACAGGAGATGCTCCATGTAGAAGTGGCCACTCAATGCACTCAGCAAGGAGGCCGTAGCACTTCCCATGCACCATGACTGTGCCAGGGTAGGGCGCTAACGTGAATAAGCTGTTCTCGGCCCTAGGGACTTGAGGTTGAGAGGTGGTGAGAAAAGACCCACACGCCACAAGCAGATGATGATTCCATCACAGAAGGAGAGGAGGAGGCCTGGAGGAAGGCTTGTCTCATCCTAGCAACCAGAGGTTTTCTCTCCTGGTGTGGCCCAGGAAAGTGAGAAGACGTTTCCTTCCAGCTATAGTCATGGAGCCACAAAGTCGGGATTCAAGGCAAATTAGGCTGCTGATTTGTATGTTAAACAAGGTTAATTCCATCCATTAGCCAAAGATGTTTTCAAAGCGCCTGGCACAAGAGCGAGGAGCAATTAGTGTCTTTGTATTAGTGGATGTGGGCGTGGGGCCAGGACGTTAAGGGGAGGGGGATGCAATTTCTGCACTCTTTATGATATCATCAAAAGTAAATGAATTATGAAAACAAAAGAGGCAATATGAGGCTTCCAGTACTAATTACTGGGTAGGACAGAAAGTTCACAGTGAAGGAGGAAAGAATGATCAGAGAAGGACAAGGATACGGATCATCTGGCCTGCAGGTGTCTTTAGACAAGGTGGGGCTTCCGTGACTCCACCTTCCAATTTCAGGGAAAAGCTCTGCTTTTGCTCCAAATAAAGAAGCTGGATCGTGAGGAGTGATTTCAGCTGTTGTTTTTTGGTTTTGGCTTTGGTTTTTAATTTTCTTTCTGGTCTTAGCCTTAACAATGCTGGACAAACTAATCAACTCGATTCAGAGGCGACTTTAGGCCTTCAGAGAAGTTAACTAATAACAACCCTGGAGCTGGTTGCTTTGAGAAATGACCACAGAGCTGGTTGCTTTGGTAATCATAATATTTCCCCTCAATAAAGGGCTGGCCACTCTCTGCCATGCACTACAGGGTAGGATCTGATACAGTCCACAGAGCCAGTCTCAGGGGTAGATGGAGGCAGTGGGCTGACACTGATATGGAAAAGATTGTTTTACGGGTGCTGAGGGGCATGTATGTGACTTTAAAGGATGTCAAACTTACCCAACAGAAAATTATTTCTCTTTCATTTTCCTTCCAGTTCTTCTGATTAGATCAAGGAAAAGGATTCAGTTAGGCGCTAGCCTGTCTTAACACCTCCCTCAGCAACTGATAGGCATATTTTTAAATAGAAGTCTGGCAGACAATGGCATCAAGCTAAAATTTAATATCCTTTTGTTTTTAAAGTTTTAATTTGTACAATTGCCTTCTGTTAACATAAAATGATTATGTTTTTCCATTTATGGTAATGATATAAAGTTTTATGCAAAAATAGTGAATTGATTTTTTTAAACTTTTAAGTACATAATTCTATGAATGATATGATAATACAGCAGAAATTATGAAAGTGGTGCTTGAATAACTGACATCTGAAAAACACCTGTGTAAAGGAAGGAGTACTGGCCAGAGGGACAAGGAGGACAAACTCTTAGGTCCTCTTCCACTGCTGTGTAATCTTGGGCAAGTCACAACCTCTCTGGGCCTCAGTTTCCCCAAACATGCAATGCCAGTTGAACAAGATGCTGTCTCAGAGATGAACAAGCCATGATAGAATATTTCTTCTATCCTCAGAGTTTAGTTGAGAAAATTGAGGCCCAGAAAGGGCCAGAACGGTCCTGGCACACAGTAGGTGACCAACAAGCTGGTCACTTCCTCCCTTTCTGCTCTCCCTCCCTCCCCTTCTGCTCTCCCTCCCTCCCCTCCTGATCTTGCCAGTCACTAGAGAGAGAACTCTGTGTCACCCATGGATAGAAGTTCCACAAACACCGACAAGGGAAAACTAAGGGGCAATTTCATTGAAACAACAAGTTATTTTGAAAACTATTGGTCCCTGTTACAGTTGATTGTTTGGAAACCAAGAGATGTGTGTCCCACACAGAAAATTTCTGGGAAATGTTACCAGTCTTTAAAAACATTTGGTAACAGTAACTGTTTTCAAAATAATTGGCTGTACTACAGGCAGAGGGGGAAAAGAAGTCAGGAGAAGTGCACTGTATATAGAAAATTGGTAATAAGGGGCATGAAGTTTCAGAGCTGGGGGTTGGAGTGACATTTTACGTTATGATTCCATTTTCATATATTACTTTTTGTAATTGAAGGAAAAGACCCAAACAACATAGCCTACATATTTTTATATATTTCTAATGTTTGGGGAACAGTTTGGGTGGTACGGTATCTTCAAAAGGGATAAAAACTCAAATATTTCTGAGGTTCACATAGAAAATGTAATGAATAAGCCTAAATAAATAAAGCAGGCAGATAGAAATGGGGGAATTGAGGGGGACCAGCAAGCTTCAAACAATTGCAACATTTGGAATGTGGGCCCAGAGATGTCAGCTCATTCCATTGTTCCCCCACTCAAAAAAAAAAAAAAATGAAATCCAAATTTTAATGTGAAACCTTCCATTCTTTTACTGGTAGCTTACATCTTAAAGACTGAATGTTAATTAAACAAACTGACCTGAAGATCACCAGTTGGAAGTGTCTCCAAATCCCTTTAAATCCATTCAGAGGCTCCACTTTCGGCCCCTGGGGAGGTGAAGCATGGCTCAATCTCTCCATGAACTTTCTTGCTTCTTCAATTTACAGCGGGGTAGGGGAATCTCTGGTGATTATCTAGATGTGCGCTCCTCTGTGTGCCCACATTTCTAGTGCCCCAGCTTCCAAACTAGCCCCTTTCACCCTGGGGTGCCATTGCTGTCCTACTCTCTATTTCCCCTCTCGGGCTGTGAGTGCCACAAGGGCTGAGCCTTGGGGGCTCACCTCTGTCTCCTGGCATCTGCATACAGTAGGTGCATAGTAAAGCTCTGCGGAGTGCATGAGCAAATAAATAAAGAGAGAATAAATGAGTTGCTTAAGGGGAACTTAATTGAACTCAGATTAATGTAGTGGATGAAGGGAAAAAAAAAAATCATGGAATTATGGGTGTGTCTGTCTTCATGTCTGGGCCAAGTGTCTTTCCTAATAGGCCTACTTAGTGTTTCACCTTTGAATGCCTCTAGACAAGAATTTCCCTAAACATAGTCTGTAGATGTTACATGGAAAAAGACCCATTCTCACAGAAGTTTTGAAAATCTTAGACATGCTTTTTAAATTGCAGGACTTCTCTGAGCCCTTAAATGCTGATGATTTCCCAGCCTTATTTCATCTTTTGATTGATGAGTAACTACTGGGACAAGTGCTCCAGGGTAAACAATTTCTAAAATGCTGTTCTAGGAAACGATAAGCCTAAGATCAAAAAATATATGCTTGTGTTATTCTCAGCTCTTAATCAAACCGCCAGCTCTCACTTGTCAAAGCCAAGGCCTCAAGTTTGGCTGGAATGGCATGGCAGGGCCAGAAACAAGACACCAGCCCCCAACTTTTTTTTTTTTAAATTTATTTTAAATTCAGGGGTTACATGTGCAGGCTTGTTACACGGGTATATTGTGTGATGCTGAGGTTTGGGCCTCTATGGATCCCATCACCCAAGTAGTGAACATAGCACCTGATAGGCAGTTTTTCAACACTTACTCCCGACTTGTTCATGTCCAGGGATGTTCCTGCAGCATTATTTCATGGAGCTAGGTTAGGCGTATGTTCTTACTACCATTTTATGGGTGAGACAACTGAGGCTCTGGGAAATTAAGAAGTAACCATTTTTAAAAATTGTGGTAAAATAAATATAACATGAAATCTACCATTTTAACCATTTTTAAGTGTACGATTTAGTGGCATTAAATCCACTTATGGTGTTGCACAACCATCACCACTATCCATTTCCAGAACTTTTCATCATCCCAAAGAGAATCCCAAATTCTGTATCCATTAAATAGTAATTCCCCATTCACACCTCCTCCAGCTCCTGATAACCACTAATTTACTTTCTTCTTTATAAATTGACTATTCTAGGCACTTCATATACAGTATTTGTCCTTTTGTGTCTGGCTTATTCCACTTAGCAAATTGTTTCAAAGGTTCATCCATGTTGTAGCATGTATCAGAATTTCATTCCTTTTTACAGCTGAATAACATTCCATTGTATGGCTATAGCAGTTTGTTTATCCATTTATCCCTTAATGAACATTTGGGTTGTTTTCACCTTTTAGCTATTGTGAACACTACTGCTATGAACATTGATGTACAAGTATTTGTTCAAGTCCCTGCTAGTAATTCTTTTGAATATATATCTAGGAGTGGAATTGCTGGTCATGTGTTTAATTTTTTCGGGAATTGCCACACCTTTTTCCACTATGGCTACCTTGTTTTACATTCCCACCAGCAATGCGTAAGTGTTCCAATTTTTCCCATCTTCGTCAACACTTGGTGTTTTCTGTTTTTTTTTTTAATTTATTATAGCCATAGGTAGGAAGTGGTATCTTCTTGTAGTTTTGATTTGCAATTTCCTAATGATTCGTGATGCTAAGCATCTTTTCATGTGTGATATGGTTTGGCTCTGTGCCCCACCAAAATCTCATTTTGAATTCTACTCCCATAATTCCCACATGTTGTAGGAGGGACCCAGTGGGAGATAATTGAATCATGGGGGCAGTTTCCCCCATACTGTTCTCATGGTAGCGAATAAGTCTCATAAGATCTGATGGTTTGGTAAGGGGTTTCCACTTTTGCTTCTCTCTCATTCTCTCTTTCCACCACCATGTAAGAGGTGCCTTTTGCCTTCTGCCATGATTGTGAGGCCACCCCAGCCACGTGGAACTGTGAGTCCATTAAACCTATTTTTCTTCCCTGTCTCAGGTGTGTCTTTATCAGCAGCATAAAAGTGGACTAACACAGTAAATTGGTACCAGGAGTGGGGTGCTGCTGAAAAGATACCCGAAAATGTGGAAGCAACTTTGGAACTGGGTAACAGGCAGAGGTTGGAAGAGTTTGGAGGGCTCAGAAGAAGGCGGGAAAATGTGGGAAAGTTTGGAACTTCCTAGAGACTTGTTGAATGGCTTTACCCCAAATGCTGGTAATGATATGGACAATAAAGTCCAGGCTGAGGTGATCTCAGATGGAAATGAGGAAGCTGTTGGGAACTGAAGCAAAGGTGACTCTTGCTATGTTTTAGCAAAGAGATTGGCAGCATTTTGCCCCTGCCCTGGAGATTTGTGGGACTTTGATCTTGAGAGAGATGATTTGGGGTATCTGGCAAAGAAATTTCTAAGCAGCAAAGCATTCAAGAGGTGACTTGGGTGCTGTTAAAGGCATTCTGTTTTATAAAGGAAGCAGAGCATACAAGTTCAGAAAATGTGCAGCCTGACCATGCAATAGAAAAGAAAATCCCATTTTCTGAGGAGAAATTCAAGCTGGCTGCAGAAATTTGCATAAGTAACAAGAAGCCGAATGTTAATCCCCCAGACAATAGGGAAACTGTCTCCAGGGCATGTCAGAGGTCTTCACGACAGCCCCTTCCATCACAGGCCCTGAGGCCTAGGAGGAAAAAATGGTTTTGTGGGCCAGGTCCAGGGTCTCCATGCTGTGTGCAGCCTAGGGACTTGGTGCCCTGCATCCCAGCTGCTCCAGTTGTGGCTGAAAGGGGCCAAAATAGAGCTCAGGCCATGGCTTCAGAGGGTGCAAGTCCCGAGTCTTGGCAGCTTCCACGTGGTGTTGAGCCTGTGAGTGCATAGAAGTCAATAACTGGGATTTGGAAACCTCCACCTGGATTTCAGAAGATGTATGGAAACGCCTGGATACCGAGGCAGAAGTTTGCTGCAGGGGTAGGGACCTCATGAAGAACCTCTTCTAGGGCAGTGTGGAAGGGAAATGTGGGATCCGAGCCCCCACACAGAGTCTCTACTAGGGCACCACTTAGTGGAGCTGTGAGAAAAAGGCCACTGTCCTCCAGACCCCAGAATGGTAGATCCACCAACAGCTTGCACCATTTACCTGGAAAAGCCACAAACACTCAATGCCAGCCTGTGAAAGCAACCAGGAGGGAGGCTGTACCCTGCGAAGCCACAGGGGCAGAGCTGCCCAAGACCATGGGAATCCAGCTCTTGCATCAGCATGACCTGGATGTGAAACATGGAGTCAAAGAGATCATTTTGGAGCTTTAAGATTTTACTGCCCTGCTGGGTTTCAGACTTGCATGGGGCCTGTAGCCCCTTTGTTTTGGTCAATTTCTCCCATTTGGAATGGCTGTATTTACCAATGCCTGTACCCCCATTGTATCTAGGAAGTAACTAACTTGCTTTTGATTTTACAGGCTCATAGGTGGGAGGGACTTGTCTTGTATCAGATGAGACTTTGAACTGTGGACTTTTGAGTTAATGCTAAAATGAGTTAAGACATTGCGGGACTGTTGGGAAGACATGATTGATTTTGAAATGTGAGGACGTGAGATTTGGGAGGAGCCAGGGGCAGAAAGATATGGTTTGGCTCTGTGGCCTGACCCAGATCTCATCTTGAATTCTACTCCCATAATTCCCACATGCCGTGGGAGGAACACACTGGGAGATAGTTGAATCATGGGGACAGTTTCCCTCCTGCTGTTCTCGTGGTAGTGAAAAAGTCTCATGAGATCTGATGGTTTCGTAAGAGGTTTCCGCTTTCGCTTCTCTCTCATTCTCTCTTGCTGCAGCCATGTAAGAGGTGCCTTTTGCTTTCTCCCATGATTGTGAGACCTCCCAACCACATGGAACTGTGAGTCCATTAAACCTCTTTTTCTTCCTAGTCTCAGGTATGTCTTTATCAGCAGCATGGAAACAGACTAATACAATGTGCTTATTGCTCATCTGAATACCTTCTTTTGAAAAATGTCTATTTGAATGCTTTGCACACTTTTGAAGTGGATTGTTTGTTTTTATGCTGTGGAGTTATAGGAGTTCTCTATATATTTTTGATATTATTAGATTACTTGATACTCTGATATTAGTTAATAATCTGATAATATGCAAAATATGTAGAGAACTCCTATAACTCCTATATCAAGCAATTATAAATTACAGATATAATTTGCAAATATTTTCTCCCTTTCTGTGAATTGTCTTTCCCATCTCTTGCTAGTGTCTTCTGATACACAAAGGGTTTTAATTCTGATGAAGCCCGGTTTATCTATTTTTTCTTTTATTACCTGTGCTTTTCATGTCATAGCTAAGAAATCATTACTAAATCCAGTATCATGAAGATATTCTCCCATCTTCTTTCTTAAGAGCTTTAGCTCTTACTTTTATGTCTTTGATCCATTTTTGAAGTAAATTTTGTATATAGTATGAGGTATACAACTTCATTCTTTTGCATGTGGATATCCAAGTTTTAAAACATCATTTGTTGAAGAGACTGTCTTTTCCCCCATTGTGTGGTCTTGGCACCCTTGATGAAAATCAATTGACCAAATCTGCGAGGATACTGTTACTTTTAGAGACCCTGGAGCATAATGGGTGTGATGCCAGCTGTTTCCAAGGGGTGATAATGTATTCGAGGTCACACAGCTGGCAGAAGCAGAACTCGTAACAATAACACCCATGACAAGGACAATGACGATGATCAAACAATAACAATCAGCAGCTATTTAGCACTGGCTCTGTGTCAGGCACATTGCCAAGAGCTCTTACTTGCATACTCTCATTGAATCTTCCCGACAACCCTATTATTATTTTACAGATAAGAAGACAAATTATCAGAGAGGCAAAGTAACTTGTCCAAGGTCACACAGCAGGTAGGAGCAGAGGCTGATTCCATAGCCTGTGCTGGCAACCACTGGGCTGTTCTGTTTTGGACCTAGACTTCCCTCTAGCAGCCATTCTTGGGCCATATAATGATGATGATTTAGAACAACCACAGTCTCCATTTGTGTCTAGTCCTGCTGAAGTCTTACCAGGGCCAGTTCCATAATTTGCGGGACCCAGTTCAAAAGAAAAATGCAGGGTCCTTGTTCAAAAATCATGGGAAAAGCTTATTTTCTTTCTTCCACCATCTCTCTTGACCTGTCATGGTGTTTTTAGTTTGTTTTTTAATGCCACATTCCCTTGGGCATGGGGATACTCATGAAGTGAGTAAAGCCCCTACAGATGCCAGGACCATGTCTCCAAAACCCCAACCCTCCCTGCTTCTGTGCCCAGGCTCCTGCCAGAGTCAGAAGATGGCAGTGGTCACTGGGTGGAGACAAAGACAGCCAAGGAACCATCCCAGGTAGGCAAGAAGGCAACAGGAGGTGGGACCAGGAGGGAGATGAGGCTTCAAGTTTCCAAGTCTTCCTTGTCCCATCAGACTTCACTTACAAAATACGAATTCAAAGACAGCTACTGAAAGTTGCAGGACAATGACCATGAGCATTAAACTCCAAGTGTGGGGCCCGTTTGAGTACCAGCTACACTGATGACACACCCATGTGCTTCTTTAGTAGTAAAATAGGAAATGAGGCTTCTCCAATTCTCTCCCCTCCCTGCACACAGGATTTTAACTCTGATGAAGTCCAGTTTGTCTATTTTTGGAAGTGTGATTCTCCCACGGTCTGATTCCATCACCTTCAGAAGCCCTTTATCATGGGAATGTTTCCAATCTGGGATTCAGAGAGACTTACCTAATCCCATGGCTGGGAGCCACACAATGCCAGGATGTGAAAGGGAAGTCAAAGCTCTTTGCCTCCAATTAACTAGTAACTAAGACCGAATCATCTGCCTGTGAGGAAAAGAGTCCCACAAAACTCAGCTAGGGAGCACTCACCTTCCTAAAAAAGCCAGGGACGCGGGATCTGGCACATGTCTGGAGTCATCCCATAAGCAGAAGGTGGAGGGCTGGCTCCCCTCTTTATTCCAGAAGGCCTGGAGTGATGGGAAAGGCTCTAGACCTAGTGAGTGGCCCTGAGTAGTTGTGTGAAAACTGTCTCTTCGCTTCCCCTCATGGAGCCTCAGTTTTTCCTTAAAAAGTGAGATGATCATATAATAATTCCCACAACAGACGCTCTTCCTGTGACCCTGTGAAAGGGAAATTATTTGAAAGCTGTTACTCATGGCATAAAAATTGGTTATTACCACTACTGTTCTTCATTTAGCAAAGACTGACCTGGCACTCATTGCTGGACCCAGGGCAGTGCCAAGCATGGGAGTGAACCCTAGAGGCTTCTGGGGAGACACAAAAAGATCATGGGCTTTGGAGGCTGGAGGCTGTCTATTCCCACCCCACTCCACCCTCCCCTACCACATGCGCCCCTGACCAGCCCACCTCCTACCACCCATGACTTGATGGGAAGAGCAAAACTGGGCTTGCAGATGCCACTTTATTCCTCCACTCAAGGAGAAAGCAAGGACATTCTCACAAAGGACATGTTTGATTCTTCCAACTTGGTTCTCTGAGACAGAGCAGGGAGGTGGACAGAGGTGGGTGTTCACCATTACAAGATGGTATGTCCTTTCCTCACGTTCTGTGACAGTTAACTTGACATATGTCTGTCTCCTCATTAAGCTGTCAGCTCTGGGGTCCAAGACTGATGTAAATTATCTTGTATCACTCCACATTGCCAAGCCTGATCTCCTTTCTTCTTTCCTCTCATTCACTCATTCATAAAATCAATTAACAATGTGCAAGTGAGCCCTGCTCTGGGTACTAGGGAAGCTCACTGAATGATGATGATGATTATAAGATGAAGAAGAAGGAGGAGAAGAAGTTGGATAAGGAAAAGGAGGAAGATGAGAAGGAAGAAGAAGAAGAGGACAGGAAGAATCACTGACATTTATTGACTACTTCGTGCCAACCATTTGGCACATATTTTCTCAGTTAATTCTCCTGGGGCTCTGTGACATGCATATTATTATTTTCATTTTACAGATGAGGAAACTGAGGCTCAGAGAGGCCAAGTTTCCATAGTAAATACCATCTGAGCTGAGATCCAAAGACAGGTGTGTCTGTTTCTAAAGCCATACCCTCTTTACCACCAGACTCTGGAGACAGCAATAAATAATGATGGTGGCAGTATGTGGAAAATGCAATGCCTGGTATCCAGTAGGTGCTCAATAAATGCTTCTTTAAATTGGGTTGTGTTGGTTTAAATACTGGCATTCCAAGATTTCTGGACCCATGGAGACCAAGCTAGATCCTTTTCAACTTCCCTCTTGGAGCCTAGGGCTTGAGGGGACAGGGGAAGATGGGCCTTGCAGCCCCCAGACCTAGCAAGGAGGCAGCTCTCACTCTTCCCACCCGGACAGAGTACCCTTTGTTTATTGTGCCTCTGCATCCTACCCAGTAATTAGCATTGGCAGCTTCATATTGAGCTTTTGTTTTCATAATTCTTTTGCCCGCGATGACATAATAAAGGGAATATTGATTCAATCCCAACTCCTCTTGGCCAGAAGCCCACATCAACCAATAAAAAAGAATTGCTAATTGCAGAGTGCGCTTGCCCAGCTGAGGCATTGGAGCAGGGCATTTTGATAGTGGCTGGAGGGCAGGCAGCTCAACCTCTAAACCCCCCTGGTCTGGGCACCAAGTCCTGTCCTGGGCACGGGACACAGTCCTCCAGCGAGACCAAACCCAGCTTCTCTACAGCACCAGGAAGAAGGCAAGCTGGGCCACCAGGGCGCGGCCCCAGGAAGGAAAATCCTCCATGGTCCTGTTGACAGATGTGGTATCAAATGAATTGTTCTCTGCTTAGACACGACTTTGATATTTATTGGTTCAAATTGCTCGGCTGACTCAGTCTTGCGTAAGTCTCCCTGGTCCGTTTTAATCTTGACGTTTTGGGAAGCCACACTGATGTGGGTAATGACTGGGTTTACCTGGGATCAAAATGAAAAGGGAGAAGGGGGGGGTCTGGAATAATTACAGTGGGGCAATGTATATTTTTGTGTAATCTGGAAAGGCGATTTATGAGGCCGATAAAAATGATAATGTTTTCTGCGTGGAGCCAGCATGGATTAGCTTGCAACAGAGCTTTCTTTGCAGGAAATGAAGGGGGTGGTGGCTGCCGTTTACTAGGCAAATAGTTGTTCTGAATCTCTGTTTTTTTCACTTCACTTCTGAAATTACTGAGATAAGGCACATTGGAATATAGATTGTGGTCCTCCTTCGGTTACTGTGAATTAAAATTTGTTTCCGGAGTGCAGGGAGGTAGGGATGCGATTTGTGTAATTAAGACCAGAAAAATGATGGGGAGGGAAGGGAATCCCCCAACCCCCATTCCTGCTCTATCTTTAGAATCGAAGCGCGGACGGACCCTGGTGATTTTGTTAAGCTTGGCTGGAATGAGGATTCCTGGTTCCGGGAGGAAGCTTACATAACTTCCTGGGCGGTCTCCTCCCAACCAATGCCCATTTTGCTGACCCAACTGTAAATGAATCAGAAACATTTCACTTCCATCCCTCTGAATTTGTAGTTCATAATCTCACAGGAAAATAGTAGTAGAAAAAGCTCCCAAGTATTTGCTCAACTCAAGATGGAAAGAAAATTGTAATAAAGGTTTAGTTTTACTCAATGTCTTCACCCTCCTTCAAAGTGTTCCTTATCTCCTCATCTCCAGGAAGGCCCACCAAGCAACAGACCCTCCCAGGCCCCACTCTGCACCAGGTGGGACACAGTGACCATGGAGGCAGTGCCTATAAGACTCATGCAAAGCCACCTCCACCATGCACGTGCCTCAGCCAGCAGATGCATTCATCTGGGCTCAGTCAGCTTCCACGCTGGCCCTAACGGTGATGCCTCGAGCTCTCCTAGTATCCAGTCTCTCTGACCACCACTTAACCCGCTTTGCTCCTCTGATCTTGATTAAGGAACATTCATTTTCCTAAGCAGTGGCCCTCATTCCTCCCAGACTTTGAAGGGAATTCAAATGCGGGGGAGAGAAATGCTTTCTCTCAAGGTGTTTAAAGGTCTCCAAAGGGTGACATTTTGAAAAATCAGGGCTGGTGTGGACTCAGCAACCACTACTCATCCTCCCGTCCACCTTGACAGAGAGATCATGCTCCTTCTTCCTCATGAGACCAAATGTGGTCCCAGAAAACTTGACAGAATGTAGACTCGTCACCCCATCAGAGTTGGCCCTTGGGCGAAACCCTCTCCCTATCCTTGCCAGAAGTCATAAGGTGCATGAAAGCACCTGAGCACATGTCCCTGGTACCGGTACCTGGTGCCTGATACCTGAGATCTGCCTCTGGGGTGATGTTAGATACTTGGCACCTTTGATCCACCCAACTCTCACAGCAACCCCAAGGGTCAAAATTTATTCTGTTTTATAGGTGAGGAAAGTGAGGCACAGAGAGATAAAATCACTTGCTCAAGTTCACACAGGCAGTAAATGGTGGCATTGGGATTCATGTGCAAGTCTAATGTTGCTTTAAGTTCACAGATACCAACTCTTCCTCCCCCAAGGTGTGTTAGATGGGCTTGTGTCAGAGTGAGGTGCTGTGGGATGATCATGGAAAGAATAGGAAGAAAGTTTCGAAAATGATCTCATTGACCTACTAAAACACTCACATGATAAACTTGGAAGTCGTCCAGGTACAAAGAGTCTTATAAGTCACCCGGCTGGGGAGAGAAGCAGTGAAATTGGAAGCCACTTCCGCTGAATCAATCAACAGGGTTCTGAGGCTTTCCCCTTATGTTAAGTTTTTATGGGTTCCCAGTAGATTGCTGGTAGGATTATGGTATTGGATGGACAGAGATACATTAGATCTGAGGCACAGCCCATCTCTTCTCCCCAAGAGGAAAATGAAGGACAGTGGATGTATTCATGCTTATGGTCATAAAAAGGCAACAAACTATTTTTTAAATCATAAAATTTTCTCCAGCAACAAGGAAAGTATTATGGACATGTAGACCTTCTAGAATATGAAATGCAAAAGGCCTTGTTCCCTTTAGGGCCAAAAATTATTTATTTATGTATTTACTTACTGTAATCTTGTAATAAAAAGAGTTATTATGACAGTAGAAATATCTATGCATGAGATAAAGCATCTTACTGCCCTGAGCCCTGAGCCTGCCATCGTGTGAATGCTCCTTAAGGATTAGGTTCATTCACTGAATGAACGTTTCTTTGTGTTTACTACCTGCCAGACCCAGTGCTAGGCTCTGGGGGATACAGTCACAGGACGCAGTCCTTGCCCACAGGGAGGGAGGGGGGAGTGTTGAAGGCAAACAGAAGCACATGCACAAGGTCTAAAGCAACTGAGGTCAGGCCTGTCACACAGCAAGAGGGAAGCTGGGGTGCAGAGGGGGTCAGTAAGGACCAGGCAGGCAAGGGAGGCAGGTCCAGATAGGATAGCCTTTCCAGAAGGCCACAGAGCCTTCTGAAGAAGGTGATGTGATTAGACCCTTTTGGCTGAAATGGAGAAATTGAATTGGAAAGGGACAAAAGTGGAAGTAGAAAAAGAACAGAAAGAGGCTGTTGCAAGAATCCAGATAAGAACAATGGTGGCTGGGAGCGGTGGCTCACGCCTGTAATCCCAGCCTTTGGGAGGCCAAGGTGGGTGGATCATCTGAGGTCAGGAGTTCGAGACCAACCTGACCAACATGGTGAAACCCCATCTCTACTAAAAGTATAAAAATTAGTTGGGCATGGTGGCAGGCGCCTATAATCCCAGCTACTCAGAAGGCTGAGGCAGGAGAATTGCTTTAACCCGGGAGGCAGAGGTTGCAGTGAGCCGAGATCATGCCATTGCATTCCAGCCTAGGCAACAGAGCAAGACTCTGTCAAAAACAAACAAACAAACAAACCAAAAAAAACAATGGTGGCTGGACCTAAGGCAGGGCAACGAAGGGGAGCACATCACTAATATAATAAACCCTTCGAGCTACACAGTCCTCTTCAGTTCACACTGTGCTTTCAGACACATTATCTTATCTAATTTGTGTGACCTCTACAAAAAAAGAACTATTATGCCTCATTTGCTAATAAGGAAGTTGAAGCTTATGAAAGTTAAGGGACAGGCCCAGGGTTCACAGCTGAGCCAGGCTCCAAATCCACATCATCTTATTCCAGTTTTAAGTTCATGCAACTGAGACTAAAGTCGCTGCTATGATAAAGCGGTACTGCCTTGAATGTTATGTTTTCTGGAGGGAAAAAGAGATCGTGGGCAAGTGACTTTATCAGCTTTTCCACTCCTTGCCTATGTTCTTTTGCCGGTTATTACAATTCCTTGAGGTCTTATTTTTCCCCCTTTTATTTTACTTTTTATTTCCATGGGTTATCGGGGAACAGGTGGTATTGGTTACATGAGTAAGTTCTTTGGTGGTGATTTGTGAAATTTTGGTGTACCCATCACCTGGGCAGTATACACCACAACTTATTTGTGGTCTTTTACCCCTCACCCCCTTCCCACCCTTTCCCCCTGAGTCCCTAGAGTCCACTGTGTTATTCTTAAGCCTTTGCATCCTCATAGCTTAGTTCCCACTTATGAGTGAGAACATATGATGTTTGGTTTTCTATTCTTGAGTTACCTCACTTAGAATTTGTCTCTAATTTGCAGAAGAGGAAAACCAAGAGCTTGGGGAGATTAGGTGGCTTGCCCAAGATCACAGAGAGAAGGGAAGAGTCAAACCTTAGAGTCAGATCTTTTGACTCGTGTTCAATTCTACATCTTTATGTGATTCTAGGAATCATGAATTTGATAACAAAGAAAGCAAATACATTTTTCCACTATAATAAATCTGTCACAGGTCACAGAGATTACAGGTGTATATCTACCTTACACTAATTTCTCATCTACCTACTATGTGCCAAACACTGAATTAGGTGCCAAGACAAAAAACAAAACAAACAAAACAAACAAACAAACAAAAACTTCATCCGATCATCCATTACCTCATTAATTGAGAACATTGATTACATGTTGCTTGCAGGCCAGGTTTACCATTTGCTCACCATGCCAGAATGCAATTTGAATTAACTCTAGAAAGGGGTAGGAGTTGGCCAGGTGGAGGAGCATCCCAGATAAAAGGTAGAGCACAAGCAAAGGTATGCTGTGAAAGGGGTGTGGTGGCGTCCTTGGGTATCAGGGAGCAGTGCAGAATGCATCCGGAGGGCCAGAAACTGGCTCCCATTGGGAAGAGTTGGTCCATGAGGCAAGGAAGGTTGACCTGGGTTCCTTTACCTCCTCTATCCAGTAGTGAGGCTGTTTTCTCTCTCTGCCCTTTCTTTCTTTGCCATATGCCATGACCCCAAAAATCAAATGACTGTAGGCTGGTAACATTAAAAAGCAAAGCAGGGGGCTGGGAGTGGGATAGACTGGGAAGGGTCTTGAAGAAACTTCCTGGTGCATATTTCCAGAAAGCCAGTAACCAGTGATGCAACAACAGTTATATTAAATGCCTATTGTATGCCAGATACTATGCTAAGCTAGTATTATCACATTTAAGATTCACTTTAGCCTACTGATATAGGCTCCATTTTTAGCTCCGTTTTACAGATGAAAAAAAGAGGCACCAAGAGGTGAGACGCCTGCCCAAGGCCTCACTGCCAGAGGGAATGGGTGCCAGGACCAGAAGACAGTCTGATCACAAAACACGTGCTCTGAATCAGCTTTGCTTTGTGGCAGAAGTAACACACTGGAGTGCACCTGCAAATGTTTCACTTGACCATTGGCATAAATTGTTTCTTGTCATTTAAACATCAGAAAAATGTAAATGTTTACATTTAAACGTCATGTAAAAATGAGAATATCTGGCAACACCAAACCTGCAATCACAAGCCAATTAACAATTACAGCCAAGTAGGAGAGACCTATGCCCCCGAGTTCACTGCAGTCCCCACTACTCCCTATTGTCTTAGCACTGGATTCCTAATTCGCAATTCTTCCCAGCATTATGAAAAATGTTGAGCATACAGAAAAGTTGAAAGAATTGTGCAGTGAACACCAAATACCTAGATTCTACCATTAACATTTTACTCTACTTGTTTTATTACTTACCTGATTATCTTCCCATCTCTCCGTTCGCTCATATTCTTTTTGATGCATTTCAAAGTCATTAACATCAGTATACTTTACCTTGCAACACTTCTGCTTGCATGTGTCCATCTGTGTCATTCATTAGAGCTCAACATTTGCTTAGTTTCTTTTCTTGAGATGAGATTTATATATAGTGAATTGCACAATCTTAAGTGTTACCATCCTATGAGTGCTGATGAATGCAAACGCTGATAAGCCCAGACCCCTCCACGATATAGAACATTTGCCTCTCCCGGAAGTTTCTTCATGGCCCTTCCTACTTCATCCCACTGCCACCTGGAGCTCCCTTGGCCTGCCTAGCATAAGCAAAGGCATCCTGCCCTTCTCTAAGTGCCCCCACTGCTGGGCTACCTGGAGAGAGAATACAGGTTACAGAGAGTGTGATGCAATCAGTCTGTGGGTGATGGGGGCTGGGGCAGCCTTGAGCAAGGAGGGAGGGCAGTTCTGCACCCCCATCCAGACATCCACTGGACATCTAGCTGAATGACCATCAAGTCATGCGTGAGCCATGGGAGGCCTCTGAGCGGGGCTCTCCTCCCTTTAGATATAAGAATTTCTACAATTTCCCTCAAAAGACATTTCTAATCTTCTTGGCTTTTTTCACCACCCTCTTTTAGTCATGCAGGTTTGATTCAAATGTTTTGAGTGGTACCCCTTATTTGCCCCAAGCACATGGTTTAACCCAGCCCACCTGGACACAGCATCCTCTCATTTTCCTTTGAGCCACCGAACATTTTCTGTGTGCAGAAAAAGGGTCCCGGATGCTGGCTAACCACCGTCATGCCCATGATCAGCCCTGGGAAGCCTGGCTGAGCCCTGCGGTGTTAAGCCTCATCCCAGCTTAGGAGGTGAGATGAACGGAGGTCCCACACGTTGCCAAAGAGCTCAGAGCAAGGCCAGAGAGACCAGGGAGCATCTGAATCACACTCTGGACTATTGGGACAACAGCTTCTGATGTCTCAAGTCCATGGATATTTCTCTGTGCAAGATCCTGGCCAAAGACAGGTTCACAGGTATCAGAGATGGAGACACAAAAAAAATGATAAGTTGCCTCAAGAGCCTTAAGGTATTCCCCTTCCCCATCTCCAACATCTTCCCCAAGCCGTCCTTGATAAAAAGAAAATCCAGGTAAAATCAGCATGCTTACATAATAAGTATAAGACAATTCCTCCAACCCCCACTCCCAGTCAGCTGGTCATTTCTAAAACCCTCCTATAAAGAAATTCTAGAATGACCTCTGTGAAAGACCCTTGCTGGTTTTTGAGACCAGGGTATGAAAACTCCCCAAAACCAAATACTTCCAAGATCAGGCAGACAATATTAATGATGGAAGCTGATGGGTTCTTACCATAGTGAATTTCATATTCTGTATGTTGTCATCTATACAGATACTTGCTTCATTCATTCATTTATTCATTCATTCATTCATTTCTACATGTTAAACACATAGGAATGCTCTTTGCTTAAAAAAACACCCCTGAGATTTGTCTTTAAAGATACAACCTTCTAGGTCTAGGTTTTGTCATCCTATTTTGATAGGCAGTAGATACAAGAAATATTTCACTTCCCTCTTTGTTATAACACAAGTGTGATACCTCATGACAGAGGACAAGTAGTGGCTGCACAGCTTATTGAGGGTCACTACAGAGTGGTGAGAAGTGCAGTGAACCGGAGCTCGTGTGTCTGTCCAGGGAGGCAGCTGCTACCCACACCCAGATGGTTGCTGCCGCTGGAGTATTCAGTCCAGTAGCGCTACAGCTTCTTGTGTTTATTTTTCCCGCAAGAGAAACCAGAAGTAAGGATTTTTTATGGGCCGGGCATGGTGGCTCATGCCTGTAATCCCAGCACTATGGGAGGCCGAAGCGGGTGGATTGCTTGAGCTCAGGAGTTTGGGACCAGCCTGAGCAACATGGCAAAACCCTGTCTCTACTAACAACACCAAAAATTATCCAGACGTAGTGGTGTGTGCACCTGTGGTCCCAGCTACTTGGGAGGCTGAGCTGGAAGGATTGCTTGAGCCTGGGAGGTGGAGGTTGCAGTGAGCCGAGATCGTACCACTGCACTCCAGCCTGGGCAAGAGAGTAAGACCCTGTCTTAAAAAAAAAAAAAAAAAGTGTCAAATCTTCTTATTTTAAATTTGTCAACTATTTTAAATTAAAATTTAAAAAAGAAAAGAAGCTAAAATAAACAATGTCTGCAGGCCACATCTAGCCTGTGGGCCACCACTGTAGTTCATTTTGTAACACTTGACGGAATTTTTAACTACAGATTCATTGGATGGTTGACTTGCTTACCTGGCACCCTGTTTGATTTTAAGGAGCCACAGCTCCCAGTTTTAATCCTTTCTCTGCCATCACTCATGGGCGAGGGGGGTCTTGATTAACTCCTTACGCCTCTCAAGGCCTTAGGGTTCCCATTTGTTAGGGGGAAAAAAACAAGATTAGGTTAGTCTGACTTTTCCAAACTTTCCTAATCAGAAGAATCACTGAGTCACACAGAAAAGGGGTTACAAATTGCTCTTAAATATGGGGAAAATGCTCAGTCTCATCATCATGAGGAAATGCACATTAGCTTGGTGGAGATAGCTAAAAGTTGATAACGTGGAGGGTGTGAGAGCAGCGGTGCGTCTCATCTGTTGCTGTGGAATGGGCATGGTTCCCGCCTCTCAGAAGCAATGTGGCAATACCACTCAAAACAACAAAGGCACAGGCTTTTGACCCAGTCAGGCCACTTCTAGGAATGTTTCTTAATCATGTACACATGTGAAGAGATGTAGGTACAAAATTGCTTCTTTCAGCATTGTTTGCATTGGCAGAGGATCAGAAACAACGTAAATGTCCATCAACAGGGGATTGATTAAATACACTATTGTTCATCTATACAATAGATTACTACACAGCCATTAAAAAATGTGAAGAGGGTAAATCTCTTGGTAAGTATTCTTGCTACAAACATGAAATGAAATAGAATACAATAAAATGAAATAAAAGAGAGCACTTTATCTAGTGGTGTGCTGGCAAATGTTTAACATCCAGTTCTCTAGCTGGGGAGGCTGGGGTGGGGTTCACTCTGACTGCAGCATTTGCTTGTGGTTTAGATACTTCCACCATGGTCAACTTCAAGCAACCAACATGAGGTCACTGAACTTGAACTTGAGAAAAGATTCATCTCTGTTGACTCTAGCCCATTACTGCCTTTATTAACTGATATGAAAAGATCTCCAAGATGTATTGAATAAAAGAAAAGGCAAAACACAGAACAGTATACATAGTAGGTATTATTAACATAAAAAAAGAGGAGAGGGTAAAAAATATATACGTATATAAATACTGGCCTGTGTATCACAGATTTCACTGGAAGAATACACACACAGACACACACACACACACACACACACAAGTACACACACAGAGAGCCACTAATTTTGTAATTGGGGATGGGAACCAAGAGGCTGGTGGTGGGGGGCAAAGTGGATGGAAATGCTTTATTATCACTCATGTATACTCTGTCAAAGATCTATGATATGAATGTCTCACATCTAAAAGATTGTTAAGACTGCCATGTATCACCTGGAAGATTTATTGAGTGCTAATTCCATGGCCTCTCCCAGGAGATTTTAACCTGACATCCTTGGTGTGATGCTGGAAAAATCAGTTTTTAACAGATTTCTCAGATGAGTCTTAAAATTAGGCAAATTTGAGTGGCACTGTCTAGCCCAACCTTTCCATTTGATGAGAAATGCAGTAAGTGTGGGGATTTTACATGGCCCACAGAGGGGAAGGGCCTGACCTCCAGGCACCAGGGGAGTCAGGGCTGAACCCAGGGCTGACACGCAGCCTCACCCCCTTGCCTGGGCCATGCCCCGTGCTTTCCAGGGCTGGAGCCTGGGCATGGTCTTACCTGCAGCACTGAGACCCAGAAAGAGATATGGCCTGTCTGGGCTCACACAGCCACTGCCCAGGAAAATTCTACCCAATATACACCCACAAGAACAATCCACAGGAGTTCTCTGCTCCTCCCGTTCGACAGACAGCCACATCTTCTCATGCATCACCAGCCGCATCCCTGAGACACCACGGTGAAGGTGAAGGCTGGAGTCAATGGATTTGGTCGTATTGAACACCTGGTAACCAAGCCTGCTTTTAACTCTGGTAAAGTGGATATTGTCACCATCAATGACCCCTTCGTTGACCTCAACAACATGGTCTACATGTTCCAGTATGATTCCACCCATGGCAAATTCTGTGGCACCGTCAAGGCTGAGAACAGGAAGCTTGTCGCCAGTGGAAATCCCATCACCGTCTTCCAGGGCGAGATCCCTCCAAAATCAAATGGGGTGATGCTGGTGCTCAGTACATTGCGGAGTCCACTTGTATCTTCACCACCATGGAGAAGGCTGGGGCTGACTTGCAGGGAGGAGCCAAAAGGGTCATCATCTCTGCCCCCTCTGCTGATGCCCCCATGTTCGTGATGGATGTGAACCACGAGAAGTATGACAACAGCCTCAAGATCGTCAGCAATGCCTCCTGCATCACCAACTGCTTAGCGCCCCTGGCCAACGTCATCCACAACTTTGGTATCGTGGAAGGACCCATGACCACAGTCCATGCTATCACTGCCACCCAGAAGATTGTGGATGGCCCCTCCGGGAAACTGGCATAACGGCCGTGGAGCTCTCCAGAACATCATCCCTGCCTCTACTGGCACTGCCAAAGCTGTGGGCAAGGTCATCCCTGAGCTGAACAGGAAGCTTACTGGCATGGGATTCTGTGTCCTCACTGCCAATGTGTTGGTCATGGACCTGACATGCCATCTGGAAAAACCTGCCAAATACAATGACATCAAGAAGGTAGTAAAGCAGGCATCCAACGCCCCCTCAAGGGCATCCTGGGCTACACGAGCACCAGGTGGTCTCCTCTGACTTCAACAGCGACACCCACACCTACTCTTCCACCTTCAATGCTGGGGCTGGCACTGCCCTCGATGGCCACTTTGTCAAGCTCGTTTCCTGGTATGACAATGAATTTGGCTACAGCAACAGGGTGGTGAACCTCAGGGCCCACATGGCCGCCAAGGAGTAAGACCCCCTGACCACCAGCCCCAGCGAGAGCACCAGAGGAAGAGAGAGACCCTCACTGCTGGGGAGTCCCTGCCACACTCAGTCCCCCACCACACTAACTAAGAATCACCCCTCCTCACAGTTTCCATGCAGACACCCTGAAGAGGGAGGGGCCTAGGGCGCCCCACCTTGTCATGTACCATCAATAAAGTCCCCTGTGCTCAGCCAAAAAAACAACAACGAAAAACAATCCACAGGTCTCCAATCTACATCCTGAGCAACTGGACTCAAACCCACTAGTCAATGTCAATCAAGGCTTTATCCTCAGAGGATCAGAGGACAACACTGCCCCAGCACCCTGGCAATCCCTTCAGATGAATGACCTGGGACAGGGCAGAAGACCCTTTTGTGTGAGCTCTGGCATGTAAAGTATCGTCTCTTACCTTGCCGGCATTCGTCGCCAGCTGCTGTCTCACAAAGATGAGAGGTGAGCTGGGGAGGGGATAGAGAAAAGAAAAAGAAAGAAACAAAAGCCGTTTCTCCCCAAGTGCTTTGCCATTGATAGCTGATATGCTTGGCTGCCATTCAGTCCCTCGCTGTCTCCTGTGTCTCTGTACCTGCCTTTTGCACACATAATTAATTGTGTGTTTTCAAAAATGGCACATCATTCCTCCATATACAACAACAAACTCAGTCCAGAGACAAATTGAATCAAGTTCTCTGGGTGTTTTTTTTTCTCACTTCAATTAACACGAAGACTGGCATATATCAGAGGTGCAAATCTCCTAGCGTTATGTGACCACAAGCAGGGATGCAGCAGAATGTACACCCCCAATTATGTCTTTAAGTGCTCATTGGAGACACTTGTAATCATGTTTTATTACTGGTCTCCTCCCCAGCATAATGAACTTTGATGAAATAATGAAACAGCCCTGGCGCCTGAGCAGTCAGGCTGGCGGCCTTGCCAGCTAAGACCTCCCATGAGTACAATAGCCTGAGCGGGGCGCCCGGCTCCAGTGGCAATGGGGCGGAAAACCTGGCTCCCCGCCCTCAGCTCCCCGCCTCCTGGCTGCTGGGCCTGCCCCTCTGAGTCAAAAAAATGCCACAGCCAATTGGAAATGGGGAGCAGGCCAGGAAAGCTGGGGCTCACAGAGCCTCAGAACAGAAGTACTGGACAGGAGTTAGGTGGAGGACATCTCTTCCAACCCACCTTGTCAAGATGGGGAAACTGAGTCCCAGAGAGGGAAAATATTCTCACTGAGGCCACGCAGTGGCAGAGAAGGGACTCAAAGAGGGGACTCGAAAGACCTCTCCAAATCCTAGGTATTTCTTTAGTCTCTACAGGATTCTCTTACCCAGTGTCTCCCAGCCCCAAAGAAGCTTTGAGAAATCTCAGATTCCATGGTCCCACCCAGGAAATACTAATTCAGTAGGCCTATGGGCAAAGCCAGGCATCTGTGCTTCCCAAGCAATTCTGAACATCAGCAGATGTGGTTGAGAAGTTGAGATTGACAGGAAGTTTAAAGTCCTCCTGGATGAAGGTTGCTATTTCTCCTTGCAACTAAAAGTAGGGGCACAGCCTAGCAGCACTGGCATCCCCAGGAGGTCCTCAATCAGAATTCTGCATCTTGGCATGCTCTCCAGCTTGAGGAGCACTGCTATATCCCCTCAGTGCATCCCAGAGGGTCTCCTGAGGATCTGACTCCATCATGATAGATAACCAACACCTTTCTGCAGAGAGCCTGGGCAATAACACCGTCTGCCATGAGCCCAGATGCTGACGCCCCACAAAGAGCCGATATTATCCCCATTTTGCAGTTGAAGGAACCAGGGCTGAAGAACTGACTTGAAACTTAAAATCCAAGGCCTTCCACGGCTTCTTTTTTCCCCCTCCTAAGCCCCCTTCCCTGTTGTATATGTATAGATAGGAAAAGATAACACATATAAAATCTCAGCTACAAGTTGTGTTTTCTAGCTGATTTGTCTAGATGCCTTTTGAGGAAAATCCCAAAGCTTCTCTGGTATTGGGATTGTATAAATTTATTACTTTAAAAGCTCATATAGAAGGTTGGACGCAGTGACTCACCCCTGTAATCCCAGCACTTTGGGAGGCCAAGGTGGGAAGATTGCTTGAGTCTAGGAGTTTGTGACCCGATCTCAAAAGAAAAAGCACAAAATGCAGATAAAAGTGTTTAAACCTCCTTGGGAAAGAAACTATTTATTTGTGTTACATTGTCTATAAGTTATTTTTAAATGCATTATAAGTAGTGTGATGCATATATGTTAATTTTTTATTTTATAAATAACTGTATTGCACATTTTACACATCATTCACTTGTTTCAAGTGCACAATTCAATGACATTTTAGTACATCTACAAAGTTGCATACCATCACAGTAAATCAATTTGGGAACATTTCCATCACCCCAATAATATCCCTCATGCATATTTACTGCAATCCCTCACCCCCATCCCAGGTAACCCCAATTTTCTTTCTGTCTCTATAGATTCCATTTTTCTGGACATCCCATCTGAATGGAGTGGTTGGTCTCTTATGTCTGGCCTCTTTCACTGAAGAGTCTTGTTTCTGAGGTTCATCCATGTGGTTGCTTGTATCTGTGATTCATTCATTTTTATTCCTGTATAGTATTCTGTTGTATGGATATACCACATTTTGTCTTTCCATTATATGTGAATTAATTTTATCTACACCCAGAAGTAGTGAAAATTCGAAGGACCTTTATTAGGAATCCATGTCCACAGGGTCTTCAAATATCCAGTTGCTTATCTAGAATAAAGAATGTTGGAGATCATTTTTCTTTGGTGAAATGAGTGTTGCCCAAGAACTGAAGGGGGGCAGATAGACTGTACAGACACTGAGGTCCTCTCTGTCTGGTGCATTTCCAGCCACCTGGTTGTACTATGAGGTCAGTTAAATTTGCCATGAGAATATGCTGCATACACTGTGGAGTGAATCTTTCCAGAAAAATACTTCTCATGACAGACAGCTAGGACTTCACTTATTTTATAGGCACTCATAACTGTTTGTGTCTGTTTGTTATTAAGTGAAATCCTCCCCCCACCCATTTGCTAACATATGTCGTACATGTAGCAAAATTCAATCTGTGACTCATTTTCCTTATACCCTACTATCCAGTAGTGAAGCTGTGGAGGGAGAAATACATAGTTCCCACCTCCCCAATCTCCCCCCGATATTTACCAAAAGAAACTTGTAATTGGTGAATGGTCAGATTGTCTTAGATCAGTTTGCAACACTTCCAAAATTATGCATTGCATCCTTCAGTACTGGGTTCCAGATACGTAAGTGTGGAAGACTTTACTACCACCAGCCTTTGACGTTTGGCATGGCCATGTGACTGGTTCTGGCCAAGGAGTTGTGAGGTGAAGTGACAGGTGTCACTTCCATTCCAAAGAAGTTCATTGCTGGTCTCAACACTCCACCCCTCCTGTAGTGAGCCCTGAAGCATGGCATTGAGAAGCTGCCTAAGAAGGAGGCAGATCCATCAGCCTGGGTGCCCGACTGATTACCCTGAGCAGAGCTCCCCAGCCCACCTGTGATGGACGCATGGAGCTTGAGCAAGGAATAAATATTCGTTGCTGTAAGTCACTGGGACTGGGAGGTTGCTTGTGGTTGTAGCATAATTCAGCCTGTCCTGCTTGACTGCAAAAGTAAGCACATTCAAGCATGGCCCTCGACTCAGAATTGCCAGTCAAGTGGGGAAGTTCAGCCTTAATTAGACCATAAAAACAAAAATAAAAAGAACAATTGCAAACTGATTGCAAACTGATGATAATGCATGGTCTGGGTAAGTCAGAGAAAAATCAAATTCAAGTGAGAACCCGCAAAGAGATGGTGGTTTCTCTGGCAGAAGCAACACCAATGCAATGGCCCGGGAGCGCAAAGACCCTGTGGGGTGTTCATCCACCAATCACCGGGTGCCTCTGCCCTTCCAGCCCCACTAAAGTGAGGAAACAAGGGCCGTAGGAGAAGCCACATCTGCCTGAGACCCCTGCTGTCTGGGGTCCTGGGTGCCTGGGCTCTAGACTGTCCACTCCCTTTGAGCAGCTCATGGCCTGAGAGGTGGCCCCAAAGCCCTCGCACATCTAGTCCCGCAGGATCCTGCTCCTGCAAGTTTTCACTGAGGGAACTCTGCCAATGTAATAGTTTTAACTGCAACAGAAAGTTGTTATACATATATGATAATAATAGTACTTTTAATAATAGTACTTTTCTTTGTGCTTTCAAGTTTACAAAGCACTTCCATCTATTTAAAAAACTTTTGCAGTATTAAATACCCTCCAGCAGCTTCCTAGCTTGTTTAGAATAAAATGCACATTCCTGAGCATGACGCAGGAGGCCCTGCTTCCCCTCCCCCCCCGCCATGTGGGCTCTGCTTCCCCACCGCCATGTCCTCCGCTAAGACAGGGCTGCCTTGCTGTTCCTCACCCCACCCGCCTACCCCATGCATCCACCCAGAGCCTTCCTACGACATCCATTCCGTACACATTGCAGGATGCCCTTTGCTCTTCTCCTTTGGCTCAAACCTCATTTCTTCAAAGAGATGTTTCCTTGCCATGAAATTAAGTTATTCCCCCATTCCAATAGCCCTCTCTACAAATCCCCTATTGCATCATTTTCATCACAGTTGCCACCATTTAGTGTGAATCATTTATTTCTTGATTGGTTGCTTCCCTGACAGAGCTGGGAAATAATGAAGACTTATTTGTTTATTTATTTTTGAGATGGAGTCTTGCTCTGTTGCCCAGGCTGGAGTACAGTGGCAAGATCTCAGCTTACTCCATGCAACCTCCGCCTCCTGGGTTCAAGCAAGTATCCTGCCTCAGCCTCCCGAGTAGCTGGGATTACAGGTGCCCGCAACCACGCCCGGCTAATTTTTGTAATTTTAATAGAGACGCGGTTTTGCCATGTTGACCAGGCTGGTCTCGAACTCCTGACCTCAAGTGATCCACCTGCCCCAGCCTCCCAAAGTGCTGGGATTACAGGCATGAGCCACTGCACCCAGCCAGAGATTTATTCTTATAAACTCAATGCCTAGGATAGCTCATTGGACTGTCACCCTTTGAGGGATATATTTATTTCCATTTTTGCTTGTGGAGAAAGTGGAGTGAAGAAGTTTGAGCAAGGTCCTAGGGCTAACAGTAGAGCGGAAGTGATTCCAGATCTTGCAGCCCCTGAGCCTGTGGCTTTTCCCCACCCAGCCAAGTCAAGCCAAGCCAAGTCTTGCCATCCAGTGTGCTTCTGTGTCACAGAGAACAGCAGACAGCCACATTGCAAGGGGGCTGATGAACTAACTAATTCACACTCAAAGGTGAGTGTCTAAAGGTCGCTTTTCTGCAGCCCTTCCCAGGAGGAACTGGGATTTTAACAAAGGAGTGAGAGGAGCAGCGTGGGCCTCAGCATAGAGGACTTTAAGCCTAGTTCTGACAAAGTCACTTTCAAAGTGAGGGTCATTGTTACCTGGGAGCCATTTCATGGGACTTTAATCAGTGCCCAGGTCAGAGCAGTGACATCCTGGCCTGTCCCCGAAAAGCCTGGGTGGCCTCAAGGCCCAGACTGCTCACCCACCAAAGGCCTCCAATTTAGACTCCTCAGCAAACACAACACCTGTGTCACATGGATTATACGAAGAGGACGCCCACTTCAAAGTTTTCATTCAGCATCCCCCATCCGGATCACACTTCATATTTCCAAAAAGAAAGCTACTCCTTTTCTTACGCATAGTACAACTTGATTACACTGTAATATTCTTGGCTATTAGCATGCATTGTAAATTATTATCACCGTATTTGTAACTCTGATTTGGCATCTCTTCACTTTTTAATATGCCCAGGCTCTTAAAAAGTCACTCCTTTTCTGCAAGGACCAAAAAGAAAATGGAAAAGTGGAATATGAAATGATTTGGGGTGCCCCCTTTTAGTCTTTGTGAAAAATCCCTGGGCATCTGGAGTGAGAAATGAGCATGCATTTTATAGAGGGGCGGTCAGGCAGGCCCCACCCAAGAAGGGCTTGTTTTACATCACAGGGGACCAAGGGCCAGGATTAGAACCCGGCCTCACTCGAACCCTTTCAAGGATCTTTGAAATCTCTTTCTTACAGTCCTGAGAACCCCACTGCGGATGAGAACAAACGTTTGTTCGGCTGACCCTTTCTCAGATCCCGCCCACTGAGAAGTGACAGTCCCTCCTCTCCCCGCCTCTCCCTGACCCCCAGCTCTCCGCGGCGGGATCTGAGCCCTCTCCTGCTGGACTTGTGGTACTTGCTGAACAATCTCGTGTTGTTGTCTGCCCGCTGGGAGAGAACACTGATAAGAGAGGCGATTAGGTGACTAAATCTGCTGGCTGCCCTTACACAATGCCAGCAGGTAACTCATTTGAAGCTTAATGGCTGGATTTAGTCATAAAGGAGGCCTGCAGAGGGAGTGATGTCAGAAGTGCAGGAGATTGGAGGCGGAATCAGGGCTTCCAACCGATAGATGGAAAGAGATTGTCAGCAAGATGTAGAAATGTGTTTGTGTGTAAGAACACAGCACATTGTGCACCTTCACATATGTGTGTAAGAGAGAGAGAACCAAAGAACCCAAGGGCTGAAAAAGCCTTGGTGATTCTAGTTCCAGCTACCTTATTTTATAGATGGGGAAACTGAGGAAAGGGCTTGTGCAAGATCCGGCTTCTGGGAGTCCTGTTCTCTATCACAGCAGGAAGTGGAATTATTCTGGTATTATTTACTTGCCACTTTTCATCTCCAGGAGTCATAGCCATTTTTATCTCTCCCTGTGTATCTGTTTGCCCCTGGGGGTAGCACTGTGCCTGAGGTCTGGCTGCTGAGAAATGAAACACTCCTAATGTGCGGATGGAGGCACAGTCACCGCAGGGCCAGGCAGTAAGATGCATCATTGAATAGGGAAGCCCATAGGGTGTGCAGCGTTTGGGAATGGTGGGGACTGTGGCTTGCACGCAAGAATACACTCGGTTTCAGAGGGACAGCTGCCACTTAGTGCCAGGCAGATTTAGCCTTGGAAAATGCAAACCCAGTTTTGCTAGACCTTAGGAATTTCAAAAGAATCTTGTTCAAGTGAGGAACAAGATTTTTTTTTCTAGGCAAAGTCTCTGATTTTTTTTAATGTAGGTAAATGTTTAAATGCTTTGTTTTTCAATACTTTGGATCAATCAACACATCTGCAGTCAGGATGGGGCCCATAGCCCTCAGCTGGTGACCACTGATCATTTTATCGATGGGAACACTGAAGTCCAGAAAGAAGAACCAAAACTTGGGTCTCATGCTTCCCTGTACTGGGGAATTTTTTTCTACTGCATTGCACAGTATGTGTGTGTGTATGTGTGTGTGTGAGAGAGAGAGAGAGAGAAGAAAGAGAGAGTGTATGTGTGTGAGAGAGAGAAGAAAGACAGAGAGACAGTGTGTGTGTGTGTGTGAGAGAGAGAAGAAAGAGAGACAGTGTGTGTGTGAGAGAGAGAAGAAAGACAGAGAGACAGAGTGTGTGTGTGTGTGTGAGAGAGAGAGAAGAAAGAGAGACAGTGTGTGTGTGAGAGAGAGAAGAAAGAGAGACAGCGTGTGTGTGTGAGAGAGAGAGAGAGAGAAGACAGAGAGACAGAGTGTGTGTGTGAGAGAAGAAAGACAGAGAGACAGAGTGTGTGTGTGTGTATGTGAGAGAGAAGACAGAGTGTGTGTGTGTGTGAGAGAGAGAAGAAAGAGAGACAGAGTGTGTGTGTGTGTGAGAGAGAGAAGACAGAGAGACAGAGTGTGTGTGTGTGAGAGAGAGAGAGAAGACAGAGAGACAGAGTGTGTGTGTGTGTGTGTGTGAGAGAAGAAAGACAGAGAGACAGAGAGAGTGTGTGTGTGTGTGTGTGAGAAAGAAGACAGTGTGTGTGTGTGTGTGAGAGAGAAGAAAGAGAGACAGAGTGTGTGTGTGAGAGAGACAGAGAGAGAAGACAGACAGTGTGTGTGTGTGTGAGAGAGAGAGAGAGAAGACAGAGAGACAGAGTGTGTGTGTGTGTGAGAGAGAGAGAAGAAAGAGAGACAGAGTGTGTGCATGTGTGTGTGAGAGAGAAGAAAGAGAGACAGAGTGTGTGTGTGAGAGAGAGAAGAAAGACAGAGAGACAGAGTGTGTGTGTGTGTGTGAGAAGAAAGAGAGACAGAGTGTGTGTGTGTGTGTGAGAAGAAAGACAGAGACAGAGTGTGTGTGTGTGTGAGAGAGAGAGGAGAGACAGAGTGTGTGTGTGTGTGTGTGTGTGTGTATATACACATCTATGTAGGCACAATCTGATGAAAAACCAGAGCTCTACATAACAATACTCCTGACCATTCATGGTACAATGTGATCTTTACCCACATAATCTGCACAGCAGCCACTGGCCATAAACATTTCTGTGTTTGCTCACTCCTCACTGCAGGCTGTATGTGTATCTGTCATTCATCACTTCACAGGCTCCTTTACATGTATTTTATCCTTTCTATCCCTAACACTGGGACAAGGAGCCTTAAGTAATATTGTCCTACCCATTGGGCAGATGAGAAGACTGAGGTCTACAGTGGTACATGGACCAGCCCAAGGTCACATGGGGAGTGAAAGGCAGAGATGGAATTCAGACCCCAGTCTCTCAGGCAGGTGTTCTCCTTCCCATACCACTCTGCATCTTTGTTTTTCTGCTTCCTAACAAACAGGGCCTGTTTCTTCTCCTTCCTGTTTTTGGTTCTTTCAAACATCCTGAGCACGTGAGCCCAGGATCCTCCTTAAGCCCTAGGGAGACAAAAACTCCCCTGGAGAAACTGGGAGGCAGCAGGACTGAAAGAGAGTGAAGAGAAAATCCAGGCCTTTTCCTTCTCGTGGCCTTGGAGCACAGTTTCAGCATTCTCCATCATCTTCCTGGAGGAGTAGGACCTGGTTGAAGAAAAAGAGACCCTAATTTTAAATCTTTAATGCCTCCTCACTTCTATAACGACCTAAAGCTGAAGCTGAACTTCAATAGCATAAATTATCCACAAAATTCTAAATATTTTCAAAATCTGTGCAAAATCTCGGCATGAAGTCCCCAAGGACAGGCACCTGGCCATCTCACTTTTAGTATATTCTCAGAATCTTGGACAGAGCCTGGCATATAACAGCTGCTCAATAAATATAAAGGAGGAAGGAAGGAAGGAAATAAAGAAAAGAGAAGAGGGAAGGAGGGAAGGAAGGAGGGAAGAAAAGATGGAGAAAGAAGGAAAGGAAACATATGTATGTCAGCCCAATCCTTAGAATTAAACCTTCCAGAATTAAGGCAGCAACTGGGTGCCTGCAAATGTCTAGAGTGTTGTGGATAATTCATTGCAAAGAATTCCAACTTCAGTTATGGGCCAGAGACAGGTGGCAGTGGAGAGCAATGAAGAGTTAAGATTTTATGACCTCAATCCTAACTGTGCCGCTGACCTTGGATGAGTTATTTTATCTTTCTGAGCTTCAATTTAGCAACTGTGTTTGTTTTCTATTGTTGCCATTAAAAAATTATCACAAACTTAGTGGCTTAAAACAATACACATTTATACACTTAGAGTTCTGGAGCGCAGGAGTCTGAAATGGTAAGCATTCCTCCTGGAGGCTGTGGGGCAGAATGCGTTCTCTTGCCTTTTCCAGCTTCTAGAAGCTGCCTGTGTTGTCCGTCTTGTAATCCTGCATATCTCCAACCTCTGCTTCCATTGTCACATCTTCGATTCTGCCCCTCCTGTCTGCCTCTTCTAGGGACTCTGATTACACTGGACCTATCCAAGATCTGAGATCATCAACTCATCTCAAAATCCTTAAGCTGACCACAGCAGCATCGTCCCTTTTGCAGTGTAAGGTAACGTATTCACAGGTTTTAGATCATTTTCTGCCTACCACATCCACCAAAACAATAAAAGATACCGTTTACCTTACGGGATTGTTCTGAATGTTAAACTGAAAAAAACGCATGTTCAGCACTAGACATGCAGGAAGAGATTTATAAATATAACTTCTTACCAGGTCTCAGAAATACAGATCTGTCCCTGCCTTGGGGGCCATATAATCCCATCCTTATCATAAAGATAAGTGGGAAACAGTATCAAAGGAATACTTGGAAGATAAACTCTCCCACATCTCACTCCCTGAGAGTGACTCTATTTACTGTTGCTTGCTTCCTTCTCATCTTCGCCCCAAAGCAGACACATTTGGCATAGCTGCAATAATAGTGTGCACGCCTTTTCATCAAACTTGTGTTCCTTTCACTTTTCGTGGACCTACTGACCTTGTTCCATGTTGCTACACCGCCATGAAGTCATAACAAAGTGTCATGTGTAGAGAGGTCTTCACTTTCTATCATGCCATACCATCATTTTTTTGGCCATCCCCTAGAGTTGGACAAGCTCAAGGTTATTCTAGTTTGTTTTTTATATAATTGTGTTTTTGCTGTTTGCAATAATGTTGCTAAGAATATCTTTATTGAGCCGGGAGTGGTGGCTCATGCCTGTAATCCCAGCACTTGGGAGGCCGAGGCAGGCGGATCACTTGAGGTCAGGAGTTTGAGACCAGCCTGGCCAATATGGTGAAACCCCATCTCTACTAAGAAAATATAAAAATTAGCTGGGCGTGGTGGCAGATGCCTGTAATCCCAGCTACTTTGGAGGCTGAGGCAAGAGAATCGCTTGAACCTGGGAGGCGGAGGTTGCAGTGAGCCAAGATCACACCATTGCTCTCCAGCCTGGGTGAAAGAGTGAAACTCCGTCTCAAGAAAAAAAAAAGAATATCTTTATTGAGCTCACAGTAAATTTGCTGCATATACACACATATACATATAAAAAGTTTGTTGAGTAAATGAATAAACAGAATAATACATGAATAAGAGTTAATATATAAATGAATGAATGAAGTTAATTGATAAATTTCTGAATCACTCATTTAATCATTTTACAAATATTTGAGTAACTAATAAGAATAAACACTAGATAGAAATCCTGTCCTCATGAAGCTTACATTCTAATGGAGAGTGAGAAAAAATGCACAAATAAGTAAATGAACAAGGTAATTTTAGATTGTGATAGATTGTGTAAAACAAAACCAATAAACTAGGGAAGAGGATTACAGATGGTAGGAAGTGATAGAGTGAATTGCTGTAGATGAGGTGGTTTGCAAAGTTCATCTGATGGGTGCTCTGAGCTGATACTTGAATTATAAAAGGGAACCAGCCTTGCAAAGACCCAAGGGAGCAGAATGTCAGATAGAGACCAAAATAAGTGCAATAGTACCTAAGCCAGGAAAAAGCTTGGTGTGTCCCAAGAAAAGGAAGAAACCAGGGTGACTGCAACACAGTGAGTGAGGGTAAGGGTCTTATCCAGCAAGTGCTCAGAGGGGCCAGAGCCCACGTCATGAAGGGTTCAAAGTGTCAAGAGAAGCCATTGGAGAGTTCTCAGCAAAGGAGATGCATTTATAAATTAAATCAATGAGTGAGTCATTAAGTGGAGCCCAGAGACAAGAGTTCATAAACGAGTGACTACATTAAAGGATGTATGTGGTGAATGCTACAATGTGCCACCCAGATGTCCCTTTGGGAATAAAAGACCTACTAGCCAAGAGGCTGGCAGTGCCGCCTGCAGATCCTCAGCTCTCGGCTGAAGAAAGCCCCCTAGCCCTGTGTCCAGCCTCCTTCACAGGAAAGCCCACATCGGATGATTGACCAGCATGGAGGTATAAAGGCCTGGTCTTCTGGGCCCAGTCAGGAGAGCTCTGGAGCTCCTCCCATGTTTAAAACTCCCCTAGTAATGGCTGGGCCTTCACTGAGACTGTGTCACAGCTCCTTGTCTCCCTAAGCCCAATCCCACTTCCTTTCTCTCCCTTCCACTAGTGTTGATTGCAAGATACTTCCTAATAAAGCTCCTGTCTGCTTCCCAGGGAGCCCAGCTGGGACAATGTGTGAATCAACGCATGAAGGAGTGAGTGAGCAGCTAACCAAATGAAAGAATACTCAGATATCTGGGGTACAGTTCCCCTCCAGGTTTGCACAGCATCTGCTGAAGTCTCCACTAGAAACTCAATGGAAGGTCCCCACCGGAAACTGAAAGTCTCCTAGAGTGGCTTTGAGTTGCGGTTTCACCCTCCCTGCAGATCCACAGGTGAGGTCAATACTTGACTCTAAGAGCTGGGAATGGCCATGGCAGTTGGGGCCATCTGGAGGCCCCGGTGTCCACCTCAACCTGACTTCTCAGCCCCCAGCTTCCACCCTGAGAGCCACTCCCTCTTCCAACAACAGGCAGGAGAAGCGCAACAGAGACTGCCCCTTGGGAGACATTTTTAAAACAAATTTTTATTTAACCTTCTCTGTGACCCACAGGGTACATAGGTTCCTGAAATATACTCAATTTCTGTTTATTTAAAGAATGCTTGCCCATTTGGTGCTTGCTTGAGTAGAATCACTGTGATTATTCACTTCACTGTGAGCATTCACCTGGCAGGATTTGCCGGGCATGCTTAGTTCTCAAAAGATTTTTTTTTTCTCATTTTTTTTCTTTGTCATGTTTCTATTTTTAGGGGAGGCTGGGGCAGATGGAAAATACCAACTTGATGGTCTGTGGCCACACCATGCTGCTCCCCAAGGCCCCTCAGAATTTCACTGCCCAATATGGTAGCGCCCAGCCTGAAACGTGGCCAGTGTGAATTGAGATGGGCTGGAAATGCACCAGACTTCCAAGAGCTGGACAAAAACCATATACGTAAAGTATCTTTGTTTTACATATTTGTACTGATGACACAATGAAATCATATTTAGGGTATTTTCTGTTACATAAAATACATTACTAAAATTAACTTGCCTGTTTCTTTTGACATTTTTAATGCGGCTGGTAGAAAATTTAAACTTTTCAATGCCAGCCTGTGCACCATAGGGAGACCCCATCTCTACAAAAAATGTTTTTTAAATTAGCTGGGCATCATGGCTCATGCCTGTGATTCTAGCATTTTGGGAGGTCAAGGCGAGAGGATCACATGAGCCCGGGAGTTCGAGACCAGCCTGGGCAACATAGTGAGAGCCTGTCTCTACAAAAAATAAAAGAATCAGCCAGGCGTGGTGGTGCATGCCTGTTATCCCAGCTATCTGGGAGGCTGAGGCGGGAGGGTCGCTTGAGTCTGGGAGATTGAGGCTGCAGTGAGCTGTGATCGTGTCACTGCACTGCAGCCTGGGTGATAGACCCTGTCTCAAAATAAAAAGAAAAAAATTTGGACTTCGCATATGTGACTCATGTTATGTTTCTATTGAACAGGACTGGACTGGGCCCCATGCATTTCTCATCACAGACTCTTCTACCTATTTTCTTTTTCTGTTTTTCTTTTCTTTTCTTTTCTTTCTTTTTTTTAAGACAGATCCTTGCTCTGTCACCCAGGCTGGAGTGCAGTGGCGCGATCTCGGCTCATTGCAACCTCCGCCTCCCAGGTTCAAGCAATTCTCCTGCCCGAGTAGCTGGGACTACAAGCGCATGCCACCACGCCCGGCTAATTTCTTTTGTATTTTAGTAGACATGGGGTTTCACCATGTTGCCCAGGCTGGTCTTGAACTCCTGAGCTCAGGCAATCCACCTGCCTCAGCCTCCCCAGGTGCTAGAATTACAGGCGTGAGCTACCGCGCCCGGCCTCTTCTACCCCATTTTTACCAGCAGGGCAAGGCCTTGGGATGTTTGAAAAGTGGCACTTTCCACCTGAATGTGACTGCGGGAGCTTTCTTGTGGTCTGAGCTATCGGAGAGGAAGGCAAAGATCATTTGTTAATGACATCCTCTTTTCTTCCCCATTCGTCCCCTCCTTTTTCATTTGGTCTGCTGTCGTGCTGTCTGCTGCAAGCCAGGAAGCACACTGCAGACCAACTGTTTCCCCTGCTGCATTTGCCATGGCTTCCAATTCTGCTCTCGTTGTTTTTGTCTAGCGTTCAAAAGGTGTCAGGAAAGGCAGGGGGTTGCTGAGGCCAGCGTGGGTGTTTGTGGGATGCCAGACACCTGGGCTGCTGGAAAACTTTTGCAGCAACTCTGATTTCTTCTCTTCTCAGTTTCCATCCAGCTGTTTGGCATTGGATACTGCTGCCTCTGCTTGACTTGAGAATGTGTGAGAAAAGCTGTGTTTAGACAACTGAAAACCATGAGCTTGAAAGTAGTGGGGGCACACTCTTGGAGACTCCAGTTGCTCACCAGCTTGGACAAACCACTGGACTCAAATGATCAGGTAGAAATTCATCACTGGAGAGAACACAGTGGAATGGCTTCAGCGAAAACTCACTCTGAAGGTCTTCAGGGCAACTTTAAGACTTGCCCCTGGCCGGGCACAGTGGCTTATGCCTATAATCCCAGCACTTTGGGAGGCCGAGGCGGGTGGATCACCTGAGGTCAGGAGTTCAAGACCAGCCTGGCCAATATGGCGAAACCCTGTCTCTACTAAAAATCCAAAAAATTAGCCGGGCGTGGTCGTGGGCGCCTGTAATCCCAGCAACTCGAGAGGCTGAGGCAGGAGAATTGCCTGAACCCGGGAGGCAGAGTTTGAAGACAGCCGAGATTGCACCACTGGGCAACAAGAGCAAAACTCCATCTCAAAAAAAAAAAAAAAAAAAAAAATACTTGCCCCGGCTTTTTGTGTGATGGACTTTCTATTTACAGACGTGATATTTATCTATGACTTTACTCAGAGTCTGGCTCATAGACCAGAAGGACTGGTATCTCCTGGAGCTTGCAGGAAATGCAAAATCTCAAACCCCTGTATTAGTCAGGGTTCTCCAGAGAAGTAGAGCCAATGGGATAGAGACAGGGATAGGGATGATAGAGATGGAGATAGAGGTAGAGATCCATTGATTCCTCTGTTAATAAATTGGCTCATGCAGTTGTGACAATTTCGAAATCTGCAAGGTATGTCAGCAAGCTGGAGACCCAGGGAACAGTTGATGTTGCACCTTGAGTACAAAGGCAGTGTGTCTGGAGCCATAATATCTTCTTGTTAGGAAGACTTTGGTCTTTTCTCTTCTGGCCTTCAACTGCTTGGGTGAGGCCCGTCCCCACTACAGAAGACAATAGTCTGTTCTACTCAGAGTCTACTGATTTAAATGCTCATCTCATCCCAAAAAATACCCTCACAGCAACATTTAGCCTGTGCATTTGACCAAACAACTGGGTACCATGCCCCCCCTCCCAAGTTGACACACAAAATTGACCATCATACCCTCCCCACCCCCAGTCTTACTGAATGAGAGAGAATCTGTGCTTCAACAAGATCCCCAGAAGAGGTATAAGCGCAGGGAAGTCTGAGAAGCACCACCTTTGAGGCTTATCCAGGATGCCCACATGAGCCTTCTCTGGATATGTCAGATCCCCTTCCTGGCCCCCTAGACACCTCCTCCACTCCCCAAACTTGGAAGCAACATTGTGGGGAAGCAGGCAGTGAGGCGCTCAGTCTACCACGTTGTGAGATACACAGCTCCATCTGTGTATCATGATTTGATCCAAGGGAAAACAAAAGATCCAGAAACATAAGTACTTTTTTGTGAGCTCTCAAAAACTTCCTGTGACAAGATCAGGTCGTTGATGCGAGAGCCACACTTGTTTCTTTTTCCTCTTTATTCTCCACCTCTGACATAATACTTAGCATAAAAAAAAATCCAATAAACACCACTGAATCAATTATCTAAGCCTCAGTTTCCCTCTTGTAATATGTACTTACCTGGTTGTGGTAGGAAAGACACCAGGCATGAGAAACACTTAAAAGCCCAGGACCCTGAGCTGGGCACATGGTAGGTACTCAGGAAGTCATTGCCGAGTGTTCAGTGCATGCTTGTTGAATGAGTAAATGAGGTCAGGCTTCAGCATGCAAACACTCGCTATAAAGCAGGAACCCTGTGCCCTGAGTGCACAAAATAGATATCGGTGAGTGCATATGGGGGCAGTGAGTGTATGGATTGGATATAGGTGGGTGTATATGGTGAGGAGTATGGATTGGATACAGGTGGGTGTATACAGAGGGGAGTGAGTGTATGGATTGGATACAGGTGGGTGCATATGCGGGGGGGGGGTGGCGTGAGTTTAAGAATTGGATACAGGTGGGTGCATTTGGGGGCGTGAGTGTATGCATTGGATACAGGTGGGTGTATATGGGAGGGTAAGCGTGTGGATTGGATATAGGTGGGTGCATATGGGAGGGTGAGTATATCGATTGGATATAGATGGGTGCATATGGGAGGGTGAGCGTATGGATTGGATACAGGTAGGTGCATATGGAAGGGTGAGTGTATGGATTGGATACAGGTGGGTGCATATGGGGGGAGTGAGTTTATGAACTGGATACAGGTGGGTGAATTTGGGGGAGTGAGTGTATGGATTGGATACAGGTGGGTGCATATGGGAGGGTGAGCATATGGATTGGATATAGGTGGGTGCATATGGGAGGGTGAGCATATGGATTGGATATAGATGGGTGCATATGGGAGGGTGAGCGTATGGATTGGATACAGGTGGGTGCATATGGGAAGGTGAGCGTATGAACTGGATATAGGTGGGTGCACATGGGAGGGTGAGTGTATGGATTGGATATAGGTGGGTGCATATGGGAGGGTGAGCATATGGATTGGATATAGGTGGGTGCATATGGGAGGGTGAGTGTATGGATTGGATATAGGTGGGTATATATGGGAGAGTGAGCATATGGATTGGATATAGGTGGGTGCATATGGGGGACAGTGAATGTCTGGATTGGATACAGGTGGGTGCATATTGGGGGAGTGAGTGTCTGGATTAGATACAGGTGGATGCACATGGGAGGAATGAGTGTACAGAACGAATACAGGTGGATGCATATATTGGGAGTGAGTATACAGAGAGGATACAGGTGGATTGAGTTGTTACAACCAACGACAGGAAGCACATGCAAGGCTCTAGGCATTGCACAAAGCACTCCATAGGCAAAATCACACTGGCGCCAATAGCAATCCTGGGAGATGTACTCATTATTAATAATATTGTTGTCATTTTATAGAGAAGGAACACAGGCTCAGACATCAGTGCCATATCTGAAGACATTCAGCTAATAACAGGATGGAGTCCAATCTGGTAATGCTTTTTTTCTAACTTTAAGATCTCCTACCACTCCTTTCTTTTTGAAAGGAGATAGAAGTGAGATAGAGAAAACAGAGACAGAGAGAGTGTGTACACACCTGTGCCTGGGTGTCTTTGCTGGTGTGTGCACACCTGTGCCTGGGTGTCTTTGCTGGTGTGTGCACATGTGTCTACATGTGTGGTCGTGAGAGTACACACAGGGGCTGGAGGGTGGGGAAGGGCTTAATCTAATCCTGAAAGTGCCAGCAGAACTCTTGGGTGTCCCTCAAAGTCAAGCTTCTTTCCAGGTCATCGAAGTTTTCACTTGGGTAATAATGCACGCATAATTAACTGAACAAATATAATGAATCTATCTGTAGTGACATGATAGTTGGTGCTGAATCCTATTAGAGCACATTTAATTAAAAATGCATTAAACCTTCAAGCTTCTAAACACACCCTGCGCTTCTTCAAAGCCGCCCCTCCGTTAAAGTCTTCCCCACTATTAACTATGAGTCAGCCTGTGACCCTTTGGGCATGACGGGGTGAGGTGAAGTGGCTCTTAAATGCCTGTGCCAGTATATCACAGGCACTAATGGATTTAAATCAGGGAGATTAATTCCATTCATTCGGCTCCTCATTTCAGAAACAACTGTCACGCTGAGCCTAATTGCTGAAGATGGTTGAAGGCACCAGGAGGCTGGAGTTTCCTGGAGGTGGTTTGTGGCCAACCGTCAATTACTTGGGCTGCTGTGCAGTGGGGATAGAAGGATGATTAGAATCCACAGACAACCCATTGGCCTTTGTTTACCATTAACTTCTGTTTTCTCCACCAGCCAAGCTCCTCCAGACCCAGGAGATGGCTCTTCCCTCTGTGTAGCACACTCTTTCCAGTCAAGGGGTCTTGCACTGCTATTTCCCCTTCTGCTTTGCTTGGTTCATTCTTACTGACCCTCCAAATACTGAAGGAATGAATGGAGAAATAAGTAAATGAGAGATGTGGCCAAGAGTCTCCAAGAGAGGAAATTAAAAAATCCTATACCTGTGAGGAACTGGCCCACTTGCAAAAGGCGGACTCATTTGTCACTGTGTTTGCTGGCTGCTCGCACCACACAGTTTCCAGCCTAGGCATTATTTCCAACCTCTTTTTCCAAAGGGTCTTTCTAAGGTACAGAAAATGGACATAAAATCGCCCAACGTAGTTGAGAGGTAAGGAGTAAAAGCCGGAATTTGAACTCCTAATCTCCTGCCACGATTTCATGCTGCCTCTGGGTAATCTCCCAGCACGTTGCTTAATCAGCTGCTGAGTCATTGAGAGCCGGCAGAACCAGCTTCCTGCTGAGGCAGAGTGGGAGGAGGCCCGTCTGGGAGCAGCACACTGAAGGAAGGGAGGAGGAGGTGATGTTTGGCACAATCGGATTGGTTCCCATGAGGTCCAGGGCTGCGGCTCCTACAGAAGGCACTTTTTGCATATGGTAGGCTTCACGGGGTGCAACCTCTGTGTTGTTAGGAGAACCTCGTGCTTGCTATGATGCTCTGCTGTCATTATCTTGAAATTCTTAGTCACATTAAAACACGGGAGCCTACATGTTTATTTTGCACTGGATCCTGCAAATTAGCCAGTCCTGGTACTGAGGGCAGGTCCCTGGGTGAGTCTCACACAGCCTCCATCCTTTGGTAAAGCAGCTTTCCTGATTTAGCAAATGCCTTACCAGAAAGCCTTTTCCTTGAAGATGCTTTAACTTTTGTCTTCCCTGGCAAAGCTGTTTCCTTATGGTAAAGCACCCAGCTCATAGCTGATATTCAATCCATGAAGTAGCTCTGTCAGCAGCTGTCATCATGAAGACTTTGCAGCCTGCGGGTGGTAGCATTCTGAATCGTCAGTCTGTCTCGCTCCTGTAGCAAATGCACGATCCGGGAAAGCATGTCCCAAGCTTTGTTCTGGAGAAGATTTCTCCAGCTATCAGATGGTGTCTGTCATCACAATAGCTTAGGAGATGCTGCTCACTCCATCCTCCTCACTAAGTGTCACAGTACACTTGGGTATGTACAAGTCTCTGAGAAGTCCAGCAGCAAAGACACCTTTGTGTTTTGCTGATTCTAGCCTTTCCTAGACTAGAAGTCTTTTTTTCTAGTCTAGGAAAAGACTGTGGAATCTTTTCTTTTTTTTCCTGATACACACATTCACATTCCGTGGAACATTTAGGACGTGGTTATCTGGTCCTAAAGTAGTAAAGGTGAAGATGTTGTGGGAGGTGCAAGAAAGAGCAGCAAGGAGTAGATGGGGCACACTGCAAAGTGCGATCCCCACATACCTAAGTTAGTATCAATTACTACTAACAAAACTCGGCCAAGACTCTTTTGCATTCGTTTTGTTTCTCTCTTTTACCCTGATTATATTAAGAAATATGACAGGCCTGTGACTCACTGATTAGACCATCTTAGTCACTTTGGGTTGTCCCAGCAACAGGAGACTTAACTCTGACCATAGGTAAGGAGCCCAGAGGACAGGAGAGCAGGGATTTCTGAGGATTTAACAAATGCTTATAAACAAATGATATCACTTTGAACAAAGTAATCAAAGTATCAAATGCTATAAACACCACAGTAGGGCAATGTGTGAATCATACTTGTGGTGAGACATACATAGATCAGCTGCAAAGAGGAACTCAATTCTGCAGAACCTCAGCTGGAGTAACTGATGTGAAACATGGACAGGGAAATGGAAGGAAGTCAGCGGACACGGAAACTCTAGGAACTGAACTTTGACAAGGAACGCCGTCCATAATCCCAAGTCCTATGACTTCATAGAGGAAAAAAACCCTAGTGGAGCAGAACAGGGCCTCATAGAGGGGCTGGGGCCTCACTGAGGGCTGGGAAGTTTGATAGGACTTCCCTTGCTGGTAAGGAACAAAACTGGGTCTCAGGTTCAGGTTTGTAAAGCTAATTTCATACATTTGCAGCAGATGCTGTCAGTGTCCCTCCCCAAGCCCCTCAGCACTCAGCATTCATAGACATCCTCATCTTGCAAGCACCTGAGTCTCTCTCTGTAAGGTTTCTGTTGGCCTCAGGGCAGACCAGGGTACCAGGGAGGGCAGACCAGGGTACCAGGGAGCACAGCCCTCAAAGAAAGATGACAGGAGTTGGTGTAAATCTCATGGCTTTCATGTTACTTAGGGGGACCAATGCTGAGGCATGCTTAGCATGATCCTCTGTGAGACTGGGCCTCAGGTGTCCGCTGCAGCCGCCTGTTCATTAGTGTGACATGCACGGGATTCCTTCCGTATCCTGGCCCCTTTCTCTACTTCCCAACCGTGCTTCCTGAGACATACTCAAATCCTTGTCTCACACTTGGCTTCTGGGAGAATCCAACTGCAAATGCTGTGTTTTATTTTTTATTTATGTATTTAATTATTTGGAGATAGGGTCTCCCTCTGTCACCCAGGCTGGAGTAAAATGGCACAATCCTAGCTCACTGCAATATTAAACTCCTGGGCTCCAGTAATCCTCAGCCTCCAGGAGCTGGAACTACAGTCGTGCACAGCAATGCCAGCTAAAGTTTCCTTTAAATTTTTTGTAGAGTCAAGATCTCACTATTTCAGTCAGGTCTTGAACTCCTTGCCTCCCAAAGTTCTGGGATTACAGCACTTGGCCTCCCAAAGTGCTGGGATTACAGGCGTGAGCCACTGCATCTGGCTGTTTATTCCATTAAAATGATTGAAGGAGTCTCTTGCTTTGGGAATTTTGCTCCCGTGGTGAGAACACTATGGGAATGACATCTCAAGAATATGGCTCCTTCAAATGAATTTAAAATGGTCTTTCTATTTTTGTCCAGTGGTTACAATAGCTGATGGGCTCGAGGTAAGGAGATGCTAAGCTGCCATTCTCTCCTTCAACCCATGGCATTTACTGAGCTTCTAAATCAGTCAGGCCCTGGGCTGGACCCTGGGCATGCAGACTGAATCAGAGCCTTCAGGACTAGCAGGAGAGACAGGTATATATAGTGGCAAGGGCAATATTTATTCACTCATTCATTCTTTTTCCTTTTTTATGTGCCAAATCTTTAATGAGGGCCTACCTTGTACTCAGGAACACCAGGAATAAACAGAAAACAAAAAGATATCATTTCTGGACTCAGTTCACCATCTAGAGAAAAAAAAAAAAAAAAAAAAAGACCTGAAATGGACAAATACAGTACTGTTTGACAAATGTCACGTAAGAAGAAGCCCATGATACTGAGGATGGTATAGGAGGGGCCGTATCCAGGTTGAAGGAGTCAAATATGACAGCTGCCGTGAGAATTACAATCAGAAAACCATGACCCGGATGCTTATCCTATTCATTGCTTGAGCCTGAGAACACAAACACACAGGGTGTGGCTGAAATTCCTCTGAAATTGTATTGATTTGAGAAAACTGCAATCTTGTGTTAAAATGTGAATCATACACAAGGATGCAAAACAGTTACCGCTGACCATAAATCTAGGCTATCAGAATGGAATCTGATGGCTTGTCTACCAGACTGCATTGTGAAACCAATCAAATGGGAGATAGACTCACCACTTACCAAGTACCTCTGAGACACCAGGCACCCTGTGGGGTGCCCTACTCATCATCTTGTTTAACCAGTTGATTGGGAATAGCTCCATTTTACAGAGAAAGACTGTTAGGCAGCTTTCTAAGATGGCCCTAATTATTCCTTCCTTCTGGTAATCCCCTTCCTTTAAATGTGGGCTACACTTAATTACCTGCTTTTAACAAACAGAATATAGCAAAAGTGATGGGATGTCAGGAGACTGAATCAGTAACCAAAAACCTCCAGACAAAGAAAAGCCCAGGGCCAGAGGGCTTCACTGGTAAATTTACCAAACATTTAAAGAAGAATTAGCACCAGTCTTTCTCAAACTCCTCAACAAATTGAAGAGGAGAGAACACTTCTAAATACACTTTATGAGGCCAGCATTACCCTAACATCAGAGCCAGACAAAGACACAAGAAAAGAAAACTACAGACTAATATTTCTAATGAATCTTGATGCACAAATCCTCAAAAAAGAAGAAAACATACTAGCAAACATAATTCAGCCGCACATTAAAAGGATTAAGCACCATGACAAAGTGGGATTTATTCTTAGTATAAAAGGATATTTCAACGTAAAAAAGTCAATGTAATATATCACATTAATAGAATGATGAGAAAAAATCCACAAGATTATCCCAATTGATGCATTTAACAAAACTTAATACTCTTTCATGAAAAAACACTCAACAAACCAGGAATACATGAAACTACCCCAACATAAGACAGTCCACAAATGAAAAGCTCACAACCAACATAATACTCATGGTGAAAAGCTGAAAGCTTCCTCTAAGATCAGGAATGAGACAAAAATGTCCACTTTTGAATCAACCTGTATTCAACATAGTATAAGAAGTCCTCGCCAGAATTTTCAGGAAAAAAAAAAAAGAAAGAAAAAAAAGCCAGTCAAATTGAAAAGAAAGAAGAAAAATTATCTTTGCTCACAAATGACATGAACTTATAAAACTCCTAGAATTAATAAATGGATGCTGCAATGTTGAAGGATACAAAAATCAACACACAAAAATCAGTTATGTTTTTATATACTAACAATGAATGAGCCAAAAATGAAATTAAAACAATTCCATTTACAATAGCATCAGAAAGACTAAAATACCTAACAATAAACTTAACCAAGGAGGTAAAATGCTTGAGTATTTAGACACTAAAAATTATAAGGCCTGCACGGTGGTTCATACCTGTAATCCCAGCATTTTGGGAGGCAGGTGGATCACTTGAGGTTAGGAGTTTGAGACCAGCCTGGCCAACATGGTGAAACCCTATCTCTACTAAAAATACAAAAATTAGCTGATGTGGTACACACCTATAAGCCCAGATACTTGGGAGGCTGAGGCAGGAGAATCACTTGAACCTGGAAGGTGGAGGTCTCAGGGTTTCAGTGAGCGGAGATGTCACCACTGCACTGCAGCCTGGGCAACAGAGAGAGACTCCGTCTCAAAAAAAAAAAAATTATAAAGCGTTGCTGAAAGAAACTAAAGACAACACCAATAAATATAAATATATTCCATATTTATACATTGAAAGACTTAATATTTTTAATATGTCAGTACTACCCCCAAGCCACCTACAGATTCAATGCAATCTCTATCAAAATCCCAATGGTGGTTTTTTTTTTTCTTTTTCTTTTTTTCTTTTGAGAGAAGGTCTCACTCTGTCACCTAGGCTGGAGTGCTGTGGTGAAATCTCAGCTCACTGAAACCTCCACCTCCTGGGTTCAAGCAATTCTCCTGCCTCAGCCTCCCAAGTAGCTGGGATTACAGGCGTGTGCCACCACGCCTGGCTAATTTTTTTGTATTCTTAGTAGAGACAGGGTTTTACCAAGTTGGCCAGGCTGGTCTCGAACTCCTGACTTTAGGTGACCCGCCCACCTTGGCCTCCAAAAGTGCTGGGATTACAGGCGTGAGCCGCCGTGCCCGGCCCCAATGGTGTTTTCGTTGTTGTTGTTGTTGTTTTGTTGTTTCTGAGTCAGGGTCTCACTCTGTCACCCAGGCTGGAGTGCAGTGGCCCCACCTTGGCTCACTGAAACCTCTGCCTCTCAAGTTCAAAGGACCCTCCCACCTCAGCCTCTCAAGTAGCTGGGACAACAGGTGTGCACCACCACACCTGGCTAATTTTTGTATTTTTTGTAGAGACAGGGTTTCTCCATGTTGCCCAGTCTGGTCTCAAACTCCTGAGCTCAAGCAATCCACTCTCCTCAGCCTCCCAAAGTGCTGGGATTACAAGCATGAGCCACTGCACCTGGCCAGATGGCGTTTTTTTTGCGGGAATAGAAAAACCCAAAATTCATATGGAATCTCAAGGGATGCAAAATAGCCAAGATGAAATGAACAAAAGACAAAGTTAGAGGTCTCACATTTCCTGATTTCAAAACTTGTTACAAACCTACAGTATCAAAACAGTGTGGTACTGGCATAAAGATAGACATATAGACCAATGGAATAGGATAGAATAGACAGAAATGAGTCCTCTCATATATGGTCACCCTTCAACAGGGCCACCAAGACTATTTGATGGGGAAAAACACAGTCTTTTCAACAAACGGTGCTGGGAAAACTGAGTATCCACATGTAAAGTAATAAAGTTAGATCCTTACCTTACATCATAAACAAAATTAACTAAAAATGGATCAAAGACATAAATGTAAGACACAAAAGTATAAAACTATTAGAAGAAAATATAGGAAGAAAACCTCATGACATTGTGTTTGGCAATGATTTCTTGGCTATGAAACCAAAAGCAAAAGACAACAAAAGTGAAACTAGACAAATTGGACTACATCAAAATTTAAAACTTCAGTTCATCAAAGGACACATCAACAGAGTAAAAAGACAGCCTATGAAATGGGAGAAGATATTTGCAAATCATATATCTGATAAGGGGTTAATATCCAAAATATATAAAAACCCCTAAATTCAACAACAAAAAAACAATCCAATTTAAAAATGGGCAAAGCCAGGCATGGTGGCTCACATCTGTAATTCCAGCACATTGGGAGGTCAAGGCAGGCAGATCACTTGTGCCCAGAAGTTTGAGACCATCCTGGGCAACATAGGGAGACCTCATCTTTGATTAAAAAAAAATTGTTAATTAGCCAGGTCTGGTGTCACACACCTGCAGTCTCAGCTACTGTGGGGGCTGAGGTGGGAGGATCACTTGAGCCCAGGAAGTCGAGTCTGGAGTGACCTATAATCACATCACTGCACTCCAGCCTGAGCAACAGAGCAGGACTCTATCTCAAAATGAATAAGTAAAATAAAATAAGATGCAAATGGGCAAAGGACTTGAATAGCCGTTTTTCTAAAGAAGATATACGAATGGTCAGTAGGCACATGAAAACATACTCAGCATCACTAACCATGAAGGAAATGCACATCAAAACCACAATGAGATACCACCTCATACCCATTAATATGGCTACTATCAAAAAAACAACAACATGGGAGAAAATTTTTGCAACCTACTCATCTGACAAAGGGCTAATATCCAGAATCTACAATGAACTCAAACAAATTGACAAGAAAAAAACAAACAACCCCATCAAAAAGTGGGCGAAGGACATGAACAGACACTTCCCAAAAGAAGACATTTATGCAGCCAAAAAACACATGAAAAAATGCTCATCATCACTGGCCATCAGAGAAATGCAAATCAAAACCACTATGAGATATCATCTCACACCAGTTAGAATGGCAATCATTAAAAAGTCAGGAAACAACAGGTGCTGGAGAGGATGTGGAGAAATAGGAACACTTTGACACTGTTGGTGGGACTGTAAACTAGTTCAACCATTGTGGAAGTCAGTGTGGCGATTCCTCAGGGATCTAGAACTAGAAATACCATTTGACCCAGCCATCCCATTACTGGGTATATACCCAAATGACTATAAATCATGCTGCTATAAAGACACATGCACACGTATGTTTATTGCAGCATTATTCACAATAGCAAAGACTTGGAACCAACCCAAATGTCCAACAATGATAGACTGGATTAAGAAAATGTGGCACATATACACCGCGGAATACTATGCAGCCATAAAAAATGAAGAGTTCATGTCCTTTGTAGGGACATGGATGAAATTGGAAACCATCATTCTCAGTAAACTATCGCAAGAACAAAAAACCAAACACCGCATATTCTCACTCATAGGTGGGAATTGAACAATGAGATCACATGGACACAGGAAGGGGAATATCACACTCTGGGGACTGTGGTGGGGTGGGGGGAGGGGGGAGGGATAGCATTGGGAGATATACCTAATGCTAGATGACGCGTTAGTGGGTGCAGCGCACCAGCATGACACATGTATACATATGTAACTAACCTGCACAATGTGCACATGTACCCTAAAACTTAAAGTATAATGAAAAAAAAAAAAAAAAACACAGAAAATAACAAATGTTGGTGAGGATGTGGAGAAATTGGAACCCTTGTACACTGTTGGTAAAAATGTAAAATGGAGAAACCACTGTGGAAAACGGTGTAGCAGTTCTCATAAAGCAAAATAATAGAATTACTGTATGATCTGGCAATCCTACTTCTACATATATACCCCCCAAAAACTAAAAGGAGTATCTTGAAGAGATATGTGTACACCCATGTTTGCAGCAGCACCAGTCACAATAGCCAAAACGTGGAAGCAATCCAAGTGTTGAAAAGATGAAAGGAATAAACAGAATGTGGCATATACACACAATAGAATATTAGCCTTAAGAAGGAAGGTATTTCTGATACATGCTACAACAAGGATGAACCTTGAAGACATTATCTTCAGTGAAATAAGCCCTTCACAAAAAGATGAATACTACATGACTGCACGTATATGAGGCACCTGGAGTAGTCAAATTCAGGGAGACAGAGAGTAGAAGGGTAGTTGCCCGGGAATGGGGGGAGGTGGGAATGGGGAGCTGTTGTTTAGTGAGGACAGAGTTTTAGTTTTACAAAATGAAAAGAGTTCTGGAGATCAGTTGCAAAACATGAATGTACTTAACACTACCAAAGTATACCTTTAACAATGGTTAAGATAGGAATTTTTGTTGTGATATTTTACTACAATTAAAGATTTAAACTACATTATTTGTTTTGGAGACAGGGTCTCGTTCTGTCACCCAGGATGAAGTACAGTGGCACGATCATAGCTCACTGCAGCCTCAACCTTCCAGGCTCAAGCGATCCTCCTGCCTCAGCCTCCCAAGTAGCTGGGACCACAGACATGCACACTGCGCCCTGATAATTTTTAAATTTTTTTTGTAGAGATGGGGTCTTGCTATGTTGCCCAGGCTTACCTCAAACTCCTGGGCTCAAGTAATCCTCCTGCCTCAGCCTCCCAAAATACTGGCATGTCAGGCATGAGCCACTGTGCCCAGCCTAAACGATTTTTAACATAAAAAAAGGACAACATAAGAAGAAGAAATTCACAGAAAACAACAACAACAAAACCCAAAAGACACAAGATGTTATTTCTGAGACATAAGTTATAAAAGAGTGAGGCTTCAGTCTTACTCTGGCTTGATCGCACAGAGGAAGCCAGCCACCACACTGGAGGGGCCCAGGTGGCAGGGAACAACTGAGGGAGGCCTCCAGCCAACAGTCTTTAGGGAACTGAACCTGCCAGCAGCCACATGAGTGAGTCCACAACCTTAATCCCAGCTTGGGAGGAACCCTGAAGCAGGACAAGGCTAAACTGCAGAGGGATTCCTGACCCACAGAAACTGTGAGATGACTGATACTGTCATTTTAAGGTACTAAGTTTTGGGGTAATTTGTTACACAGCAATAGATAAGTTGAGGACATCAAGGCTGAAAGAAAATAAGCATGTAGGCCGGGTGCAGTGGCTCATGCCTGTAATCCTAACACTTTGGGAGGCTGAGGGGGGTGGATCACCTGAGGTCAGGAGTTTGAGACCATCCTGGCCAACATGGCAAAACCCCATCTCTACTAAAAAAAAAAAAAAAAAAAAAAATACAAAAATTAGCTGGGTGTGGCGGCACGCACCTGTAATCCCAGCTACTTGTGAGGCTGAGGCAGAAGAATTGCTTGAACCCGGGAGGTGGAGGCTGCAGTGAGCTGAGATTGTACCACTGCACTCTAGCCTGGTGACAGAGCAAGACTCTATCTCAAAGAAAGGAAAGAAGGAAAAGAAAGAAAGAAAGAAAAGAAAGAAAAAGAAAGAAAGAAAGAAAAAGAAAGAAAGAAATGAAAGAGCGAGACTCTATCTCAAAGAAAGGAAAGAAAGAAAAGAAAGAAAGAAAGAAAAGAAAGAAAGAAGAGAGAGAAAGAAAGGGAAAGGAAAGGAAAGGAAGGTAAGGAAGGAAAGAAAGGAAAGAAAAGAAAAAGAAAAGAAAAAAAAAAGAAGCGTATGGCAAGTGGGAGGCATCTGAAGCCTGTCTGGCCCCAAAATCCCCCCCTACTCCGCTCATGTCCTTCCCCCAAAAGCATCTTCCCTGGTGGGGTAAAAGAGCTTACAGAGATCACACCGCATCCCAACCTGTTCCACACACGTGGGTCCGCCAGCGAGGACACACGGTTCCTTGATGTTCAGCTTTTTTGCACATCAAAATACCAACAGCAATAACTCCTCACATTTATTGACAGTGAGGAGTTATTAGTGAGGAGTTATTAGTGAGTTGTTATTGCTCTTGGGGGAAGGACTCGAGCGGAGTAGGAAGGGGACTTTGGAGCCTGACGGGCTTCAGACGCCTCCCTCTTGCTACATGCTGATGCCCTTTCAGACTTGGTGTCCTCCACTTGGTTGCTGTGTAACAGATTACCCCAAAACTAAGGAGCTTAAAAGGACACCTAAGAAAATCCGCTACTCAGAAGCTTAGCCTTAAATATCTCTGTTTCGAAATAAAAGTGAAGGCTGCCTGCTAAGGACAAATAGAGACAAGGATGCTGCCGGTCATCAGCACATTGGCCAAACCTGTTCCCAGGCAGCTCTCAGCAGTATTGGCAAAAGACACCTGACCACATCATCTGTGGGCTGGGAACACTGACCGTGGTAATGCCAATCATAACCACCCTGTTCTATGCACCTCAAATGTACTAGGCTTTGTGTCTAGCTGTTGTGTGATTTGACCACTGTGCTGTCAGAGGCAATGCAGTCTCATGGTTACAAATGTGGGCTCTAGAGTAGAAGACTCCAGCCACAACCCAGGCGTTGACACTCCCAGCTGGGTGACTTTGGCAGCTGTTTTGTCCCTTCTTTGTTTCCTCACCTGCAAAACGGGATTACAATAATTACCATCTCATAAGGTCATTATGAGGATTAAATGGGGTAAAGCACATAAACCACACAGAACCATGTGCAAACAGTCAATAAATATGAGGAGTTATTACGATTGTTGCTATCATCATTACTGCCTTTGTTATCTTCTATAATTCGCACAATAATGGAAGCTAAGATTCGGAAACTGGGTTTTCTGTGTTCCAGATGAGGAAATGGAGGCTCAGAGGGGCCACATACCATTTCCAAGATCACATAGCCTCAAGGATGACCCCGGATCCACTCTGGGTGTGTCTGTCTCCAAGGTCAGTGTGATATTTCCAATATCCCAGGCTCAGATGCTCACATGTACCATTTCTCTTCTTACTCACTGGGACCCTGGTCCTCCTTGTTTTAAGATATCACTTGATGTATGTTGACTCTGGAGGTCTGCTGCCTGATGGCTTAAGGAGAAGCCAACGTGGGGACAAATAAAGAAATAAAGGGCTTTGGGAAACCTGTGTGGTGGGAGGAGGAGGGAGGCTTAGTGTGATACAAGAACAGCTATTTTACAAATGCCTTGCCTTTAAATAAAGTTTCTACGTATAGATTTGTGAACCTTCATAACAACCCAGGGAAATGTAAATTATTATGCCTTTTTTAAGATCAAGTTTTCTCATTTGAATGAATGAATGCATTTTCCAAGGCACAGAGAACTCCTTCCCCAGAGTCTCCCAATTTTGACCTAACAAAACTTATGCTTGAACCCTGCTCACCTGACTCCAAGCCCAGGGCTCTTTTGTTCATACTACAGCTGGAGTTAATCATCACAGTGGCTAAATGTATTGAATTTCCATCACCTGCATGTTTCATAGGCATTATCACATCCAGTCCTTATAACCACCCAATCAGGTCATTACTGTATTAGACTGGTGCGAAAGTAATTGCGGTTTTTGCCACTTAAAAGTAATGGCAAAAACTACACTTACTTTTGCACCAACCTACTAATTATTCACCCATTTTACCGATGGGAGGACAGACTGCAAGAGGTGAAAGGACTGGCTCAAGGTCATGCCGCTGGAAAGTGATAAATACAAGACTGAAGCTCACAGTTATCTGGCTCCAAAGGTATTTCTCCTTATACAACACCCAGGGGAAGACATTTGGTGAAGTGGAGGTTCCTTCCTTGTGGTCTTCTGTCGTGTTACTCAGACTCTACATCTGGAAGCATCTCTACTTAGGGGCCTTCCAGAAGCCAGCAAAGCTACTTGCCAGGGCAAAAGTCCCTTGGCTCTGCCCATCACAAGTTGGTGAGAGTAAACACATATGCACTCTGACTTTGGATGGCTTTTCTTTCTTCTTTGCCTTCGATCATCCTTATCTGAAATGATTTACTTGTTTGTCTGTTGTCTGCACCTCCTCCACCAAACCCCTGCAAACGAAAGTTCCATGTGAACAGGAACTATGTTCTGTTCATTCCTGTATCTCCAATATACAAAGCAGGCCCTGACATTCAGGTGTTCAATACATTTTTCCTGAATGAATGAATGAATGAATGATGAATTTACATGAAATTCCATGCAAGATGGAAAATTTTCAATACAGAAAGAATATATTCTGGCTTTATCTGTGGCATGGATTGTCTCAGCACTGCCAATTCCTCTGGCTGGATGGGCTAGCTCCGCTCCTGTCATCTGTCTCTCTGCTGAACTTGGCAGAGTCCTTAGACACAGAGATTTGTCGAGTGATCAGGGCCTCCCACAAACAACGCACAAAGACCCCTCTAGTGAAGTGTGGTTTTACCACAGTGGGCAGTTTCCACCTTCATTTGCCTCCTGTAAATTGGAGTCTTCGCATTTCTTTCTGCAGCCTTTGGGGCGAGGCTGTATCTAGCCCCTGTGTGACTCGGGGCTGGAATTTGTTTCACCTACCTAGGACTTTAGGGCTGAAAAGCCCTTGGAGGTTATCTAATCACAACGTATCACTTTGCAAATAGGTAAACTGAGCTCACAGAAAGGAAAGCTGAACTCACAGAAAGGAAGATACTTGCCCAAGGTCACTGTTAGAGGTTGAATTGTGTCCTTTCCAAAATTCATACTTCGGAGTCCTAACCCCTAGTATCTCAAAATGTGGCTTTATTTGGAGATAAAGGCTTCACAGAGGTAATCAAGTTAAATGGAGGACATTAGGTTGGGCTCTAATCTAGTATGACTGATGTCCATGAAAAGAGAAAATGTGGACACAGACATGCACACAGGGAGAACACTGTGTGTAGACAAAGACAGAGATCAGGTGATGCTTCCGCAATCCAAGGAACAGCAAAGATTGACACAAGCTACCAGAAGTTGGGGGAGAGAGCTAGGGGACCTGTCACAGCCCGCAGAAGGAACCAACCCTGCAGATACCTTGCTCTCTGACTACTGCCCTCTAGAACTGTGAGACAATAAATGTCGGTTGTTTAAGCTGCCCAGCTGGTGTTATTTTCTATAAGGACACCAGTCATATGGGATTGGGGCCCAACCTAATGTCCTCAGTTTAGCTTGATAACTTCTGCAAAGACTCTGTCTCCAAATAAGGTCACATTTCAAGGGACTGGACATTAGGACTTCAATATATGAATTTAGCAGGGGGACACAATTCAACCCTTAACAGTCACTCGGCAAACTGTGAGAATGGAGAAGGCAAGGACCCACCGTAAGCCTGGCTTCCATGAAGATGCTTCCCCGACCTGTACTCCATACCCTCCCCAAGAGAAGGAGGGCTCTGTGGGCCTGCAGTTCATCTCTTTCCACTTGTTTAAAGATGTGACATGGTGGCTCCTTGGTCTTTTCTCATTTCCTCTCTGTCTTGGATAGAGAGGCCTGGCACACAGATCTCAGGGCCATCGCCCCACACCCCACCTCCTGCCCCTGCCTCCCACCGCAGGTTCTTGGCAGGGCACGGGAAGTCCCAACAACTCCCCAGCTCTCTTCAAAGCATTTTTCTCCTACCTTTGATTTTTATTGGTTTGTGTCTTAAATGTTTTGTCTGTAATTACACAGTTTGCTGCATGTCTTGTTTCATAATGACTAACATGAAGTTCATATACAAGCAAAGGGAAGCACATAACTAAATGAACATTTAATAATTAGTATTCATTAAGGCAATTATTTTAATAAATTATGCTCAGTTGAGTATAACCATTTTGTCCTGATTTAAAAACAAAATAACAAAAAAACACCTGCCTAGTCTAACATTGCAGCAAGGGAAGAGAAGTAGGTGAATGAGAGGAACCAAAGGCTAGACAGAAACAAGAAGGGATTGGAGAGAGCAGAACAGATGCACATGAATGTCTAAAACAGTTTAGAAAATCTAGTTTACCCATTTATTATGTATCAAGAATGAACGCAAACATTTATAAAGTGCTCACTAAATGCCAAGTTATTTGCCTGTACTACCTTATTTAGTCCTCATACCAAAGCAATGAGACAGAGTCTTTTATTCTTATTGCCATTTTACAGATGAGGAAGCTGAGGTCTGCCCAAGCTCACACACCTGGTAAGTAATGGAACCAGGTGTTGAACCTAGGCAGCCTTATCCAGAACCTGTCCTTGCAGCCTCTGGACTCAAGACCTTTACATTTCAGGTGTTAGAAAATGGGAGCGAACCATCTGCCTTGGAAGGCTGAAAGATGGGTAAATGATTTTGTACTCTGCTGTCACTGTCTTGAAATTCTTTAATCATTTTTTTTTCTTTTCTTTTCTTTCTTTTTTCGAGAGGGAGTCTCACTCTGTCATCCAGGTTGGAGTGCAATGGCGCAATCTTGGCTCACTGCAACCTCTGCCTCCCGGGTTCAAGCAATTCTCCTGCCTCCACCTCCTGAGTAGCTGGGATTACAGGCACCTGCCACCACACCCAGCTAATTTTTGTATTTTTAATAGAGACAGGGTTTCATCATGTTGGCCAGGCTGGTCTTGAACTTCTGACCTCAAGTGATCCTCCTGCCTCAGCCTCCCCAAATGCTGGTATTACAGGCGTGAGCGACTGCACCCGGCTTAAATTCTTAATCCATTTCTAACAAGAACCTCCACATTTGCATTTTGCACTGGGCCTTGCAAAATAGATAGTCAGTACTAAGTACATGTTTTGCTGTTGTAACAAAGAGATCTAGAAATACAGTGACTTAAACAAGAGTGAAGTTTTTTTTTTTTGAGACGGAGTCTCGCTCTGTCGCCCAGGCCGGACTGCGGACTGCAGTGGCGCAATCTCGGCTCACTGCAAGCTCCGCTTCCCGGGTTCACGCCATTCTCCTGCCTCAGCCTCCCGAGTAGCTGGGACTACAGGCGCCCGCCACCACGCCCGGCTAATTTTTTGTATTTTTAGTAGAGACGGGGTTTCACCTTGTTAGCCAGGATGGTCTCGATCTCCTGAGCTCGTGATCCACCCGCCTCGGCCTCCCAAAGTGCTGGGATTACAGGCGTGAGCCACCGCGCCCGGCCAAGAGTGAAGTTTTTTTTCTCTCTTACCTAACAGCCCAGAAGTAGGCAGTTCAGATAGTAAGATATCATTTCTATCACCAGCATGCAGCTTCTACATTTGGGTCCAAGAAGACTGTCCCATTCTTACCACCTCCTAGTCAGTGGCAGGGGAAAGAAGGCAGGGAAGCATATATCCAGTCTTTAAGGTCAGGGCCTGGAAGTGGTACCTGTCACTTCTACTCTATCCCATTGAGCAAAACAAGATCACGTAGCCACACGTATCCCCCAAGAGAGTTCAGAAACGTACCCTTTAGCTGGGCAGTTTTGTGCTGAGATGAAACTCTGTGATAACCAGCACTTTGGCACACTACCAAATCTTCCTCAGTTCTGACATTCTCAGGCCGATGCTCTTATGCCAACCAGCTGTCTCCGTCTCTCCAGTTTCTAGAAAGCCAAGATGCATTCATGGAGCTCCTAAGAATGGAGAGGTTATATGTCCACAACGCCCCTAGAATTGTGTGCAAAATTGTTTGCACATTTGCGTGTCCTTATGAGAGGGTTTTTGGGATTCTCATTGGGCTATGCGCCTTCTTCCTTCTCCTCACCCTCAGCCCCTGCAAAAATATAACAGCCCCTGAAGTAAACAGCCTCTGTGTTGAAATGTGTTTCAGGCAAATATCGAAGCTAAATCAGAAAGAGGCTGTTGGCTGGATATAGGACTAACTGTAGCAGGGGTTGGCAAACTACAGCATGTCATTGTTTTTTATAAATAGAGTTTTATGAGAACATAGCCACTTCCAACCATGGGTGCATTGCTCTGTGGCTGTGTTCATGCTACAGCAGAAGAGGTGTGTAATGGCAGCAACAGAGACCTGCAAAGCCTGAAATATTTACTATCTGGCTCTTTACAGAAAATGTTTGCCCACTCCTGAACTAGACATAGCTAGATAGATGAGAGTTCATGGCTTCCCTCTGAAAACCCCAGGAAATCTCCCCTCTGAATCAGACAACTGGAAGATCTCTGCATGTGTTCAGAGTTGAAGTCCAGTGGGAATTTAAAACTCCCCCAAAATGATGATAATGTTGGGAACAGCAGCTCACAGTTTCATATAATACTCTCCCATCCACCTAAACATGGCAAGAGGTATATGAGGAGCATCTTGTATCATAGGAATCTGTCCGAGCTGGATTTGAGTCCCACCTCAATTCCTGCCTAGCTTGCAAGTATTCTTTGTTTTGAGCCTCTGTTGATTGGTTTTTAAAATGTAGCGCCTAAGTCAGACCTGGCAGGTTAAAACGTGTAATATGTAGCACAGAGGGGCAGGCACAATCAATGTGGGCACCTGAGGGGGAACCCTTGAAGGTCACCCTGAAGGTTGGCTGAAGGTGAACATATAAGGTCTGAGTCCCCAACTGAGGCTTCTGCAGTTTTCTTCTTGCACCTGATTTTTGCCCAGTGGCTTATGTCAAGAGAGCTGGATCTCACCCCAGCTCTGACACCAACTCACTCTGTAGCCTTAGACAAGGTCTTAGCCACCCACCCCCATCCCAGGCC